>NC_000012.12:132918326-133265309 GCF_000001405.40 Homo sapiens
ATTTGCAAATTGCTCCCAGTGATCACACTCACACATATGAATTCATGAAACAGTTTACTCAGTTAACATTTGCATACAGAGATTTTCTTTTCAAACAGAGCACAGAAGGAAGTGTCAGTAACAGGTCTGACCTCGCACAGCTGCCCATGCAATGATGAGTGGATCAAACACTACGGCTTATACAAGATGCTCCTCACAGAATGAAAAACAGCTGCTCATTTTCAGTTAGCTATTAGCCTTTTAGCCCCACCCTTGTTTTCTCTTTTTTTGAGACGGAGTCTCACTCTGTTGCTCAGGCTGGAGTGCAGTGGTGGTGCCATCTTGGCTCACTGCAACCTCCAACTCCTGGGTTCATGTGATTTGCCCACCTCAGCCTCCCGAGCAGCTGGGTTTACAGGTGCTCCACCACACCCGGCTATTTTTTTTGTTTTGTATGTTTAGTAGAGATAGGGTTTTGCCATGTTGGCCAGGCTGCTCTTGAGCTCCTGAACTCAAGTGATCCACCCACCTTGGCCTCCCAAAGTGCTGGGATGACAGGCGTGAGCCATCGCACCTGGCCAGCCTTACCCTTGTAATGAAGCAGTGAAGTACAGCTGGCCCACATCTCAGCCAACATCATCTTCTTACAGAATCTGCTTCATACAAACGCATTACACACAACAGGACACAATGCACATGCCTTGTTCATACCCTCAGAGCTGCCTGGCAAATACCATGGTTTGGGGACGAATCTACACTAGACCTGCCTGGCTGCAGTGGTAACACTCCATTGCCTAACTGCTCCTTTCACATGAGCACGCACTAATGAAAATAAAAAGTTAATTCACTTCTCCCACCCCCTATTGTAAGTTTAAGCTTGATTTGTTTTTTTAAGTACTTTTAGTGATAGGAATGCTTACTTGCTTTATTAATTATTTTTGTGGAGAACAAAGTGCCACTATGTTGCCCAGGCTGGCCTCAAACTCTTGGGCTCAAGCTCTCCTCTCCTCCCAGCTGGGCCTCCCAAAGTCCTGGGATTGCAGGCATGAGCCACCACATCTGGCCAGTAATGCCTTTTTTTTTTTTTTTTTTTTTTTTGAGATGGAGTCTCGCTTTGTCGCTCAGGCCAGAGTGAGTGCAGTGGCGCGATCTCAGCTCACTGCAAGCTCCGCCTCCCGGGTTCACGCCATTCTCCTGCCTCAGCCTCCCGAGTAGCTGGGACTACAGGCGCCCGCCACCACGCGCGGCTAATTTTTTGTATTTTTAGTAGAGACGGGGTTTCACCTTGTTAGCCAGGATGGTCTCAATCTCCTGACCTCGTGATCCACCCATCTTGGCCTCCCAAAGTGCTGAGATTACAGGCATGAGCCACCATGCCCGGCCCTGGCCAGTAATTCTTAAATGAGAACTTCAAGTTATAAATGTCCCTTCACTTACATTTCTTTTCATCTTAACAGTGAATGCCTCGATAGCTACATTCTTTTTGCTGTGCACATTTCGAGATTTAGGTATCACTAAATAAGTTTGGTGTTCCCTGTTTTTTTGTGTGTGTGTGTGATGGAGTCTTGCTCTGTCACCCAGGCTGGAGTGCAGTGGTGTGATCTCAGCTCACTGCAACATCGGCTTCCTGGGTTCAAGCGATTCTCCTGCCTCAGCCTCCGGAGTAGCTGGGACTACACACGTGCCACCAAGCCCGGCTAATTTTTGCATTTTTAGTAGAGATGGGGTTTCACCATATTGGCCAGGCTGGTCTCGAACTCCTGACCTTGTGATCTGCCTGCCTTAGCCTCCCAAAGTGTTATGATTACAGGTGTGAGCCACCGCGCCCAGCGCCTGATTTATTTATTTTTTTGAGACAGAGCCTCGCTCTATCACCCAGGCTGGAGTGCAGTGGTGTGATCTTGGCTCACTGCAAGCTCCACCTCCCAGGTTCACGCCATTCTCCTGCCTCAGCCTCCTGAGTAGCTGGGACTACAGGCGCTGGCCACCTCACCTGGCTAATTTTTTGTATTTTTAGTAGAGACGGGGTTTCACCGTGTTAGCCAGGATGGTCTCGATCTCCTGACCTCGTGATCCACCCGCCTTGGCCTCCCAAAGTGCTGGGATTACAGGCGTGAGCCACCGCGCCTGGCCTGGTTTATTTAATGTTAGCATTCTGACAAGATGTTAAATGACCCGGATACAATGAGTAATAATTGTGTTCTAAGTTGCAAAGATCCCATAAGGGAAATAAAGAATTATTAAATATCATCACCAACTTCACAGATTTGGTCTCAAAGTAAATCTGCTACATACTAAATAATTTAAATTAATATGGTGATGGAGTGTGTGGCGTTGGAAGAAAACTTGTTGAAGAAAGCTTACTTTATTTTTATTCATTTAAGAGGCAAGGTTTCACTCTGTCACTCAGGCTGGAATGCAGTGGCCCCATCATGGCTCACTGCAGCCTTGAACTCCTGGGCTCAAGTGACCCTTCTGCCTCAGCTTCCCAAGTAGCTGGGATTACAGACATGCACCATCATGGCTAACTTTTTTTTTGAGATGGAGTTTTGTTCTTGTTGCCCAGACTGGAGTGCAATGCCGTGATCTCGGCTCACTGCAACCTCCTCCTCCCAGGTACAAGTGATTCTCTTGTCTCAGCCTCCCAAGTAGCTCGGATTACAGGCATGTGCCACCATGCCCGGCTAATTTTTTTGTATTTAGTAGAGACGGGGTTTCACCATGTTATTCAGGCTGGTCGCGAACTCCTGAACTCAGGTGATCCACCCACCTCGGCCTCCCAAAGTGCTGGGATTACAGGCTTGCGTCACTGCACCCAGCCTCTCATGGCTAATTAAATTTTTTTTTTGTAGAGATGAGTCTTGCTATGTTGTCCAGCTGGTCTCAAACGCCTGGGCTCAAGCGGTCCTCCCAATTTGGCCTCCCCAAGCACTGGGATTACAGGTGTGAGACACCACCCCCAGTTGAAAAGTTACTTTGGATATAACTGATTTGAATTTTATTCTTGTGAAATAGTGATGAGATTTTATATTGTCTACTTCTAAGCGGCAGACAGTCATCATGAGGCAAATAAAATTTTCTAAGGTAAGGAGAGTGAGAATGGCCTTTCCCCTTTAGTCTATGGCAAAATAAAGGGGGGCATGGGAGAATCCTGATGGTGGAAATCATTTTATTCTCATACACAGGTTATTACAGCACAATTAGGAAGAGACAATCACAACTCACACAATGCTATATTCAAATTATGCCAAAGTCCCAACATATTCATTTCATTTGCAAGTTAATTCCTAAAAGATCAGAGCAGAGTGATACACAAGTTTATTAACACAGACTACAACGTCAATGAAGCCTCCTGGCATTGTCGGAAATAGAAAACATGTATAAAAATCTTCGAAATGCAGGTTAAAATGCAAATCCAAGTGAAAGGAAAAAGCACTACTGTGAAGCCTAACGGCAATTATTTCCCTTCAAAGGAGGTTTGTGTCCAGCTGGAGAGAAGGCCTGGTGGACAGAAGACAAAGGAAGGCAAAATTCCTAAGGGAGAAATTCAAAAAAATGATGGGGGTGCTGCCCTCTGCTGGGCCTCTTTGGCAGTCGACTTCAACTTAATGCATTAGCGCCGTAAGGTTGTAAGAGAAGCAACTCTGGCTTGATCTTAGAAAAGCTGATTTTCTTTTTGGCAGCATATTTCCGGTGAGAACTGATGGGAAAGGTGGTGTGGATTCGTGGACGAAGTCTCTAACGTAA
Source organism: Homo sapiens (assembly GCF_000001405.40). Lineage (NCBI taxonomy): Eukaryota > Metazoa > Chordata > Mammalia > Primates > Hominidae > Homo > Homo sapiens. Next base: position 132,922,053 of record NC_000012.12, read on the forward strand.
TCTTGACTACTGAAGGGTAAAGACTTGCCCACAGGTTAGAGATTACATGAATTATCCACAACGAATGGTAGCAGATGATGGGTCAGGGGTATTTTAATTGTACAGCATAACACTTTAGAGAGCTGGGAAGTATGGGACATCATTCCCGTCTTTCTTCACTCAGTAACTGATTATCTTGTTTCTTGTCCACAGATATTTAACCTAAATAACAATGCTTTTTGAAGGTTGTTTGGCTAACCCAGAGGTAGTAAAAGACTTCATAAGTCTTTCTATTACTGAAGAGGAGCTTAGTAATAACTGCAAGTCTATTTATATATGTAGCAGATGGTAACAATCTCCAGAGCCACTGACATATGCAGCAGAAAAGCACAAAGAACTTTGTATTTGTTATAATTTCTACTGCATTGTCCAGATACAGATAGAAAATACTGATATGTAGTGTGGGGAATCTTGAGACATTTCAGCCTATGCACTATGCGGCACTTGTACTGATAACTGATTATCACAATTTTATTAAATGCTCATCATTTAACAGATGGCACAGAAAATAAATGGCACACTCAGAATATTAACTCAAGAACAATTAATAAAGGCACTATTTACAAATATGTGTTCACAATTAAAGACACCCAACCAGTGGGTTGGGGAAGCACCCAGTAGTAGTTAAGTCTGAAGATCATGGAGAGGGAATGGTGTCAACTGAAACCGAGAGATCTACAGCCATAGATGGGGCTTCCCAAAGGAAGCTGTATCCTTACGGGAACACAGAAGCTACCATGGTCCAGGCAGGAGGAAGGGAACGGTAATAAATAACTTTTTCTCCTCCCACCTCTGGTATCTCCCACTGTTCAAACCTATGAAGAAACCCCAGTCTCTAGAAGACAGCCTCAGGGGGGAGCAGAGCAGAAAATGGGGGAAAAGGGATCAAAGAAATAGGGAATACTCAGCACACATGCAGATCCACAATACATACAATTTCTGTCATGTGCCTGCTACAAATTCAAGCTACCCCGAGCCCTGAAGGAATAGGCTTCTAACTCAGATGATGCAGTCTACTCAACTATATTTAAAAATTCACACTTAAGTGTTATCGTCATCACACTTTACTTCTAAATAAACTCCAAATACGTTATCATTACTTTGGCTTTAAGCAGCCAATTCCCTTTTAAAAAGATTTTAAAAAGAGAGAAATATCTTTTATATTTACCCACATATTCACCATTTTCAGAACTTCATTCCTTTGTACAGACCCAAACTTAAGTTTTGTATTATTTTCCTGCTGCCCTCAAACATCCTTTAATGTTTCCCAAAGACAGGTCTACAGGTAATAAAATTACCTTTGATTTAGTTTCTCAGAAACAGTCTTTATTTTGCCTTCATTTTTGAAAACGTTTTTGACAGTAACAGAATTCTAGGTTGCAGGGTTTGTTGTTTATTTCATTAAGGAATTTAGAGATAATACTCCATTGTCTTATAGCTTGCATAGTTCTCACCAGAAATATGCTGCCATTCTTTGTTCATGTGTATGTATTATCTTTTTTTCTCAAGGTGTTTTAAAAGTATTCTGTTTATCAGTGCTTTTCATGAATGTGACTCTGAGGTGCACTGCTGTGATGTAAATTATGTTTATTCTACTTCAGGTCATTTGAGCTTCTTGAATATGTGGGGGTATTGTTTTCACCAGATTTGGAAAATCTTTAGCCATTATTTATTCAAATACTTCTTCATGCCTCTTCATTTTCTCCTCTCCTTCTGGGACTCCAGTTAAACATATATTACACTACTGTAATGGTTTTCCTATTCTCTTCCTCTTCTCTAAGTCTTTTTTTCTCTCTGTATATCACTTTGGTAGTTTTTATTCTTACTCTTCAAGTTCATTGATTTTTTCTTCTTTTTCTGTATCTAATCTCTCCACTCGGGATTTTAACAAAATCAGAAGTTGATTTCATCCCTAGAAGTTCCATTTTGGCCAGTAAAAATATCTCTTATACCTCAGGTTTCATCAATCTTATGTTTTCCTCTACTTTATATTTACAATAGCTCTTTTAATATCCTTGTCTACTAATTCCATCACCTCTGTCTTTTCTGGGTTTCTACTGATTTTTCTCCTGGTTATAAGTCATATTTTATTGCTTCTTTGCATAACACATTAGTTTTTTTGGATGCCGGACACTGTAGGTCCAGAGTAGCTTTTAATCTAGAGTTAATTAGCTGCACTACTAAAACAAAACCTTTCTGAGAATTCTACCTGATGCTCCATGTGTTTCCACTCTGTTTCCACTCTGGCTGCTGAGAACATAAACTATTCCCAGCCCTGCATGAGTTCCAGGAATTGTTCAGCCTGCTGCTTTCCAGTGCTTCTTTTCCTGGCCTCAGTGCAAGTCAGTACTAAGTCAAAGGACTCAGGGGACTCCCAGCAGACTTCTTGAGCCCTGTATCTAGAAGGATCCCATCTCTCCAGTACTTTCCCCTGGAAATTCTAGCTGCTGTGGCCTCCCCAACTGCCAGTCCTGTCTCTTCAATTCAGCGAGATTTATTGTTTCCCTTCCCTGAACTGCAACCTAGGAACTGCCATGCGGGGGCAGGCTGAGAAACCATGGTGCTCACCTCACTCTGTCTGCAGTCTCCTGAGGATCACAAACCTGTGCTTGTCCTATGTCTAAAAACCATTACCTATTATACGTATTGTATAGCTTCCAGTTGTTTAAGGCAGGAGAGGAAATCTGACCCTTGTTATTCCATCACAGCAGTAAGGAGAACTCTTCACATCTAAGTAAACACACCTCACACTTACAATTCACTGCTTTTTGTAATAATTGATGTATAAAGAACACCACTTCCTTACAGAACTATTTCAATAGCATCATGCTTGTCAAATTCTTTACATTATTGAGACTACTCTTCAGTATGAACCTCTGTAGGTATTATTCTCAAGTGTACAGTGAGTTGTCCTTTCTTGAAATCTTCCACTTTGTTATAAAAAACAATAGAATTTTCTTCCTGTTTAGGTATTCTAAACATTTAATAAACTGACTTTTGACTAAAAGCTTCTCTACTATCACAACACTAATAAGGTTTTCACCTCAATGAGTCATCCAATATGTAACGAGTAGTGTCTTCTGGGAGATGACTTTTTTTACACTGTTTGCTTTTTAAAAACTTCTCTTTCTAAATTCTGCTTAGTGACTCTTGACTCCTCAATTCAAGCTTTTTCAACAGTCACTGCCTCAATAGGGTTTCTCTCCCACATGCATCCTCAAAAGTGTCAGAAAGTATGACACTTGATAGCAACCTTTCTGCATTCGCCAAAGTCATGATTTTTATATTATATGATTTCTCTGATGTATCATAAGCTGCGACTTCCTGTTGAAGGTGGTCCCACACTCATTGCATCCATAGTATTTATCTCCTGTATGAATCCTCTGATGCCTCATAAGGTGTGACTTTCTTGTGAAAGATTTCCCACATTCACCACATTTATATGGTCTCTCTCCTGTATGAATTCTCTGATGTATAATCAGCTGTGCCTTCTCAAAGAAAGCTTTTGCACAATCGCTGCATCCATAGGTTTTCTCTCCTGTGTGATTTCTTTGATGCTTAATGAGCTGCACTTTCTGAACAAATGCTTTCCCACATTCACTGCATTCATAGGGTTTCTCCCCTGTATGAATTCTCTGATGCCTAAGAAGCTGTGGCTTCCAGGCAAAAGCTTTCCTACATTCACTACATTCAAAGGGCTTTTCTCCAGTATGGGTTCTCTGATGATGAATGAGACTTGACTTCTCACTGAAGGTTTTCCTGCATTCACTGCATTCATAGGGTTTCTCACCTGTATGTGTTCTCTGATGTGATATCAGGCTTGACTTCTGGGTGAAGGCCTTCCCACACTCACTGCATTCATAAGGCTTCTCCCCAGTGTGTGTTCTGTGATGCGTTAGGAGCTGGGACTTCCCAAAGAAGGTTTTCCCACATTGAATGCATCCATATGGTTTCTCTCCTAAGTGAATTTTTTGATGTCTTATTAACTCTGACTTCTTAAAGAAGGCCTCCTCACAATCACTGCATCGATAGTTCTTCTCTCCTGTGTGAGTTATCTGATGTTTAATCAGCTGTGGTTTTCTGATGAAGGCTTCACCACATTCGTTGCATTCGTAGGGCTTCTCTCCTGTATGAATCCTCTGATGCCTAATGAGAAGTGAGTTCCTGCTGAAGGCTTTTTGACACTCACCACATCCGTAAGGTTTCTTCCCTGTGTGGGTCCTCTGATGAGTAATCAGCTGCGACTTCCAAAAGAAGGCTTTTCCACAGTGACTACATGGATAGGGTTTCTCTCCTGTGTGCGCTCTCTGATGTGTGATGAGTTTTAATTTCTGGGAGAATGCTTTCCCACACTCACTGCAACTGTAGGGTTTCTCTATTGTGTGCGTTATCTGATGTCTTTTAAGCTGCGACTTCCTACTGAAGGCTTTTCCACATTCACTGCATCCATACGGCTTCTCTCCAGTATGAATTCTCTGATGTAAAATGAGGAGTGACTTCCTACTAAAAGCTTTCTGACATTCGCTGCACCCATGCGGTTTTTCTCCTGAGTGAGTTCTTTGATGAACCGTGAGCAGTGACTTCTGTGAAAAGGCTTTTCCACACTCACTGCATTGATAGGGCTTCTCTCCTGTATGAGTTCTCTGGTGTATAACAAGTTGTGACTTCTTGTTAAAAAATCTGCCACATTCCATGCATAAATAGACTCCTGTGTGTGTTATGTGATTAGCAGTGAGCCATGGCTCTTCGTTGCTGGATTTTCTACATGTACTGCAATCACAGTATTTTATCCCACCATGGGTTCTGCCAGGTTTGATACAGAACAATAATTTCTTATTGAGTTCATCAATTTTCTTTCTTTCACAATTATTTTTTGGAATAAGCAAATCAAAAGGACATTTCAAACTTTTTTCTCCTGTGCCACATTTATGGGATCGCAGTCCTACATGAACAATGTTTATGCTTGAATTAAATATTTTTCCAAAAACATCATATTTATGGCCTCTCTCCATACTTTTAAGGTTGTCTTGATTATCTCGGAGCCACATTTTGGGATTATCTAGCCAGACTTCTAAAAAGAGAAAAAAATGAACCATACTGTGTAATTCCTTCAATTATTATGCTTATTGCATAAAGCTTCTGAAATGGCGCCATAATCCCAGTTTTTAAAATTCCCTCAAATAATGTGTACTTATTGGGCATTGACAATTTTAACAGAAATGAAAATGAACTTTTAAATTACAAATGTTTAAATACATGAACTTTTATTTTTACTGTTTATATATATTTTTTTGAGATGGAGTCTCGTGCTGTCACCAGGCTGGAGTGCAGTGGCATGATCTTGGCTCAGTGCAACCTCTGCCTCCCAGGTTCAAGCAATTCTCCTGCCTCAGCCTCCTGAGTAGCTGGGATTACAGGCATGTGCCACCACACCCGGCTACTTTTTGTATTTTTAATAGAGACGGGGTTTCACCGTGTTAGCCAGGATGGTCTCGATCTCTTGACCTCGTGATCCACCCGCCTCAGCCTCCCAAAGTGCTGGGATTACAGGTGTGAGCCACTGCGCCCAGCCTTATTTTTTTTTTAGAGGGAGTCTCACTCTGTCACCACGCTGGAGTGCAGTGGTGCGATCTCAGCTCACCACAACCTCCACCTCCCGGGTTCAAGCGATTCTCCTGCCTCAGCCTCCTGAGTAGCTGAGACTACAGGTGTGCGCCATCACACTTGGCTAATTTTTGTATTTTTAGTAGAGATGGGGTTTCACCACGTTAGCCAGGATGGTCTTGATCTCCTGACCTCATGATCCACCTGCCTCGGCCTCCCAAAGTGCTGGGATTACAGGCGTGAGCCACCACGCCTGGCTAAATACATGAACTTTTAAATAAGGAAATATTAAATATACTCAAAGAACAGTGATCATGAGATGAAAGAGCCTGGAGCAATTTCCAATCAAATACTGAAGTGATTAGTTTACTTTTTTGACAATAATCTATGATTATCTACTATGTGTCCAGAACTTAGTATCAGAAGATCAGAGAAGAAGTGAGGTAATATAGTTAAGAATGTGAATAATAAAAACATAAAAATGCAACATTAGTATATATTGTTGAATGGTATAATAGAAAAAGTAAGGGATATAATGCAGAATAAATGTACAATATCAACTTTACACCTGAAAGATAAGAAACATTTTTTTGTACTATTATTGCATTTATAAAATATTCTTATTCGGGATCATTACTTAAATCACTGATATCAATAACTTCACCATCATCAGTAAAACTTCCTCTTGGAATTATCCAAGAGTTCTCCAGAGCTCAGTATCAACACTTTTATTCAACTTCTTCACATTCATCCTCCTTTAATTGGATCTGTAAAGTATATATTTTATGTATATGTAATGCTATCACTGGAAATTACTCCTAACCACAATAATTTTTTTATAATAGTAGAACAGATATTTTCATCCAATAAGTACAATTGTTTGTGATTTCTACAAGACCATTTATTGCATATTTTAAAGGTTTATTTACTTGACTTTTTGATGATATTATTTACTAGCAATTGTGGGGTAATATTCTCAGGAAGTACTCTGCGAGATGAAAAGATCTGGCATGGTCTCAAATATAAAACGAGGCTGGGCCTGGTGGCAGCTCACAACAACAATCCCAGCACTTTGGGAGGCTGAGGTGGGAGGACTGCTTGAGCCCAGGAGTTTGAGACTAGCCTGGGCAACATATGGAGAAACTGTCTCTTCAAATTTTTTTTTTCTAAAATTAGCCATGTGTGGTGGTGCACACGTGAAGTCCCAGCTACTTGTGAGGCAGAGGGGGTGGATCACTAGAGCCTGAGAGGTTGAGGTTGCAGTGACCCATAACTATCACTGCACTCCAGCCTAGGAGACAGAGTGAGACACAGGCTCAAAAACAAAACAAAACAAAACAAAACAAAACAAAAAAACCCCAAAAACTACTCTTTTCTAGGGGGGAAAAAGCCTCATCTAATTCTCAGATATCAGAATTTCAGATGAAGCAGGCTGGCTGCGGTGACTGATGCCTGGAATCCCAGCACTTCAGGGGGCTGAGGTGGGTGGATCACTTGACCCCAGGAGTTCAAGACCAGCCTGGCCAACATGGTGAAACCCCATCTCTACCCAAATACAAAAATTAGCCAGGTGTGGTGGTGCACACCTGTAGTCCCAGCTACTTGGGAGGCTGAGGTGGGAGGAGGTTGTGTGAGATGAGAGTGAGCCCACTACACGTCAGCCTGCGTGACTGAGTGAGACCCCATCTCAAAAAGAAAATAGAATTTCAGAGGAAGCACAACTGCTGATATGGAAAATTAAAGAAAGACTCAGTGTTTCGGGCATAAACAAAGATGATAATACTATTCATTGAGATGAAAAAGACTATGCAAAGAAGTTTGAAGATCAAAAGCAAGAGTCATATGTAGACAAGTGTGAGATCCACTTGAAGAGTTTACAGAAAATTGTTTTATAAGATGTGGGAAAAAAGAAAAACAATACTTTTAAATTAAAATCAAATCAAGATGAGATTAAAAATATGTCTATCCAGGCCGGGTGCGGTGGCTCACGTCTGTAATCCCAGCACTTTGGGAGGCCGAGGCAGGCAGATCACGAGGTCAAGGGATCGAGACCAGCCTGGCCAACATGGTGAAACCCCATTTCTACTAAAAATACAACAAATAGCTGGGCGTGGTGGTGTGCGCCTGTAATCCCAGATACTTGGGAGGCTGAGGCAGGAGAATCGCTTGAACCCGGGAGTCGGAGGTTGTAGTGAGCTGAGATCGTGCCACTGCACTCCAGCGTGCCAACAGAGCGAGACTCCGTCTCAAAATAAATAAATAAATAAATATGTCTATCCAAATTAATGGATTAAATGATAAACAATAATAAAGTAGTTTATGTACAGGCTTAAAAGTAGTATTTGGTGATTTTTTAGAGACAGGATATCACTGTGTCGCCCAAGGAGTGACGAGGTAGGGTCATACCTCACTGCAGCTGCAAACTCCCAGGCTCAAGTGATCCTTCTGCCTCAATCACACAAGTAGCTGAGACTGTAGGTGTGTGCCAGCATACCTGGCTAATTTTTAATATCCTTCTTGTAGAGATGGGGTCTTGCTATGTTGCCCAGGCGGGCCTGCAACTCCCAGCCTCAAGCAATACTCCTGTCTTGGCCTCCCAAAGCACTGGGATTACAGGCATGAGCCACCATGTCACGCCCACCAAAATGTCATTCTGATGGCACACCAACAAATACCCTCTTTATTTCTTTCCTTCATAGTACTTATCAAATAGGTAATCCTCTTACTCGTGTCTCTCCCAGTAGAATGTAAACTGTATGAGTGTAGGGAACAGGTTTGTCTTTTTCACTAATGTACCCCCACTGCATAGCACATAACAAGCCCTCAATATAGGTAGGATAAATATTATTCACTTGTCATTGAGCTTCTAATATAGTTCCTTTTGGTATCATTAATCTTGGCAATTAATTTTGCACTTTAACACAAATGCTTCATGTTCAAATACTGCATCACTAAATATTTTATGGTTTTATATTGTCTTCTAAATTAAAATCCTATAAAGTTATTTCATGACTCATTTCAATTCCTCTCATTCCACATGAGAAGTGGTTCTAAATTAATAGGGGAATATAACAACTATCTTTACAGCTTTTCCAAACTGCACACACTCAGACCTAAACAACAATGGGAATGGTGCCCAGACATCTGTAACCCGAAATATTTCCCTGCTGTGCATTATGCCTCACCCCTGTAATCTCAGTTTCCCTGCTGTGCATTATGGCTCTTCCTGTAATCCCAGCACTTGGGGAGGCCAAGGCGGGAGGATCACTTGAACCCAGAGTTTGAGACCAGCCTGGGCAACATAGTGAGATCCTGTCTCTCCAGAAAAACCAAATTTTTAAAAATTAGCTTGGTGTGGTGGTAGTCTCAGCTACTGGGGAGGCTAAAGTGGGAGGAGCTCATGAGTCCAGATAGGTTAAGGCTGCAGTAAGCTGTGACTGCGCCACTGTACTCCAACCTGCGTGACAAAGTGAGACCTTGTCTCAAAAAAATTTTTTAAATAAATATTTCCCAGGGTAGAGGCTTAGATGGAAACTTTTCTACTGAAGGGACATCTGATAAACAAGACCTTTCCTTATCTGGGTCCATAATAACCAATTTTTAAAAATCAAGTAAGTGCATACCACAAATTCCACAGAGAACACAGACTACGTTACTGGCAATCTCTCTTTATGGGGAAAAAAATCTTAGGACTAGTTGTTTTAGGAATTTCAGATAATGTCCATCAGGCCTGAGTTACTATACTATAGATGCTACGTGGATAGAGATTTCAGAGAAAGCTGTGAGTCAAGGAACATTCACTGAAGTTGAAGAAAAGAGCTCAAAGTGAAGTCTACCTGGGGAAAATGTACCATAATCAGAGGTACAGATGCAGAGAAAAATTTCAGAAGAGCGTGTGAGGAAGAATCTAGCTCAGATGGAGTTAATAATGACTCTTGAGCACAAATCTAGCTCAAATGGAGTTAATAATGACTCTTGAGCATAGAAAAATAAGTGGAGAGATAAGATGTTCCCATACCATGAGATTCTTCAACAAAAACGGAGATTAAATATCACACAGCAGGTAATGGAGACTTAAACCCACCTGACTATGTGATGGTATGAGAGAGAAGCTTTAGAGAAGTTAAACATCAAATGTACCAGAAAGATGCACTGGGAACTGACTTGAAAATCCTTAGTTTGTACAGAGGAAGGTAAGAAGCAAAATCTCCTTACTATGTTTAAGGTATTAGGGTTTTGTGTGTGTGTGTTTTTGTTTTTAGAGACAGGGTCTCACTCTGTTGCCTAGCACATCCATGGCACACTGCAGCTTCCAGCTCCTTGGGTCAAGCAATCCTCCCACCTCAGCCTCCCAGGTAGCTGGCACTAGAGGTGCACACCACCATATTTGGCTGAATTATTATTATTATTGTTAGGTATTATTAGTAGTAGTAGATATGGGGTCTTGCTTTGTTGCCCAGGTTGGTCTCAAACTCCTGGCCTTAAGTGACTGTCGTGCCCTGCCCTCTCCCCAACCTCCACAGCATGAGGATTACAGTATGAGCTACTGCGCCCAGCCTAGATTTTCACTCTGTATCAGTGGGTTCATCTTCTACTCTCTGTGGTTTTAAAATAGAAATATATCAAATTAGAGGAAGAGAAGAAAAATAATAAATTAAAAGTTTGAAGTTTAAATAAACTCAAAGGCAATCAGTGTTATCTAAAAGAAGAAAAAAATTATGAATTCATAAAGAGAGCCTTAACTAAGAAAGTGGGGTTGTAAATGGCCACCAATCTATGCCACTGAATAAGAGGGATACATTTCATCATAAACTCCATGGAGAAAAGACACATCCCGATGTGGAGACCAGGTTATGGAGCACATCCATTAAAACTCATGTCACCAATCTTGAGTCAACTCTAAAGATTCAGGAACTTTAAACACAGTTTTATAAACAACACTTTAAAAGTGCCCACCTGTCATCAAAAACCTGAGATAAAATGTTCACTGTATCTCATAAACCTGATTATTCCTCACCTGAAAAGTTCTGATTTAGGATTTCTTGACCTATTATCCATGGATCTTGTTGTTCCAGTTTGAACATTGCATCAGGTTTGAGAATTTGAAAACCTGTCGATTGGAAACACAGAGGACTTGGACCTAACTGCCTGGGCTAAGAGTCTTAAATATGTAGAATGTTTTATTATAAAGGCTGCAAAATAAAGCAAGTGAATGAAAATCTTTCAATTCAGTATAAAAGTCAAATAATCTTTGACATGTAAAACTTACATCCAAAATAAACAAACACCTCACAGGCCAGTTACTGGCCATACACTAAGTTACATAAGAATGTTCTTACCCAAGAAAACCAGATTGCTATAGTTCTCCAACATCACATCTCTGTACAAGTTCTTCTGAGTAGGATTAAGTAGCTGCCATTCCTCCAGCGTGAAATCCACAGCCACATCCTCAAATGATATCTGGAAAAGCATAATCCCTGTTAAACCTGAAGTGGTTCTCATTTGGTCTTGTAAAATACTTTCTTCTGTATTTGTGGTAGGTGGCCTCTAAGATGGCCCCAGTGACCTCTGACTCCGGTATTCATGCTTTTGCATAATCCTCCCCTCTTGACCGTGGGCTGGACTCACTGACTCATTGTCCTGAACAGAACAGGGAAACATGATGAGATGCCACTTCCAAGACTAGGTTAGAAAGAAATGCAACTTCTATCCTGGGCACTCTCTCTCTCTGGAGGAGTCTGGCTGCTGTGTTGTAAGGCCGCCATGTGGAAGCTCATGTGCCGTGGAACTGAGGCTTCCCAACAGCCACTGAGTGAGCCTGGAGGAGCCAGCTCCTTCCTCGCTGCAGCCCTTCTCAACACCTTCATCACTGCATCATGTGAGACCCTCAACCAGAACCAACTGGGCAAGTACCTGGCAGATTCCAAAACCCAGAAACAGATCAATGTTTGTTGTTTTCAGCCCTTGAGGTTTGGGGTAATTTGTGACACAATAATGAATAACCAATATAATCTAATATAATAAATATAATAATCTTGCATTATGCCTTGAGGAAGGAATGTTTTAAAAATATTTATCATTGTGAATTCATTCATCCATGTACCTATCCACTGAACAAGAAACCAGAATAGGTTGTCTTTAAACAATACAGTGGTTCTCAAAGAAGGTGCCACTAGTATTTGAGAACCATTCTTAGGTAAGGAATACTGTTCCATGCAGTTGAGCCCTTCAGCATGCCTGGCCTCTGTCTGCTAATGACAGTAATATCTCTCAGTCACTGGCTGGGCACGGTGGCTTATGCCTGTAATCCCAGCACTTTGGGAGGCTGAGGTGGGCGGATCACCTGAGGTCAGGAATTCAAGACCAGCCTGGCCAACATGGTGAAACCCCAACTCTATTAAACACACACACACACACATGCACACACACACAAATTAGCTGGGGGTGGTGGTGGGCACCTGCAATCCCAGCTACCAGGGAGGCTGAGGCAGGAGAATCACTTGAACCTGGGAGGTGGAGGTTGCAGTGAGCCAAGATCGTGCACCTGCATGCAGCCTGGGCAACAGAGCAAGACTCTGTCTCAAATAAATAAATAAATAAATAAACAACAACAAAAACAAAAACACTCTCTTTCCTCTGGGAGTGATTCTGCTCCCAAGTAAGAACTGGCCAGCTATTTTAGGTATCTTCCAAAACACACATATTGAGCAATTAAGATTCCAGGAACCATCTGGGTGTGGTGGCTCACACCTGAAATCTCAGCACTTTGGGAGGCCAAGGCAGGTGGATCACCTGAGGTCAGGAGTTGGAGACCAGCCTGGCCAGCACTGTAAAACCCCATCTCTACCAAAAATACAAAAATTAGCCAAGTGTGGTGGTGTGTGCCTGTAATCCCAGCTACTCGGGAGGCTGAGACAGGAGAATAGCTTGAACCCAGAAGGTAGAGGTTGCAGTGAGCTGAGATTGTGCCGCTGCACTCCAGCCTGGTGACAGAGCAAGATTCCGTCTAAAAAAAAAAAAAAAAAAAGATTCCAGGAACCATAACAGGTACTAGAAATTTAAAAATGAGTAGAAAAAAATCACATTCTCAAGTACCTTTCAGGCCAGAGTGAATAAGGTTACAGGGCTATGAAGCTAGCATTTACAGAATATAGAGACAAAACGGGGATAAAAACACTGGATTTAACAACACTGGGTTAGGTGCTGTAAAGACAGTAAGGCTTAGAAAGGGTCTTTAGAAAGTCCTGGTTACAGAGGGGGATGAGGAAAAGGACACTCTCAAGGCAGCAGCATGAGCAAAGACATGGAAATAAAGTGTGTTTTCTGAGGGATGAAAGTTCAGGAATATAAGAGAGGGAGTGGGAGCGGTGGGAATGGTCCTGGCCTCTTTAAAAGGGAACGTGGAAACCTAGAGAGGTAAGCAGAGGCCAGCCTTCAGCTGGACTCAAGTAAATTTGAGCATTCCAGTCCCAGCAGCTACAAGGGACACAGGAAAAAGGAGGAAAGCTTAGAATAAGCCCAAGCATAGGGGACTAATAGGTTATTTTCCCTCATAAAGCTGGAACACAAGGAGTACTCCGTGTGTGGGTCAATGAAAAAAAAATCAAAGAAAATCAATTTCTTGCCTCAAATGTTAGTGTTACACAAAGAGGTCAAAAATTGTCCCTGAGAATTATAACAAGCTGGATTTATATGGGTGTGTGGGCTCAACTCCAGTATAGATGTGTTTTGCAAAAACCTTAAGCACAGAGAGTTCTAAAGTGTTTTTGAGGGGGCCATGCATTCAGGCATCCGGCAGAATCAAATGCAAATTCTATTTAGAGAAAGAGATCAAAATAATTCTCACAAATAAAGATTCAAGAAAAATGAGTACAGAGTAAAAGAGAAACCGGAATGCACACATAAAAAAAAAATCATCCAGGTGCGGTGGCTCACGCCTGTAACCCCAGCACTTTGGGAGGCCGAGGCAGGTGGATCACGAGGTAAGGAGATCGAGACCATCCTGGCTAACATGGTGAAACCCCATCTCTACTAAAAATACAAAAAAATTAGCCGGGCATGGTGGTGGGCGCCTGTAGTCCCAGCTACTCGGGAGGCTGAGGCAGGAGAATGGCGTGAACCCGGGAGGCGGAGGTTGCAATGAGCAGAGATCGTACCACTGGACTCCAGCCTGGGTGACAGAGTGAGACTCTGTCTTAAAAAAAAAAAAAAAAAAATTAGCCGGGCGTGGTGGTGGGTGCCTGTAGTCCCAGCTACTCGGGAGGCTGAGGCAGGAGAATGGCGTGAACCCAGGAGGTGGAGCTTGCAGTGAGCCGAGATGGCGCTACTGCACTCCAGCCTGGGCGACAGAGCAAGACTCCATCTCAAAAAAAACCAAAAAAAAACAAACAGGAGTGGTATAAAAGACTTAGGATATTTGAACTGTCAGCACAGAATATAAAATAAATATATTTAATATATTCAAAGAAATGAGAGGTTAATGAAAGTACGAAAAATAATCAGAAGACTATAAAAATGAATAAGCAGATTTGAAAAAAATGAAATATAACTTCTAGAGATAAAATGCATAATAAGTAAAGTTAAGAAGTCAATGGAAGGGCTTAAGAGTAGATTAGGAAAAGATAAAGAGAGAATAAGTGAATTGGAAGATAGACCAGAAGAAATAATAAAGCAAAAGCTCAGAAATGGAAAATATAAAGCAACCCCAGCTACATGCTGCCTACGAAAGAGGCACATTTATATTCAAAATAGTTTAAACATAAAAGGACTCACATTACTTGATTTCAAGACTTCCTATGCAACCACAGTAATTAAGGCAGGATGGCATTTGTGAAAGGATAAAAACACAAGTTAATGGAACAGAACACAGAACTCAAAAATAAGCCCCTACAAATATACTCAATTGTTTCACAAAAGTACAAAAAGCAATTCTACAGTCTTTGTGACAAATAATGTCTCAACAATTTTATACTCATAAGCAAAAGGGATCTCAACACATACCTCACACCTTATATCAAAACTAACTCAAAATGGATCACAGACCTAAACATAAAAAACTATAAAACTTTTAGAAGAAAACCAAAGAAAACCTGTGTGACTTTGGGTTTGGCAATGAGTTAGATACAACACCAAAAGCCTGATCAATTTAAGAAAAAAATTTGATAAATTGGACTTTTTCAAAATTAAGAACTTTTGCTCTGTGAAAGACAATGTTAAGAGAAAGAGAAGGCACGGCACAGACTAAGAGAAAATTATTTGCAAATTACATACTTGCTAAAGCACTCATATCCAGGATATAAAGAACTCTTACTAAGAAAATAACCTCATTTTAAAAATTAACAAGATATCTTGACATTTCACCAAAGAAAATATATGGAAGGTGGCTGGGCGCGGTGGCTCACGCCTGTAATCCCAGCATTTTGGGAGGCCGAGGCAGGCGGATCACCTGAGGTCAGGAGTTCAAGACCAGCCTGGCCAACATGGTGAAACCCCATTTCTACTAAAAATACAAAAATTAGCCAGGCATGGTGACACGCACCTGTAATCCTACCTACTGGGAAGGCTAAGGGAGGATAATTGCTTGAACCCAGGAGGCAGAGGTTGCAGTGAGCCGAGATGGTGCCATTGCACTCCAGCCTGGGCGACAAGAATGAAACTCTGTCTCAAAAAAAAAAAAAAAAAAAAAGAAAATGTATGGATGGAAAGTAAATATATGAAAAGATGTTCAATATATCTGTCAAAAGGTGAATGCAAATTAAAACTATAATGAAAAACTACTATGTACTTATTAGAAGGCTAAAACTAAACACACACACACACAGACACACACACACACACACACCCCTGACAAATATCTGTGAGGACTCAGAGCAAGAGCAACTGTCATTCATTGTGGTGGGAATGTAAAATGTACAGCAGCTTTTGAAAACATTTTGGCAGTTTCTTATAAAGTTGAACACAGACTTACCACACAACGCAGCAATTCCACTCCTAGGTGTTTACTCAAGTAGTGAACTGAAAACTTACATTCACCTGAAAATTTATATTCAAACCTATATGCAGATGAATGCTTTATTCAAAACTGCTAAAAAGTGGAACAATTAAGATGTCCTTCAATAAGTGAATGGATAGAGACTGTGGCCCATCCATACATGGGATCATATTCAAGGGAATCACACGCCAAGAAAAAGGAAGAAACTACCGATAAGATATGAATGAATCTCAAAGGTATGCTAAGTGAGAAAAGCCACTGTCAAAAGGTCACATATGTGATCCCATTTATTTATTTATTTATTATTTATTTGAGAGGGAGTCTCGCTCTGTCGCCCAGGCTGGAGTGCAGTGGCGCGATCTCGGCTCATGGCAAGCCCCGCCTCCTGGGTTCACGCCATTCTCCTGCCTCAGCCTCCCAAGTAGCTGGGACTACAGGCGCCTGCCACTACGCCCGGCTAACTTTTTGTATTTTTAGTAGAGACGGGGTTTCACCCTGTTAGCCTGGATGATCTCAATCTCCTGACCTTGTGATCCACCTGCCTCGGCCTCCCAAAGTGCTGGGATTACAGGCAAGAGCCACTGTGCCAGGCCGATCCCATTTATTTTTTTATTTTTATTTTTTATTTTTTTGAGACAGAATCTCACTCTGTTGCCCAGGCTGGGGTGAAGTGGCACGATCTCGACTCACTGCAACCTCTGCCTCCTGGGTTCTAGCGATTCTCCTGCCTCAGCCTCCCGAGTAGCTGGGATTACAGGCACACGCCACCACACCCTGCTAATTTTTGTATTTTTAGTAGTGACGGGGTTTCTACATGTTGGTCAGGCTGGTCTCGAACTCCCGACCTCAGGTGATTTGCCCGCCTCAGCCTCCCGAAGTGCTGGTGAGAGGTGACAGCGTGCTGGCAGTCCTCAGAGCCCTCGCTTGTTCTCGGCACCTCCCCTGCCTGGGCTCCCACTTTGGTGGCATTTGAGGAGCCCTTCAGTCCCCCACTGCACTGTGGGAGCCCCTTTCTGGGCTGGCCAAGGCTGGAGCCCACTCCCTCAGCTTGCAGGGAGGTGTGGAGGGAGAGGCACGAGCGGGAACCGGGGCTGTGTGCGGCGCTTGCGGGCCAGCTGGAGTTCCGGGTGGGCGTGGGCTTGGTGGGCGCCGCACTCGGAGCAGCCAGCCAGCCCTGCTGGCCCCGGGCAATGGGGGACTTAGCACCCGGGCCAGTGGCTGCGGAGGGTGTACTGGGTCCCCCAGCAGTGCTGGCCCACCGGCGCTGCGCTCGATTTCTCACCGAGCCTTAGCTGCCTCCCCGCGGGGCAGGGCTGGGCACCTGCAGCCCACCATGCCTGAGCCTCCCACCCACTCCATGGGCTCCCATGCGGCCCCAGCCTCCCTGACGAGCACCACCCCCTGCTCCACGGCGCCCAGTCCCATCGACCACCCAAGGGCTGAGGAATGCGAGCGCACAGCGCAGGACTGGCAGGCAGCTCCACCTGCAGCCCCGGTGCGGGATCCACTAGGTGAAGCCAGCTGGGCTCCTGAGTCTGGTGGGGACGTGGAGAGTCTTTATATCTAGCTCAGGGATTGTAAATACACCAATCAGCACCCTGTGTTTAGCTCAAGGTTTGTGAGTGCACCAATCAACACTCTGTATCTAGCTGCTGGTGAGGACATGGAGAACCTTTATGTCTAGCTCAAGGATTGTAAATACACCAATCGGCACTCTGTATCTAGCTCAAGGTTTGTAAACACACCAATCAGCACCCTGTGTTTTGCTCAAGGTTTGTGAATGCACCAATTGACACTCTGTATCTAGCTGCTCTGGTGGGGCCTTGGAGAACCTGTGTGTGGAAACTCTGTATCTAACTAATCTGATGGGGACGTGGAGAACCTTTGTATCTAGCTCAGGGATTGTAAACGCACCAATCAGCGCCCTGACAAAACAGGCCACTCGGCTCTACCAATCAGCAGGATGTGGGTGGGGCCAGATAGGAGAATAAAAGCAGGCTGCCCGAGCCAGCAGTGGCAACCCGCTCGGGTCCTCTTCCACACTGTGCAGGCTTTGTTCTTTCGCTCTTTGCAATAAATCTTGCTACTGCTCACTCTTTGGGTCCACGCTGCTTTTATGAGCTGTAACACTCACCGCGAAGATCTGCAGCTTCACTCCTGAGCCAGCGAGACCACGAGCCCACCGGGAGGAACGAACACTCCAGACGCACTACCTTAAGAGCTGTAACACTCACCGCGAAGGTCTGCAGCTTCACTCCTGAGCCAGCGAGACCACGAACCCACCAGAAGGAAGAAACTCCGAACACAGCTGAACATCAGAAGGGACAGACTCCAGACGCGCCACCCGAAGAGCTGTAACACTCACCGCGAGGGTCCGCGGCTTCATTCTTGAAGTCAGTGAGACCAAGAACCCACCCATTCTGGACACACTGGGATTACAGGTGTGAGCCACTGTGCCTAGCCGACATGATTCCATTTATAGGACATTCTGGAAAAGGCAAAGCTGTAGTGACAGAGAACAGATAGTGGCGGCCAGGGATAAGGGATGCACAGCCACAGAGGGGCCTCACAGACTTCCTGTGTGGTGACGGAGCCGCTCTGTCCCGACTGTGATGTTGATGACATGAACTTGGACGTGTTTTAAAACTCCTCTGAGGAAGCTGGCTCCTGGTTAAAAAGGTCTGTGCGAAATTTCAGGCACAAACATAAACAATCACCAAGGCTTTACCCTGTGGGCCTCATGGAGGAAAACTGCCCTCCCCACAACGGACGTGGTGTACAGCCAACGTACTGTGGATGCTACAGGACTATGATGTGGTCCCCGGTCCTGAGTGTATTGTTGATGCTGATGTCCCATCTATGTACACCCCTGCTAGCCTTTGCCCCAGTCCCTGATGGGAACTGCTGCAGTTAGGGCCGTTACAGAGCAGCATAGGAAGACTGAATCCACCCGACTCAGGCTATGGCTAGTTCCCTGGCCATTGGATCAGGCCGCCGGCCAGCCTCAGACTGGCAGGTAAAACAAGGTTCCTGGTGGAGACAGGACTTTTTAAAAAAAAAATAATTTCAACTTTTTCTTTAGATCCACAAGTCCATGTGCAGGTTTGTTTTGTGGGTTTACTGCGTAATGCTGAGGTTTGGGGTACGACTGATCCTGTCGCCCAGGTGGTGAGCACAGAACCCAACAGGCTTCCCTCTTCCCTCCCTCCCTCCCCACGTTTGAGGTCCCCTGTGTCTACTGGCCCCATCTTCGTGTCCACGTGTACCCAGTGTTTTGCTCCCACTTATAAATAAGAACAGAGAACATTTGGTTTTCTGTTCCTGAGGATGAGACATTTAGATAAAAATCAGTTCTGCTCCTAAGAAGCATTTTGTTACCCATACGGGTGCTCACCAAAAAGACTCCAGTGCTGACCCAGGAAACACAACCACCCAACTGCGCTTGCTAAATGCAGACTAAGATGTCTTCCACTCCGGAGCAAGCAGATATGTGACTGACCGCCTCATGGAGCCATGAGAAACGTCCCACAGAGATGCAGACATGGCCTAGACCGAGCCTCCGCGTGTGCTGCTTCTGCTCTCAGAAGACGGTGAACCACGGGAAACAGCTGTCCTGCTTTCCAGACTCTGGTCAAGGCTAGCAGCGCCCAAAGGTAGATTGCCAGGTCAATCGGCCATGACATTCTCGGCAGGTAGATCAATGTTTCGCTGTTTCCTTGTGGTTTGGCCCAGCCAACCCCACACATTCCACTGACTTGGGCCACACTATCCAGGCCCGACATGACCAGATCTGCTTCCCGTTCAGGTTTCCTGAGCGCAGTGCTTCTGAGAACAGCCCCAGTCCAAACTACACATCAATAGGCCCAATCATGGGGCGTCTGAGGAACCGTATCGCTCACGAGCAACAGGGTAACTGACTGTTGTAACGGACAGCTTCGGTGGCTGCTGGGAGGGGACGAGATAACCGCAGCCTGGACTACGCAGCTCAGGCAAGCGACCTCAGGCCTCACGCAGCCGTTCCCCGCAGGGCACTTCCCACGGGTACCTCCAGGCTGCCCTCCGTCACGCGTCCCTCTTCTCCGGGCTGCCCTCCGTCACGCGCCCTTTTCCAGGCTGCCCTCTGTCACGCTCCTTCTCGAGGCTGCCCTCCATCACGCGTCCTTCTTCTCCAGGCTGCCCTCCATCACGCACTCTTCTTCTCCAGTTACAGACACCTCAGACTCCACGGGGCACGGTGCAAGGCCCTTTCATCCCCTTTCTGAAGCCTCAAATAGACGGGAGATATGTAAACCTATTTTTAAACCTTTTAAAAGTTCAGGATTTTGTGCTCAACAATTCTTAAACATGATTTATCTTTTTGGTTATGTAAAAATATTTTGTCCCTCTTGTATACAACCTTTCCAGACAGCACGTATGAATGAAAACAGGAGACATTTTGTTCTTAAGTTTTGATTACTACATGGGACACACAGGTAACAGAAAAACAAAACAAAACTGGCATCTGGGAGGCTCAGGGAAAGGGAAAAAATAATAATGATCTTTATTTTTCAGACCTGCTCCTAAAAGCTTTCTCCTCCTCCTAAAAAACCAAACACAAGAGGTCCTCTTGCTGCCTTTCCATGGACTGTGGCGGCTGTGGACTTGGACCGTCTGCTGAGCCCACACCTCGGCTTCCTCACGGTGCTGACGAGGAGAGGCAGAGGACTGCCTTGGCTCCTGGGCTCTGTGCAGAACTCCTCCAGAGACTGTCCACACTTGATAAGGTGGGACTAACAAACTCATGTCATGGATAAACAGAATGGTTTGGAACTCAGTCCCAGGCAGGCCCTCTGAAGTCAAGGCCTAAACCCAATGATCCAGACTGGACAGAGGCCCGACGATGGGAAGCCACCTTGGATCCCTGTTAACCTCACAACCTGAGGCGTGCGTGCCCGGCTGGGGCACCTGACCTTGTGAATTCGTTGTTTCTAGGGGACCACGTGTGCCCTCTGGGATTGCACTCAGGACCTGTCTCAGCCTGGAAGACATTCAGGTCACGTTCAGTTTCCTGGCCAGTGTTCTGCTGTGCCTGAATTGATGCCTCAGGCCAGGTAAAGAAGATTCACACAGATTCTTCTGTCTCTCCAGTGGGCTGTGGGGCGTCTTTCCTGGCATGGCAACTGCCGAGGTGACTGCTGAGGCCATGTTCAGTCCTCCGGGCCCGACCATCCTGCTTGGAGTGGCGTCATAGCCATGGTCTGCTGTTGCCTCAGACGATTTACCTGGTTATTGTCACGGCCCGTCAAAGTCTGACCTATTGGGGTCCATGATGAGGTAGCCTGTTTCACACTTAGGTCCTAAAAAATCAAGGAGTGGAGTCAAGGAGTTCAGCTCCTGGTTAAATACCTGTAGTGCGGCCGGGCACGGTGGCTCACGTCTGTAATCCCCGCACTTTGGGAGACTGAGGTGGGTGGATCCCAAGGTCAGGAAATTGAGACCATCCTGGCTAACACAGTGAAACCTCGTCTCTACTAAAAATACAAAAAAATTAGCTGGGTGTGGTACCGCCTGTAGTCCCAGCTACTCGGGAGGCTGAGGCAGGAGAATGGTGTGAACCCGGGAGGCGGAGCTTGCAGTGAGCAGAGATTGTGCCACTGCACTCCAGTCTAGGCGACAGAGCGAGACTCCATCTCAAAAAAAAAAAAAACAAAAAAAACCTGTAGTGCATGTTCAGGTGTAAGCACAGGCAATTACCAAGGCTTTACCCAGCAGGCCTCAGGGGAAAACTGCCCTCCCAAGAGACTTGGTGCACGGCCAGCACACTCTGGTCTTTGAGGGGAGCTGCAGTCAGGGGTCGTGATCTCACACATTTGCCCTTCTTACCCAGGCACCTGCACTCCAGTCTCCTGAGGCCTTTCTCAGGTGCTAATGCAAGACCTCCTCGTTGGGGTGGGGGAGAACCCTGAAGACACTTTTCCCCACTTTGACTCAGTACCTGGTACTTTTCTACTCCCAGCCCCTCCCTCCCTACCCCAGGGTCCAAAAAAATTGCTGGAGTTTTTTGTTCAGGGCTCCCTCGGCTGAGGGCAAAGAGACAATCCCCACATCTGCACTGATGCAACTGGCTCTTTGTCAGAAGCATTAGAACCAAAGCGACTCCATCTTGAGTGAGGGCGAGGGAAAATGAGGCTGGAGCTTGCTGGACAGCATTGCCGGGAGGTGAGGTATTCCTGGCCTCTAGATGTTTACGGTTAAGGGAACAGATTAATAATGTTTACTAAACAGGCCCATGCCCAGGAACGTCCTGATGTCCCCATGTCTTGAGAACAAAACCGTTTCTAATTTTGCTTTAAAGATAATAATATTGATTCTTATAAAATATATTAAGAAAATCAATCCTTTATCACAAACCCTTGTGGCTGAGCACATCTCCCTGTGACTGTCATTGTTGTTGTCCTACATGTCAACAAGCCTTGTACCTAGGGTGGGCGCCTTCCTCCTCCTGCTTTCCGGAATGCCCTGCTCTGCCTATGGAGTAGCTATCCTTTATTCCTTTACTTTTTTTTTTTTGAGACGGCGTCTTGCTCCGTCACCCAGGCTGGAGTGCAGTGGTGCCACTCCTGGCGTAGGACTGAACATCAAAAAAAGAAAATATCAGGAAGAAAGGAAAGGCAGGGAAAGGGTGAGAGGGGAGAGGCTGACTAGGTGGTAAGAATTCCTCCGAAAGGTGAGGGGACACCACAGTCTGTTTCTTGAGTCAACAAAGTATGGAAACAGAGCTGAACGCAGATCCCTGCATGTCAAGCCTCTGCCAACAGGAGCGGCATTTCCATCCAAAACACATCAACATTCCAGTGGAGAGCATACTTATGGGGACCATTTGAAGGTTTCGTAATGATCAATTCTGCCAGGTGATTTAAGTTTCTTTCCTAAAACTGGAATCTAGGTAGGATGTGCAACCAAGACCCCATCTCAGTCCTCGAAGAAACTGTGTTCTGAATTCTTTCGATTCATGCCCTTAGCTGACATTGAGGAGCTCCAAGAAATAGTCCTAGGAAACCTGTTTGTTTATTACAAGGCTGCTATTTAGGATCTTACCACTATGCCATGTATATGAATAATTATCAAAACATTTTCTTTATGTGTAATTATCGGAAGTATTTGCTTCTCCAGAGTAATTTGTCTGCTTTTTCCTTTTGACAAGAGGAACCCACGTTAACTATTCCTACTTCCCTTTCTGTTATGGCTTCTGGAAATAACAGAAAAGCTTGCAGTTCAACTCTGTAACAGGGAAGGATCCCATTTCTTATTGATCTCTTCCAACTTTAAGACTTTTGTATGATTCTTTTTCTCACTCTGTCACCCTGGCTGGAGTGCACTGATGCGATCTCAGCTCACTGCAACCTCCATCTCCTGGGTTCAAGTGATTCTCATGCCTCAGCCTCCCGAGTAGCTGGGAGGCTAATTTTTGTATTTTCAGTAGAGACGGGGTTTTGCCATGTTGGCCAGGCTGGTCTCAAACTCCTGACCTCAAATGATCTGCCCTCCTCGGCCTCCCAAAGGGCTGGGATTACAGGCATGAGCCACCATGCCCAGCTGAGACTTTTGTATGTTTCTATAATCTACTTTGTGCTTCTTTGGACATCTTCTTTCCCAAGTTTATATTTTCTCTTATTTAAATGTATTTAGACCCTTCTGTGTGTTGCAGAGATTTCTGTAAGCCTCATAACACCCACAAAACAGAGGATAAACCGATAACCCACCTGTGACTGGATCATTTTCATGAAACAGAGGATAAACCGATAACCCACCTGTGACTGGATCATTTTCATGAAACAGAGGATAAACCGATAACCCACCTGTGACTGGATCATTTTCATGAAACAGAGGATAAACCGATAACCCACCTGTGACTGGATCATTTTCATGAAACAGAGGATAAACCGATAACCCACCTGTGACTGGATCATTTTCCGCTGCTCTTGGGAAATCTGCTGTTTTGTGACTTCTCTTAGTCCTGACACCCTGGAGTGGCCTCTGGTCAGTGGTCTGTAAACTGAGAATACATCCTTGGTCTTGTGGGCTCTTCTTTCTTATCTCACATGAATTGTCTTGTTCCAGAGGGCTATTGCCTGTGGATGCAGTGGACATTTTATTTTAGATGATCTAATTAATTTGGGAACCTAAATCTTGGTGTTCTCTTGCTGGGAGCTCAGATTATTTAAAGTCTCGAACTAGATGTTGGGTAGGCTCACACCAGGGCTAGCGGGCGGGAAGCAGGGTGGAATGTGAGCTACTAGCACGTCTCCGTCGGGTCTGACCTGCATCTAGGCCAGGTCTGCAGTACGCACGGAACTGAACAGCCCCGGCTCCACCCATAAATGCCAGATGGAAACCACTCCCCTGGCTGGTTCAAGCAGACACCTCCAGAGGAGCACCACTACCCTAGACTGCTCAGCACAGACATCATGAAGCTCTGGAAATGCCATGAGGACTTATCCATTTGGCAGCAATACTTCCTGGAGGCACCTAAATCAAATTACTTGTGTTAAGTGCTACAGAGTAAAACACCAACTTACTTCTAGGCAGGGTGGTAAACAGAAAATGGACTTTAGACGGAGATGGATCAGCCCAGGAACAAAAGGAAAACATAGATCAGAGGAACTAATGTAAGAGTAAAAAAAGAAAAACAGACACCCCTGGGCAGACGCAGGCTGGGGTGGAGCTGAGGCGTGGGTCTGAGGCTGAGCAGGGCCTGGCTGCAGCCTACAGCAGATGGGAGCCAGAGGGCGCAGCAAGACACAAGGCAGGGAATGTCTTATGTTGCCTCTTCCCCAGTTCACACCGGAACAGATACTGCCTGCACTTTCCTTCAGAAATCAGCAGTAACAGCCCAGCTGCCGGTTTCCAAGGGGTACCTGAGGCAGACCCCAGTCCCTGTGGAACTGAGGAATCATGGAGGGGTAAAGGCTGCTGCTGTTCTTTGGGTATTTTCTGACCTCCTGCCTCCAGCATCCCAGGGCTGGGAGTTGCGGGAGTGGCAACTCACAAGCTGCCCAGAGTGGGGGCAGCTCACAGCTGGAAGAGGGGGCACAATTCCCAGGTCTACCCTCTGTCCTGGGCCCCTGAGCGCCCCTCTGCTTCAACTCATCAGAAGCTTCAGAGACTAAAGCCTGGCCTTCAGCCCTTCCCTCACGCGCATCTCCAGACCACGTGGGGGAGCAGCTGACACCCCGAGGGGAATGTGTGCTCACAGGCCTGGAAGGGCAAATATAGATTTAAAAGGAGGAAAAAATCCCTAATTTTCCCTCATGCAAAATACAGAAAGAGATTCACCCCCTTGTTTTTTTTTGGTTTTTTTTTTGAGGCAGAGTTTCGCTGTTGTAGCCCAGGCTGGAGTGCAATGGCATGATCTCGGCTTACTGCAACCTCCGCCTCCTGGGTTCAAGCGATTCTTCTGCCTCAGACTCCCAAGTAGCTGGGATTACAAGTGCCCACCATCACGCCTGGCCAATTTTTTTGTATTTTTAGTAGAGTCGGGGTTTCACCATATTGGCCAGGCTAGTCTCGAACTCCTGACCTCAGGTGATCCGCCCACCTCAGCCTCCCAAAGTGCTGGGATTACAGGTGTGAGCCACCACGCCCGGCCACATTTTTTTCTTTGAGACAGGGTCTTGCTCTGTCACCCAGGCTGGAGTGCAGTGGCATGATCTTGGCTCACCGTAGCCTCAACCTTCCTGGGCTCAGGTGAATTCTCCCACAACAGCCTCCTGAGTAGCTGGGACTATAGGTGTACGCCACCATCCCCAGCTAATTTTTGTATTTTTTGTAGAGACGGGGTTTTGCCTTATTGCCCAGGTTGGCCTTGAACTCCTGGGCTCAAGTGATCCACTGGCCTTGGCCTTCCAAAGTGCTGGGACTACAGGTGTGAGCCATTGTGTCTGGCCTCGTTTAATTTTTATTCAATAATAAAATTATTTTTCTTTATTTTCTACTTTTGTGAAGAGGTCTTCTGGGTTGGCAGATTTTAGGTTTATTTCCCCAAATAATCAGGCCAAATAATCAGGTAACTAAGTATAACCATCATCTTTAAAACTTTTTCAAAAGTTTTTTTTTTTTTTGAGGTGGAGTTTCGCTCTTGTTGCCAGGGCTGGAGTGCAGTGGCGTGATCTCGGCTCACTGCAACCTCCACCTCCAAACTTTTGGAGCCCTTAACCCCTCCATGATTCCTCAGTTCCACAGGGACTGGGGTCTGCCTCAGGTACCCCTTGGAAACCAACAGCCTGGGCTGTTACTGCTGATTTCTGAAGGAAAGTGCAGGCGGTATCTTTTCCAGTTTTAAAAACTTTTAAAACTTTTTCAAAGACCACAAACTGCACAAAAGATACCATCTTAGGCAGAAGATGGAAAAGACTGACCAAGATTTAAAATAAGCATAATGAACTCAAAAAGCACCACATCCTGGTACACACGAATGCTCACACTTTACATTTCTTCACTGCCCATGGACCAGGCCACTTAGATGAAGCCAGACACGGAATCAGAGCCAAAGAACTGAAGGACACGCAGCTGCACAGGGACGCTCTTTCCTTCATCAGAATGAGTCTGAAAAGAAATGTCCAAAAAAAGCTTCCTGTAAACTTGGGAGACAAGAGGGACGGAAATTCTACCTCACGTAGCAATCCTGCCAAGCAACGTTTGTCCAGCACTTGCCATCTACACCTGTGGAGCGAGGCCACGTGGCCTAGGAATGGTTGTCGAGCAGCTCTGAAGCTCCCAGGGCTGAAGCAGGTGACTCCCAAGCACACGGCAAGGGCCCCACAGGCAAGGGGCTAACCGGCTAGCCAGGAAGATAACAAGTGGCACGAGGCCAGTGGCACCTTTCCAGAAAGTGAGGTAAACTGAGCGAGAAGACCTACAGCAAGAGCCCTTTTCTCGTCTTTGTGTGTCTTCACTGTCCCACAGAAATAGAGTAAGCAATGACTGAAGTCTCCGCTCCCCTGCCTCAAATGAGGGAGGAAAGTTAGGACTGGATATTAGCAAATGGCCGGGTTTTGCCTCAGGGCAACTGAAAAAAAGAGTACAGCCAGACGCCACTCCTCTGCGCGGTCTCCCACGTACCCCAGAGGCTGAGGATTGGAGAATTAGACAAGGGTCGTTCCCAGGTGACCCCACGCTCAGGAACCCCACGGTGCACAGCCAGCAGCAGCCACACCTGCAGGGCCCAGGAGGCGGGGACCAGTGTAGCTCACGCCTGGCACCTGCGGAAGCAGACATCAGCGTAGCTCACGCCTGGCACCTGCAGGGAGCAGGAGGCAGAGACCAGTGTAGCTCACGCCTGCTTGGTATCTGTTGGGGGAAAGGCTTATGGGGTGCCTGTATTAACTGGCCATAAAAATATGGGACAAGAAGTTGTGGAAAGCCACAAGAGGCCTCTGAGGAGGAAAGCCTTCTTATCGCCGTGATGTTCCCAGGCTCTGAGTGAGTTGCTCCATCATCCATAAACACTGTGTTCAAGGAGAAGGACACTCCTTTGAAGCACTGGAAGCCAGACGTGCAGGCTCCTACTTAAGCCCACTCCCACTAGCTACTCTCCGATAAGTTAAAAATAGGCTGTTTGAGCACAAAGGAGATTCATTTAAACCACCAGTGCTATAGATTACACGTATGATGGGCGCACTGCCTCCCTTTCACTGTTTCGCCCTGAACGTCTGCTTCTTAGCTGTAAGTGATGGTACTCAATCAATAGAGTGGAGACCAGAACCCTGCGCCTTTTGCAGCCTCCGATTTGCAATTGGCCCCCTGGCCCTCACTCTTTATGCACTCTTAACCTGTCTCTTCTCATTCCTTTGTCGCCACCGGACTTTGGGTACCCTACGGGTGGTGTTGAGGCTGGTCCCCAACAGTATCTGCAGGGAGCAGGAGGCGGAGACCAGTGTAGCTCGCGCCTGGCATTGGCTCCCAAGTTCTTAATGTCTCCCTCTCCGTCATTAAGAGAATCAAGGTAAGACTCAGGTCATGAGGGGAGACAGGTCCCAGTGTCAACAGGGACAGTTAACAGCCACAGTCTCTCTGGAAGCATTGGCTGAACTCTGGATTCTGACCCAAACCGTGGTGAATGGCAGAGCAAGGACACTGAGGTAGGAGGAATTCCTAGAAATGGCGGGAAAGGAGAGGCATGGCGCAGGCTTCGCCCGTTCGCAGCTGAAGTAGAGAGAAAGGTCAGAGGCTCTAAGAGGACTCTTTCTAGTCCGCAGTGTGAAGGGTTTGCGGCTCGAGGCAGATTCTCGAGAAAAAACATCCTGGAAGAGCCCAGAGATTGGCATCCAAAGACGCAGCTCCTCCTGAGACGCCTGGGAGCTCCTTCAGGCTTGTGGCACAGAGGTCGGGGGCTCTACCATCTAGGAGGCCCAGAGAGAAGCCCTGACTACAAAGAGACCCCATAGTTACTGGCATCCAAACCTGGGGTCCCTGAGATCAAGGTCCCCCTGCCCTCCCGGAAGCTTCGAATTAGTTCGGACCCTTTTTGAGTGAATGCAGAGGGGACCTCCTCCGGCTGCTTCTCCAGCAAAGGGAACATCTTGTCGTCCTGAGTCCAAAAGCAGCCACCCTGGCCTCCCCCTTCAGAATCCTGAGTATTTAATCCCTCTGCTCTCACATTCACACCGAAACTCTCACCCCACACACACTGATCTACAAGTACACGCACACTCAGACATGCGCACACACTCACGGATGCACACACATGCACACGTACAGACACGCACATACGTGCAGACGTGCACAGACGCACATACAGACACACAGACATGCACACACAGACGCACACGTACAGACATGCGCAGACATGCACACACACAGACGCACACACACTCAGACACACTAATACACCCGTACATCACACACAGACGTGCACACACACTGATGCACACGTACACACACACAAAGACAGGCATACACAGACACCCTGAGTACATCGCACATACACTCACAGACACACACAGATACACAGGTACACACACAGTACACACAGACATGCACACACACTCACAGATATGTACATCACACAGACATGTACAGACATACTGATAACACACGTACATCACAGACATGTACACACAGACACACTGATACATCATACACAGAGACATGTACACACACTGATAACGAACATCACACATACAGACATGTACAGACACACTGATACAAATACATCACACATACTCACAGACGCACACACATACTGATACACACGTAACGTATACACAGACACGTACACATAGACATGCACACACACACTCAGACACACTGATACACATGTACATCACACGCAGACATGTACAGACATACTGATAACACGTACATCACAGACATGTACACACAGATACATCATACACAGACATGTACACACACTGATACGTACATCACGCATACTCACAGACGTACAGACACACTGATACACAAGTACATCACGCATACACACACACTGGTACATAACGTATACACAGACGTACACACAGACATGCACACACACTCAGACACACTGATACACATGTACATCACACATACACTCAGACACGTACATACAGACGCACATGTACATCACACACAGATACACGTACACACAGACACGTACACAGACATGCACACACTGATACACACGTACATCACACACACAGACACGTACACACAGATACACACGTACATCACACATATACGTACACACAGATACGTACATCACACACACTCACAGACACGTACACCCACAGATACGTATCTCATACATATACACACTCAGACATGCACGCAGATTCATACATACATCACATATACACACACACGTACACACACACTGATGTACACGTACGTCACACACACACATACACACACTGATGCACACGTATACCATACACACAGACATGCACACACTCAGACACAGATACACACGTTCGTATCACAGACACGTACAGATACACTGATGCACACGTACATCCCACATAACATACACAGACATGCACAAACTCAGATATACACGTACACCACACATGCACACACAATGATACATACATGACACATACACATGTACAACACACATCACACAGACAAGTACACACACATTGATACACATGTACATCACACATCACACACATACACATACACCACACATACACATACACGCATACATCACACACTATACTCACACTCATACACACATACACACTCATACACACATCACACACATTCAAACACATACGTACATCACACAATACACATTCCCACACACGTACATACATCACATACACACACGTTCACACACATCACACACACACAGTCTCATTTACTCGCTACGAAAGCAGCATTTGCTGAATTCCTATTACACACCAGGCACTGTTCTGAGCACACGGGAAAGACCACTCAACAAGATGTACGGTGTCTCTGCCCTCTAGGGAAACAGCCAAGTAAATAAATGATTTCTGACTGTGAGCGCTCAGAAGAAATTTTAACTGTGGGCCAGGCGCGGTGGCTCACGCCTGTAATCCCAGCACTTTGGGAGGCTGAGGCGGTAGGCAGATCACTTGAGGTCAGGAGTTCGAGACCAGCCTGGCCAACATGGTGAAACCCCATCTTTACTAAAAATACAAAAAATTAGCCGGGCATGGTGGCGGGCACCTGTAATCCCAGCTACTGGGGGCGTTGAGGCGGAAGAATCACTGGAACCCAGGAGATGGAGGTTGCAGTGAGCTGAGATCACGCCACTGCACTCAAGCATGGGCGACTCTGTCTCAAAAAAAAAAAAAAAAAAAGGAAATTTTAACTGTGACCAAGGGATGAATGGGCAGAAGATATTCCTCCCAGACGTCGTAGAGGCTTGTGGGAGGAGGTGGCTTTTAGCTGAGCCTGAAGCAGGAGCAGTCCGCCACGGAAGGCTGGGCCGACCACACCACTCCAGGCACCTCAGATGCAAAGGTCTTGGGTGGGGGAGCCGGAGGTCATCAGGAGGGATGGAAGAGGCCTAGGAGGTACAAACAGCAAGGGGGAAATTCTACAAGGAGAAGACCTTAAGGCCAACGGGGTCACTGAGAACTTTTAAAAAAGGAAATAATCACGTAAAAAGAGTGATCACTGATCAGCGGTCACAAGCTACAAGGAGAGGGCCAAAGGGCAAAAAGACCTGTCACTCACGAGAGGCTTGCCTGAGCCAACCCACGACCCATTCACATTCGGATCTGCTTCCAGACCCACCAACACGGCCCTGCCAAGTTCCCCGGATTACCAAGTCCCAGAGAGGGCCTCCATCACACACACACCCCAGACACAAACCACTGAACTCCGCAGCTCCAAGCCCCTGCCAACCTCCAGCATCCCAAGTCCCCCAGTCACTCACAGTGACCACCTGAGAATTCTCCAGGTCCACATCCCAAGACATCCCCAGATCACTGAATCCAATAGGCCTGCTTCACAGACCTCCAGACCACACAACCACCGAACCCCATCAACCCCACTCTCACTCACCCCATGTGCCCCCATCACTCCCACAGGACCACAATGGCTGACTTCACAGGCCACCCAGTCTCTCTCCCCAAGAGGCCGCCCCTCCAGGGCCTTCAGAGACACACACTATGGGTTCCCCAGTGACCATCCAACAAAGACCCCAGGCGGTAACTCTAGTGGCCCCACAACAGCCTCCAGAAACACCTGACCACAGACTCCACAGACTGGCACAGTATAGACCACTAATCACAGATACCCAAAGGCCACTAACTTATTATTATCTTTTTTAAGATGGAGTCTCACTCTGTCATCAGGCTGGAGTGCAGTGGCAAAATCTCGGTTCACTGCAACCTCTGCCTCCTGGGTTCAAGCAATTCTCCTGCCTCAGCCTCCTGAGTAGGTGGGATTACAGGCGCCCACCACCATGCCCAGCTAATTTTTGTATTTTTAGTAGAGACGGGGTTTCACCATGTTGGCCAGGATGGTGTGGATCTCTTGACCTCCTGATCTGCCTGCCTCAGCCTCCCAAAGTGCTGGGATTACAGGTGTGAGCCACGGTGCCCAGCTAAGGCCACTAACTTCTAACTCCACATTCACCGCAAATGGCAAACAAACTCTTAGGCTCCCCAGGCTTCCCTCTCACTGACACCCACAGGGTCCCCAATTTCTCACCCTCACCCACCCGCACACCCATCACAGACACTTGCACGCATACTTGGCATTGATCCCAAGCCCTCCGATCATTCCTCCTCACAGACCTCACTGCCCACCCCATCAGTCATTCAGTCATCTCTGGTACCCGGTCACTAATACAAACAAGCTCCTTCTCACCTGGTTCCAACACCCTCAAATAACAAAGCCAATGCCAGGGCACGAGCCAATAAAACTGTCCCCCATTCAACGATGTACACTGGACCCTTTATTCCTAATCCTCCACAGGCCCCCAGACACTTACCATTCCTACGTCACACCATAGACCTCACAGGCCAGGCAGAGTTATCCCTACAGGCCCAACTGATGACTGGACCTCAGTGACTCCCACAGGGCTTTTAAATACAGATGCCAGACACCATAATCACCAGCACCCCCAAAGCCCCACTTAAGAATCACCACAGACTGAAACCCCAAACTCTGAGTCCCAAAGGATCCCCACAGAACTCAGATACTCCTGCAGATGAGCTGGGGAGGGGAGGAGAAGGGTGGGGAGCGGGGGAGAAGGGGCTTCAGTCACTCCTGCAGGTGAGGTGGGGAGGGGATGAGAAGGATGGGGGAGGAGAAGGGTAGGGAGGGGAGGAGAAGGGTGGGGAGGGGAGGAGAAGGGGCTTCTGTCCTGGGACGAACACACTGGTCTCCATTCACTCACTTCATCAGGTGCCCAAGTCAGGCGCTCACAGAGCCCCTCCCCTGTAACTGACATTCTGAGGCTTGCGCCACAGACCCCCTAAATTAGACCCCAGTCACTCAATGCCCAGGGATCCCTAATCCCTTATCCCCGGGGCCCCCAAGCATTCGCCCCCATGACACCCCATTCTCTAATCCACTCCATGCTGGAGCATTCACTGACATTCCCACAGGCCCTCCCAAACACCACCTGGAAAGGGATTGTGGGGCTCTGCACAAATGCCGATCCCGCAGGCCCCTCCAATGACGCCAAGTATGACCCCCGTTGTCCACGCACTCACAACTTGCAACAGGTCCACCATTAACTTACATCCAGACTCCCTTGTCACAAATACACAGCGCCATTCCTAATGCTTCCATCATAAGATCCCCAAACACAAGCACAGAAACAAACCCCAGCCACTCGCCAGCATAGGCCACCCCATACTCGCCTCCGCTATTGGAGACAGGGGTTGAAAGAGCAACCACTGTTATTCAGCTGTCAAATAAAACATACAACTGGACAGAGCAAAGAAAGACGGTTCCAAAGGGTTATTGGAAGTGGGGAAAAAAAGACGCGGAAGAGGGTTGGGAAGGGGAAGGAGAACGGGCTTCTGGGAAGAACCGTGAAGCCACGAGACTCACGTGCATCTCTGCAAGGCAAAAAGGGTTTTTCTTTCACAGAGAGGTGTGAACAAGGTTAGCAAAGACCAGGCCTGGCCAAGCGAGGTGGAAGTGCGGGCGACCAGACAGCAGAGCGGGGAAAGCTTGACCCTGAGCCAGCCTGTTCTCAGGCGAGGCTGCGTGTTGGCTCAGGCTGGGGATGGGCCAAAGCTCAAGAAAATGGGGAAAGGAAAGAAGCTTAGCTAAAGTTTGCTTAAGGAGCATTTTGCTCCGACCGCTCGGTGGAGTTCAGCCAGTCACCGATGAGGCAAGCGACGGCAACGTGGCAGGTCTGTGTGAACAAGGGGCATCCTGGAGGCTGACCAAAGTCATATAGGGAACGGGAGATCTTTGCAGTGAGCCATTTGCTGGAACCCAAAAGGGTGGGAAATTCCTCAACCTTCGCTGTTTTCCAGGAGCACAGGGCTCTGGTGAAATCCAACACTGTCACAGCCGGCAGGCTTTCCAGTGAATGGAACCCACACAAGCAAGCCCCTAAGCCCTCCAACGCAGGCCCCCGCAGAAGCCTCATCATTCACCCCGCTGGCCTCCAATGCTCACCCAAAGGCATCCAAATCATTCATCAGCAGAGTCCTAATCGCTGCAGACAAATCCTCCACACGGCCTCCCAGGGGCCCCTCTCCCCTGGGGCCAAGGGCAACCTCGCGTCCCCTTGCCCCGCCCGTGCTGCACCCCAAGTCTACAGCGACCTCCATAGGCCCCCAGTGAATCGCCCAGCTGACCCCAAATCTCCCCCGACACCCACATTCAGCGCCCCGCCGCCGCCCGCCCTACAGCCCCCACCCCACCCTCTGCCTCCCACCCCCGCGCGCCCCCAGAGCCCCCGCCTGAGGCCCGCCTTCCGCGCATGCGCCCAGGCCGGTCCGCAGGCCTTTCTCGCCCCAGCCGGCAGCCAGCTCGTTCGCGCTGGGGTCACCGCGAGCCGGTCCGCAGCGGGGTCACCGCGATCCCCGGCGCAGACACAGAGGCCGCCCCCAGCCCCGCCGCCTCGTGGTCCCGCCCCCGCTGCACGCTCCCTTACCCCTCGGACCTCGCAGGGCCGCGGCGGACACGGCCCGATCGGGGACGTGAACGCGCAGAACTACATTTCCCAGCGTCCCGCTCGCGCTGGAACTACACTTCCCGGGGGGCTCGGCGGTGCACCCGCCGGGGTCGCGGATTGGAGGTTTCCGGTTGGAAAAGCCCCTTGGCGGCTAACTGGGGAGGACTGGAAGAAATCTAGGATGGAGCCAGCACTGCTGGCCCAACATGTCTGTGAGAGAACCTAAAGGCGCCTCCAGGAGGAAGCGTCTGCATCTTTTCCTTGTTTTTTTTTTTTTTTTTTTTGGAGGCAGGGTCTCGCTCTGTCACCCAGTGGGGAGTGCAGTGGTGCCATGAACGCTCATTGCAGCCTCAGGCTGGTCTCCGACTCCTGGGTTCAAATGATCCTCCTGCCCCAGCCTCCCAAAATGCTGGAATTACAGGCATGAGTCACTGCGTCCGGCTGCTTTTCCATTTTTCATCGTAGCTGTAAGTAATATCGGTAAATGTTAGTGTTACGTGCGTCCGTATAGGAGACCACCTGAGCAGGCTAAGTGTGAGCAACACGCCTGTTTATTCACTTGGGTGCAAGTGGGCTGAGTCTGAGAAAGGAGTCAGCGGAGGGTGGTGGGCTTGTCATTGGTTCTTATAGCTTTGGGATAGGATAGGCGGTGGAGTCAGCAGCAATTTTTTTTTTTTTTTTTTTTTTTGAGACAGAGTCTCACTCTGTCGCCGAGGCTGGAGTGCAGTGGCGCGATCTCGGCTCACTGCAAGCTCCGCCTCCCGGGTTCACGCCATTCTCCTGCCTCATCCTCCTGAGTAGCTGGGACTACAGGCACCCGCCACCACGCCCGGCTAATTTTTTTGTATTTTTAGTAGAGACGGGGTTTCACTGTGTTAGCCAGGATGGTCTTGATCTCCTGACCTCGTGATCCGCCCTCCTCGGCCTCCCAAAGTGCTGGGATTACGGGCGTGAGCCACCGCGCCCGGCCTCAGCAGCAATTTTTTGCGGGCAGGGGAGGATGTTACAAAGTACATTCACAAGGGCGGGGAGGGTGTATTGTCACAAGGGCGGAGAGGAATGTTACAAAGTACATTCACAAGGACCGGGAATATTACAAAGTACATTATCACAAGGGTGGGGGAATGTCACGATGGCTTGACCATGGTGCGGCCAGCTCAGAGGACCTTACATTTAGTACATCCAATCCAGCAGTATTGACAAAAGGAATGAAAATAGATGATAGGGTTGGGCGCGGTGGCTCACGGCTGTAATCCCAGCACTTTGGGAGGCTGAGGTGGGCGGATCACCAGGTCAGGAGATTGAGACCATCCTGGCCAACACGGTGAAACCCCGTCTCTACTAAAAATACAGAACATTAGCTGGGCGTGGTGGTGGGCGCCTGTAATCCCATCTACTCGGGAGGCTGAGGCAGGAGAATCACTTGAACTCGGGAGGCGGGGGTTGCGGTGAGCCATCATGCCGCTGCACTCTAGCCTGGCAACAGAGTGAGACCTCATCTCAAGAAAAAAAAAAGGAAAAATAAATGAGATGAGGACATTACAGGGAAATAAAATATATTTATGGATATATAAAGCAGTGGCTTGTCCCTGTAGTCCCAACTACTGGAGGCTGAGGCAGGAGGATTGCCTGAGCCTGGGAGGTTGAGGCTGCAGTGAGCTATGATGGCAACACTGCACTCCAGCCTGGGCCACAGAGGGAGACACCTTCTCTTAAAAATATTTTTTGGCCAGGCCAGGCGCGGTGGCTCACACCTGTAATCCCAGCACTTTGGGAGGCTAAGGCGGGCGGATCACCTGAGGTCAGGAGTTCGAGACCAGCCTGACCAACATGGTGAAACCCCATCTGTACTAAAAATATAAAAATTAGCCAGGTGTGGTGGCTCATGCCTGTAATGGCTCATACCTGTAATCCCACCTACTCAGGAGGTGGAGGCATGAGAATTGCTTGAACCCAGGAGGCAGAGGTTGCAGTGAGCTGAGATCTCACCACTGCACTCCACCCTGGGAGACAGAGTGAGATTCTGTCTAAAAAAAAAAAAAAAGAAAAAGAAAAACTGTAAAAGCATATTAGTTTTTTAAAATAAAAATGGGGAGAAACAGGAAACACACTCACAATTGGCAATTTAAAAAATTGAAATGGCCATAAAGACCAAATTAAAGTATATATGAAATAATATTTTGCTCAATTCTATATTAGTAAATTTGGAGCCTGTGAGAGATGGAGTTTTGCTCTTGTCGCCCAGGCTGGAGTGCAGTGGCACAATATCGGCTCACTGCAGCCTCCGCCTCCTGAGTTCAAGTGATTCTCCTGCCTCAGCCTCCCGAGTAGCTGGGATTGCAGGCGTGCGCCACCACGCCCGGCTAATTTTTGTATTTTTAGTAGAGACGTGGTTTCACCATGTTGGTCAGGCTGATCTTGATCTCTTAACCTCGTGATCCGCCTGCCTCGGCCTCCCGAAGTGCTGGGATTACAGGCGTGAGCCACTGCGCCCAGCCACTCCCAGCTACTTTTTGTATTTTTAGTAGAGATGGGTTTCACCATGTTGGCAAGGCTGGTCTCAAACTCCTGACCTCTGGTGATCCATGCGTCTCGGACTCCCAAAGTGCTGGGATTACAGACCTGAGCCACCGTACCCAGCCCACATTGCCCTGCTTCTAACTGAGATTCAACTTTATTTAAGCAAACCAATTCCATGCTCAACAGAGCTAAAATTAAAATTCTGCTTTAAGGTAGTTTTGTTTTTGTTCTCAGAAAATTTTGCTGTTCACAGATTTATGATTTTCACTTTTCTCCGAGGTTAAGCGTGTCATTTATTAAATGACTTACTAGAATTTATACGCCTTTTTTTTTTTTTTTTTTTTGAGATGGAGTCTTGCTCTGTCACCCAGGCTGGAGTGCAGTGGCGCGATCTCAGTTCACTGCTACCTCTGCCTCCTGGGTTGAAGCAATTCTCCCGCCTCTGCCCCCCGAGTAGCTGGGATTACAGGCACCCACCATCATGCCTGGCTAATTTTTTGTATTTTTGTAGAGACGAGGCTTCACCATGTTGGCCAGGCTGGTGTCGAACTCATGACCTCAGGTGATCCGCCTGTCTTGGCCTCCCAAAGTGCTGGGATTACAGGCATGAGCCACTGAGCATGGCCATGGCCTTTTCTTTCATTCCAATTTTGGTCAGGAAAGAAAACAGTTTCTCTCTCTAAAAAAAAATTCCATGGCTTAAGTAAAACTTGTAAGTTTAAAAAAAAAAAAAACTGGCTAAACTCTTAAGTTCAGTTCATTTGGCACATCTGAAGTCCCATTTTAAATGACCAAAGCCAGTAAAAAAAACTTTGTATAAAGACAGAGATAAGTCTTAAAGATAAGACACTCTTTCTCCCAGCCACAAGATAATTTAGTGACTTAGGTTTTGTGAAACTTTAAGCTCATCGTTCATGACATACGTTGGACCCATAAGACTCCCCTCAACAAAAAAAATACAAAAATCTCCTAGTGCCCTAAGTGCCCAAAATTACTGGGTTTCACCAAGACATCTATTGAAAAGTGACTCTTCAATAAATAATCCTTATTAAGCAGCATACCAGATCCAACAACTCTTTCCCTTTCAGTCTTTGATCTTTAAAACAAAAACCCCAAATTATGGACATTCATCCATCTAAAACTGAGTCTTTCCCCTTCAAAAGAAATACACCTTTAATGGCTGGATGCAGTGCCTCACGCCGGTAATCTCAGTGCTTTGGGAGGCTGAGGTGGGTGGAGCACAAGGTCAGGAGTTCGAGACCAGCCTGTCCAACATGGTGAAACCCCGTCTCTACTAAAAATACAAAAATTAGCTGGGCATGGTGGCCGGCGCCTGTAATCCCAGCTACTTGGGAGTCTGAGGCAAGAGAATTGCTTGAAACAGAAAGGTGGAGGTTGCAGTGAGCTGAAATTGTGCCACCGTATTCCAGTCTGGGCAAAAGAGCGAAACTCCATCTCAAAAAAAAAAATATATATATACCTTTAAGTAACTCCAGCTAAATTCATATATAGTACTTATGATGCGACCTCCTGTCAATATCTTTTAAAATGGTCTTATTTAACCCATAAAGACCCCAAACTACAAAGACCAAAATGAAATGACATTAAAAATACCTTAATTAGTTTATTTACGTGCATAATTTTTAAAAACTGAGTCTAAAATTTTTAAAAAATTGAAAGTTACTTTCAATAATACTAAAAAGCATCTAAAAGAGACTGAAAATTTCTTTCCCTACAGAAAAAATTAAACTCTTTAGAACTATTGATATATTAAAAAAGGAAACTGCCAAAACTTCTCACCCTTCTGCTTCTGCATCTCTTTATCCCTCCTTCTCCAAACTGCCTTGCCAAGACTTGACTTCTTTTTTCCTCCTCCCCATACAATCACTTATCTTTTGTAAATTAATATGTATTAATGTGGAGTCCTAATTAGGGAAAAAGAGACAGGGTAGTGGGAGCAGGGGAAAGCAAAATACGAAATAAGAGAAAGCAGATAAGCTGTAAGTCTGCCTTTCTTAATGGTCCAGGACACAGAGCTGTCATAACTCACAATCTTCCTGTGGCCAGCTATCACCAGATCCTCGGCTGATACAAAAAATGCACGTCAGCTTCCTGCAACCTTGGTGTTGTCAGAACTGAACGTAGCACTCTGCAGCCCAAGAACCACCTATTACATCTCCAGGAAACCTTTGTTTCCTTGCAGTCAGTTCCTCTCTTGCTGGCTGCCTGTTACCTTCTTGAAAGTATTTTCCTACTTTCTCTAATAAATCTGCCTATCTTGGTAAATTTTTTTTTTTTTTTTTTTGAGACGGAGTCTTGCTCTGTCACCAGGCTGGAGTGCAGGGGCGCGATCTCGGCTTACTGCAACCTCCAACTCCTGGGTTCAAGCTATTCCACTGCCTCAGCCTCCCAAGTAGCTGGGACTACAGGTGTGTTCCACCACGCCTGGCTAATTTTTTGTATTTTGGTAGAGACGGAGTTTCGCCATGTTGGCCAGGATGGTCTCGATCTCCTGACCTCATGATCCGCCCGCCTCGGCCTCCCAAAGTGCTGGGATTACAGGTGTGAGCCACCGCGCCTGGCCCTGTCTTGGTAAATTCTTTTACTCCTATTCCACTTTCCCATATAGTCACTGCTCCCCCACGACAATTTATATATCTATACAAGTTGTAAATATATATATTTATAATTGTATGTATTTAACATATATGCCTTTTTATCGTCCTGTACCTAACCTAACTCAGACCAAATAACACAGAAAACCCATAACTACTACATCTTCAATATAAAATAGTGAGTATATCTTCCCCCTAAAGAAACTACCTTAACTAATCAGGCCATTATAACTCTACATTAAGCCTTATATGTAAAGAATTAAAGTTCTGCTAAACTTTCCTAAACATTGTCTATATAAACAATCCCAAACTTCTACACTTCAAAATATGAACTTTCTTTCTTTAAGATTTATACTTCCCAGGTGGCTGTCCTCAAACTTTACACTTAAACTCTCTTTAAACTAGATTCTGATCCTTTCAGTTATTTTATTTTATTTATTTATTTATTTTTGAGACTGAGTTTCGCTCTTGTCATCCAGGCTGGAGTGCAATGGCGCGATCTCGGCTCACTGCAACCTCCGCCTCCCGGGTTCAAGCGACTCTCCTGCCTCAGCCCCCTGAGTAGCTGGAATTACAGGTGCCTGCCACCACGCCCGCCACGCCTGGCTAAATTTGTATTTTTAGTGGAGACGGGGTTTCGCCATGTTGGCCGGGCTGGTCTCCATCTCCTGACCTCAGGTGATCCACCCGACTTGGCCTCCCAGAGTACTGGGATTACAGGCATGAGCCACCCACACCCAGTCAGATCCTTTTAGTTATTTTATTATTATTATTATTATTATTATTATTATTATTATTATTTGAGACGGAGTCTTGCTCTGTAGCCCAGGCTGGAGTGCAGTGGCGTGATCTCGGCTCACTGCAACCTCTACCTCCCAGATTCTGCCTCAGCCTCTCGAGTAGCTGGGATTACAGGCGTGCACCACCACACCCAGCTAATTTTTTGTATTTTTAGTAGAGACAGGGTTGCACCTTGTTAGCCAGGATGGTCTGCATCTCCTGACCTCGTGATCTGCCCGCCTCGGCTTCACAAAGTGCTGGGATTACAGGCTTGAGCCACCATGCCCGGCTGATTTTATGTTTTTTATTATGTTTATTATTACTATCATTTGAGACGGAGTCTCGCTCTGTCGCCCAGCCTGGAATGCAGTGGCACGATCTCTGCTCACTGCAAGCTCCGCCTCCCGGGTTCACACCATTCTCCTGCCTCAGCCTCCCGAGTAGCTAGGACTACAGGCGCCCACCACCAAGCCCGGCTAATTTTTTGTATTTTTTAGTAGAGACGGGGTTTCACCATGTTAGCCAGGATGGTCTTGATCTCCTGACCTTGTGATCTGGCTGCCTTGGCCTCCCAGAGTGCTGGGATTACAGGCGTGAGCCACCGCACCTGGCCAAACTTTTTATATTTTTAGTAGAGATGGGGTTTAAACATATTGGCCAGGCTGGTCTCTTAACTCCTCCCACCTCGGCCTCCCAAAGTGCTGGGATTATAGGCGTGAGCCAGCACACCAGGCCCTTTTAGTTATTTTAAATTAGCATATCCTATGCTGATTGAAGCCCTGGAGTCAGCTATTCCTGAAGCCTACAGATCGACTTCTTTGGTTATAAAAGCCAATAGATTTCCTCTATTAGTCTAAGCTAGTTTGAGTTATATTTCTGGCAGAGCCTTATTACAAATTTACTCTTTTTTTTTTCTTTTCATTTCTTTCTGTTTGAGACAGGATCTTACTTTGTGAACCAATGGGAATGCAGTGGTGCAAATACAGTTTGCATCTCCACCTTCCAGGCTCAGGTGATCCTCCCACCTCAGCCTCCTGAGTAGCTGGGACCACAGGCACGTGCCACCATGCCTAGCTAATTTTTTTTTTTTTGAGGCAGAGTCTAGCTCTGTTGCCCAGGCTGGAGTGCAGTGGCACGATCTCGGCTCACTGCAACCTCCACCTCCTGGGTTCAAGTGATTCTCATGCCCCAGCCTCCCGAGTAGTTGGGATTACAGGCACATACGACCATGCCTGGCTAATTTTTTGTATTTTTAGTAGAGACAGGGTTTCACCATGTTGGTCAGGCTAGTCTCAAACTCCTGACCTCAGGTGATCCGCCTACCTCGGCCTCCCATACTGCTGGGATTACAGGCTTGAGCCACTGTGTCCAGCCTAATGCCTGGTTAATTTTTGTAAAGACGGGGTTTCACCATGTTGCCCAGGCTGCTCTCGAACTCCTGAGCTCTAGTGATCCACCCACCTTGACCTCCCAAAGTGCTGGGATTACAGGTATGAGCAATTGCACCCAGCCACAAATTCACTTTTACTTCGAAAGAGTCTTAATACAAACTTACTGTAGTAATTATGTAGGGCATTCCCAGCATCTGTTTCCATGCCAATCAAAAGAACCCTAAGATAAATAATTTAAAAATATAGAAGTAAAAGAAATCTGTGTGCCGCAAACCACCCAGGTGCCGAGGCAAGAGACCGAGGGCACAAGCTGCTCCAGTATAATAAAGAAAATATATAGAATAAGAATAGTTATACTAGAAATAGATTATAGATATGATTATATATGAATATCAATCATTAGTTTGTAGCATTACTCTTTATTCCAATATTATAATAATGTTTGTTCTACAATTATAACCTTGGAAAAACCAGGCCATACAGAGATAGGAACTGAAGGGACACGGTGAGAAGTGACCAGAAGACAAGTGTGAGCCTTCTGTCACACCCGGACAGGGCCACTAGAGGGCTCCCTGGTCTAGCGGTCGCGCCAGCGCCTGGGAAGGCACCCGTTACTTAGCAGACCAGGAAAGGGAGTCTCCCTTTCCCTTGGGGAGATGAGGGAAGACTCTGCTCCACCACCTCTTGTGGAAGGCCTGACATCAGTCAAGCCCGCCTGCAGCCATCCAGAGGCCTAAACGTCTCCCTGTGATGCTGTGCTTCAGCGGTCATGCTCCTGGTCCACTTTCATGTTCCACCCTATACACCTGGCTCCACCTTCTAGATAGCAGTAGCAGAATTAGTGAAAGTATTAAGCTGTTGATTCCTCCAAGAAATGCATATAAGAAATAATGACATAAGCTGTTCTCCCTCCCCACTCCCCTCTCTGCCTCGGCTGCCAGGCAGGGAAGGGCCCCTTGTCCAGTGGACACGTGACTCGCGTGACCTTACCTATCATTGGAGGTGGCTCACACTCCTTACCCTGTGCCCTTGTCTTGTATCCAACAAATAACAGCGCAGCCTGGCATTCGGGGCCACTACCGGTCTCTGCGTCTTGGTGGTAGTGGTCCCCCGGGCCCAGCTGTCTTTTCTTCTGTCTCTTTGCCTTGTGTCTTTATTTCTACAATCTCTCGTCTCCGCACATAAAGAGAAAAACCCACAGGCTCTGTAGGGCTGGTCCCTATAGAAATCATGTATGCTTATTTGTTGTTGTAACTTTACTTTTTTGTTCGTTTGTTTGTTTTGAGATGGAGTCTCGCTCTGTCGCCCAGGCTGGAGTGCAGTGGCGCGATCTCGGCTCACTGCAAGCTCCGCCTCCCGGGTTCACGCCATTCTCCTGCCTCAGCCTCCCGAGTAGCTGGGACTACAGGCGCCCGCCACCATGCCCGGCTAATTTTTTGTATTTTTTAGTAGAGACGGGGGTTCACCATGTTAGCCAGGATGGTCTGCGTCTCCTGACCTCGTGATCCACCCACTTCGGCCTCCCAAAGTGCTGGGATTACAGGCGTGAGCCATACTTTTTTTTTTTTTTTTTTAATGCATGTTGTTGCAACTCTGCTTTTTCTTCTGAGACAGGGTCTCACTCTGTCACCCAGGCTGGAGTGCAAGGGTGTGATCATGCCTCATTGCAGCCTTGGCCTCCTCCCACTCAGCCTCCCAAGTAGCAGGGAGTACAGGCACATGCCACCGTGCCTAGATAATTTTCTGAAAATTTTTTTTGTAGAGACAGGTTTTGCCATCTTGCCCAGGCTGGCCTCAAAGTCCTGAGCACAAGTGCTAGAATTACAGGCGTGAGCCACCATGACTGCGTGCCTGGCCCAACTCTACCTCTTTTTTTTTTTTTTTTTTTTTTTGAGATGGAGTCTCTGTAGGCTGGAGTGCAGTGGCGTGATCTTGGCTCATTGCAATCTTGGCTCATTGCAATCTCCATCTCCCAGGTTCA
This sequence comes from Homo sapiens, assembly GCF_000001405.40. Classification (NCBI taxonomy): domain Eukaryota; kingdom Metazoa; phylum Chordata; class Mammalia; order Primates; family Hominidae; genus Homo; species Homo sapiens. The sequence continues at coordinate 132,965,551 of NC_000012.12, forward strand.
AGCGATTCTCCTGCCTCAGCCTCCCCAGTAGCTGGGATTACAGGCACATGCCACCATGCCCAGCTAATTTTCGTATTTTTAGTAGACATGGGAATTTGCCATGTTGGCCAGGCTGGTCTCAAACTCCTGGCCTCAGGTGATCCGCCCTCCTTGGCCTCCCAAAGTGCTGGGATTACAGGCGTGAGCCATTGGGCCCGGCTAACTCTGCTTCTTTTAATGCCCGAACACTGTCCCTGATCATCTAGGAACAGAATGGTTATCTTGTGTTGATTCTATCGTGTCTCACATACCCAAATGTTCTCATTGTTCTTCGCTGGTCTGTATCCTGTCGTTCATTATTTTTACAGGTGTCTATTTCTCTTACGCACTTTTCCAGGACCTCTTTTCTTTCCCGTCCATGTAAATCTAACCGTAGATTCCTAACTGTAGATTCTCCGCCCCTCCATGTAAATCTAACGGTAGATTCCTAACCGTAGATTCTCTTCCCTCAAAGGAGCTCTGCGTCGTTTTAGGCCAGTTGCAGCTTTACACGTAACAAAAGATTCATATAATTATGAATAAGAAGACCTGGGGTAGCAGGAGACCAGGGTTCTTGTCTAATATGGATAGCTCTGGGAAGCCTGCATGATTAGGGACTATGCATTTAAACTTACGTCAACGATATAATCTCACAATCCAGGTGGAAGGACGGCCTAAGAACGGTCATAAGTGGTGACTAAGTTTGCTTCAGTTAGAGAACTGGGCATAGAATATGTGTCTGGAATTTGCTAAAAATACAATTTGTTAGGAATGTTATGAGGCTATAGCAGTGCCTTATTAGCTCTGGGTTTAGATAGAAAGGGAAGATTAAATTGTGGCAGCGGCGGGCTGTCTGGAGTGCCTGCTGCCATCATGCAGGCTGCAGCAGCGGAGCACGCCTGGGGCTACATGCTCCATGGAGCTGGGGACAAGTGAGCACGTCGTCCCTTCCAAGTTGGGGTGGGAGTTCCCCAGGTGCCACTGCAGCTGCCCAAACCACCCAGGTATCCCCGTGCTCTCAGGGTGGGGAGCAGGCTGGAGCCCCACCCTCCTGGACACAGCTGCAGCTGTCCAAACTGTGGCTGCAGATCTGAGCCTCTGGCTCCATGAAACAGGCAGGAATCCCACCCCGCCCCTCCTTCCCACGCAGCTGCAAACCATGACTGCAGACCCAGGCATCTCTGCACTCTGGAGGGCCCAGGAAGACCCCCCTGACCTCGCAGGCTGGGAAATGCCTGCTCCCCCTGCCTGGCTTTTCTCTGCTGTCGGTGCCTGCTCCAATCTCGGAGCAAAGCTGGGGCCAAGCCTGGGCACTGTCACAGCCTGGCTGGGTGTGCACGCTCTCAAGGCAGTGCTGACCCGCCAGTCCCTTGCTGCCTCAGCCCCCTCTGGACATTGGGCACTGATGAGCATAGGAGGGAAGATGATGGGGGGCTGAGGGCAGCTTGGCACTGCCCAGCCTGGGCACCATGAAGACAGCAGGAGGCAGACAGGTTCCTGGGTGGAAGGGGGCGTGTCCCTGGTGAGCCCCACCTTGAGGCCAGGAAGGGCTAGAAGGCTGGGGGCCGGGCTCCCAGTCCCGCAGACCAGAGCGGGAACTTGTGGTGCCTTTTCCAGGCCCACCCACAGCCACCCATGGACCCATTGGAAGGCTCTTTCTCCTCTCTGAGGCCCATGAAAGCCCCAGGCTCAGCCAGAGCTGAGCAGGTGTCAGGATAACCAGCTGTGGAGAAGAGCTACCCAGTCCAGGGCCTCCTCTCTGCTGAAAGCTGCAGAGATAATGGGATGACCTGCTTGTAGAGAGTGAGAACACCTCCGACTCCAGGGTGTTCTCTCTGCTAGGAGCTGAATGCTTGTCAGGACACCCTGGCTGCAGAAAGGAGCTACCCACTGTGGGTCTCCTCTGAGCTGTTCTATTGCTCAATAAAGCTCCTCTTCACCTCGCTCACCCTTCACTTGTCCGTGTACCTCTTTCTTCCTGGTCGCAGGACAAGAACTCAGGATCTGTTGAATGGTGGGGCTAAAAGAGCTGTAACACAAACAGGGCTGAAACATGCCCCTTGCTCACCATGTTGCGAGTGCAGAGGAGAGAAGAGCTGCGGCCCTTCGGGGATCCCAGACCTGGAAGCTCCCTGAGCCAGGGCTGTGACTCCCTCTTAGGGGCCCTGTGGTCCTTGGCATCACCAAGCTTCTGAATGCCACTGCGTTTCCCAGTGCCAGCTGTTGAAGCTGCTTGTGGTGTACCTGGTCCAGCCACAGCTTTGCCGAGAGCTGGTGCCTATTCCAGCACCTGGAGCTGCCCACCCCACTGCAGCAGCCGGCATGTCTACTGTGTAGCGGCCAGACCCCATGCTCGCTCACACACTCCTCATCGCGCCACGCCTGACTCAGCCTTTGCAGGCATAGGATCTAGACAGGTAGCGCAAGCCAAGCACAGGATCCAGACAGGTGGCGCGAGCCAAGCGCAGGATCCAGACAGGTGGCGCGAGCCAAGCGCAGGATCCAGGCAGGTGGCGCGAGCCAAGCGCAGGATCCAGGCAGGTGGCGCGAGCCAAGCGCAGGATCCAGGCAGGTGGCGCGAGCCAAGCGCAGGATCCAGGCAGGTGGCGCGAGCCAAGCGCAGGGTCCAGACAGGTGGCATGAGCCAAGCACAACATGCCAGGCTGAGTGGACAGAATGAGTCTAGAGGGCCTGAGCAAAACTCGGGCAAAGGCGCCACAGGCCACAGAGGTTTCTGGCTGGAAAAGCAACACCCCAAGGATCCTGAGACAACTGGGGGTAAATGGAATAAAGAAAAGAACTCAGGATTTGGATCCCTAATGACCCAGACTTTATACCATAAGTCCTTCAATTGCTACCTATGTCCTTGGGCAAATAGCAAATTTTCTATGCTTGTTTCTTCACAATGAGCAGGTGTCAGTCCATTCTTGCATTGCTATAAAGAAATACCTGAGACTGGGTAATTATAAGAAAATAGGTTTATTTGGCTTACAGCTCTGCAGGCTGTACAGGAAACAGTCCTGGCATTTGCTTCTGGGGAAGGCTTTGGAAGCTTCCAGTCATTGTGGAACATGGAGTGGAGCAGGCATCTCATGCGGCAGAAATGGCAGAAAAATGGAGGAGGCACCACACTTTTAAACAACCAGATCTTGGCCAGGCGAGGTGGCTCACACCTGTAATCCCAGCACTTTGGGAGGCTGAGGTGGGCGGATCACGAGGTCAGGAGATCAAGACCATCCTGGCTAACACAGTGAAACCCTGTCTCTACTAAAAATACAAAAAATTAGCCGGGCACAGTGGTGGACACCTGTAGTCCCAGCTACTCGGGAGGCTGAGGCAGGAGAATGGTGTGAACCCGGGAGGTGGAGCTTGCCGTGAGCCAAGATTGCGCCACTGCACTCCAGCCTGGGCGACAGAGTGAGACTGTCTCAAAAAAAAAAAAAAAAGAAAAAAAGAAACAACCATGTCTTGTGAGAACTCACTCATTATTGGATTACACCGAACCACGAGAGATCTATCCTCATGACCCAAACACCTCTCACCAGGCTCCACCTCCAACACTGGGGATTACATTTCAACATGAGATTTGGGTGGGAACATACATTCAAACTATATCTAGTTTCATATATTCAAACTATATCAGAGCATAATAAAAAGATCCTCATAGAGTTGTTTTAAGAATAAGGAATGATGGGCTGGGCGTAGTGGCTCACGCCTGTAATCCCAGCACTTAGGGAGGCCAAGGCGGGCTGACCACCTGAGGTCAGGAGATAGAGACCAGCCTGGCCAACATGGTGAAACCCTGTCTCTACTAAAAATACAAAAATTAGCTGGGCATGGTGGCGGACACCTGTAATCCCAGCTACTCAGGAGGCTGAGGCAGGAGAATTGCTTGAATCCAGGAGGCGGAGGCTGCAGTGAGCCGAGATCACGCCATTGCACTCCAACCTGGGGGACAAAAGCGAGACTTCATCTCAAAAAAAAAAAAGGAATGATGTTGATAAAGTGACTAACATAAAGAAAATGGGGGCTGCTCTTCCACTATGTGATGGTCAACACTGAGTGTCAACTTGATTGGATTGAAGGATGCTAAGTATTGATCCTGGGTGTGTCTGTGAGGGTGTTGCCAAAGGACATTAACATTTGAGTCAGTGGACTTGGAAAAGCAGACGCACCCTTAATCTGGGAGGGCACCATCTAATCACCTACCAGTGCAGCCAGAATAAAAAGCAGGCAGAGGGCCAGGTGCAGTGGCTTACGCCTGTAATCCCAGCACTTTGGGAGGCCGAGGCGGGTGGATCACGAGGTCAGGAGTTCAAGACCAGCCTGGCCAAGATGATATAATCCCGTCTGTACTAAAAATACACAAAAATTAGCTGGGCGTGGTGGCAGGCACCTGTAATCCCAGCTACTCGGGAGGCTGAGGCAGAGAATTGCTTGAACCCAGGAGGCAGAGGTTGCAGTGAGCTGAAATCGTGCCACTGCACTCCAGCCTGGGCGACAGAGTGAGACTCCGTCTCAAAAAAAAAAAAAAAAAAGCAGGCAGAAGAACATGAAAAGACTAGACTGGCTTAGCCTCTCAGCCTATGTCTTTCTCCCACGCTGGATGATTCCTGCCCTCGAACACTGGACTCCAAGTTCTTCAGCTTTGGGATTCTGTTAGGTTCCAACCTGAGCTGGAGTCTGAGTGGAGTTGGTGGATGGGTGGTGGGCAGCAGAAAGAACACTGAAGGGACCGAAGGTGGTTGGGACATGGCTTTATTCTCTCCCCTACAGAGTCAGCAGTGCAGTTATATCACTTACAGACAACAGTGGTTCCAAGCCAGGTATAAGCTCAAACAGTTTACATCAAATGGCTACATAGGCTGGGGGCGGTGGCTCACGTCTCTTATCCCAGCACTTTGGGAGGCTGAGACGGGCAGATCACTTGAGGTCAGGAGTTCAAGACCAGCCTGGCCAACATGGCGAAACCCTGTCTCTACTAACAATACAAAAACTAGCCAGGCGTGGTGGCAGGTTCCTATAATTCCAGCTACTTGGGAGGTTGAGGCACAAGAATTGCTTGAACCTGAGAGGCAGAGGTTGCAGTGAGCAGAGATTGCAGCCACTGCACTCCAGCCTAGGGTGACAGAGTGAGACTGTGAAAAAAAAAAGAATTTCAAATTAAGAAAAAAATACATTTTCCCCAGGAGGGAGACAAACTCTACCAAACAAGAGTTCTGCATGCCTGTCTTTTCCTATACTATGGTCTGAATATGTCCCCCAAACTTGGAAATTTAATCCCCAATGCAACACTGTTGGGAGGTGGGGCCTTGGCAGAGGTGTTAGGTCATGAGTGTTCTGCCCTCATAAATGGATTAATGCCATTATTAAAGGGTTAATGGGGCCGGGCGCGGTGGTTCACGACTGTAATCCCAGCACTTTGGGAGGCCAAGGCGGGTGGATCACGAGGTTAGGAGTTCAAGACCAGCCTAGCCAAGATGGTGAAACCCCATCTCTACTAAAAATACAAGAATTAGCTGGGCGTGGTGGTGGGCGCCTGCAATCCCAGCTACTTGGGGGGCTGAGGCAGAGAATTGCTTGAACCGGGGAGGCGGAGGTTGCAGTGAGCCAAGATCGCGCCACTGCACTCCAGCCTGGGGGACAGAGTAAGACTCTGTCTCAAAAAATAAAATAAAATAAAATAAAATAAAATAAAATAAAAGGCTTAATGGAGGGAGTTTGGCCCTTTTTGCCCCTTCCATCCCTTTGGCCCTGTGAGGACACAGCTTTCCTCCCCTCTGGAGGGTGTGGTTACAAGATGCCGTCTTGGAGGCAGACACTGGGCTCTTAGCAGACACCAAACCTGCTGGTGCCTTGATCTAGATCTTCTAGCCCTCAGAACTATGATAAATAAGTTTCTGTTCTTTATGAATTACCCAGCCTCAGGTATTTTGTTATAGAAGCACAAATGGACTAAGATACCCTACAACCCACAAAGAGTTTTTACTTTTTTAAAATTATTATTATTTTTGAGACAGAGTCTTGCTCTGTCGCCCAGGCTGGAATGCAGTGGCGTGATCTCGGCTCACTGCAAGCTCCGCCTCCCGGGTTCACGCCATCCTCCTGCCTCAGCCTCCCGAGTAGCTGGGACTACAGGCGCCCGCTACCACGCCTGGCTAATTTTTTGTATTTTTAGTAGACACGGGGTTTCACCATGTTAGCCAGGATAGTCTCGATCTCTTGACCTCGTGATCCACCCGCCTCGGCCTCCCAAAGTGCTGGGATTACAGGCGTGAGGCACCGCGCCCGGCCCAACGAGTTTTTTAAAAAATAGCTAAAAGATAATGAAATATGTCTGGAATCAGATAACTTTGAGGAAGGTTGTACAGTATGTGACCAACACATAGCTTTCCACTGAAACACGTTTTTTTTTTTTTTGGTAGTAATTTCCAGTCTAGTTGTCTGTCAAAGATTTAAACCATAATCTTTTTTCCCCCCAGAGGTTGATACTTTCCTTATTGATTTTTTTCTTAAATAAAATCAATTATTGTCCATTATAAAAATGTTAAATCCACAGTAGGGTAAAAATAGAATGTCCAGGAACCACTTTGCACTGCCCTCATTTAGTTCTACTCCACAAAATTAACGATTGTTAATATTTTCTTGTTTATCCTTTCCGAACTCCATTTATTTGTGAGAATGGTGTCATATAAAACATCTTAGCCAGGTATGGGTGGCTCATGCTTGTAATCACAACACTTCTGGAGAGCAAGGTAGGAAGATCGCTTGAGGGCAGGAGTTCAAGAACAGCCTTGGCAACTCAGCAAGACCCTCATCTCTTATGTTTTTTATTATGCTTTCCCTTGGACATTTCTGTATTATATTTCGTCCCCTTTTTACAAAACCATTGACATATCTGTTTATGTGTCATGCCAAATTCAAATGAGAGTAATAGACTCTCTTGTATTGTGGGGCATCTGCTTAATTTAAACTTTGCCCAAAGAGTTTCCATGAGGGATTTGCTGACTAGTCTTTTCTTGGGATATTTTGTTTTTCATTTTCTTTTTTGCTTTCTTTTTCCTGTTCATCTTCCAGCTCCTTTAATGTTTCCTCTTGTTTTTCTCCTTCTCTCTTTCTGCCTGCTTCTCCTCCTCCTCTCCATTTCTGCTTTCCCTTTTATTCATCTTCACTGTAATTTCCATTTGATTGTTCTGAATTTTGATCCCAAGGCATAGCCGGTTGTTTCTGTATAACAGGATCCCAACTTTTCAATTCTGTGAAGTTATCACTACCTTCCAGCCTTTGCTGACTTACATCCATGATTGTTTGGCTCTGAGTCTTCTCTCTTAGAGTCTCTGTTTGATTTTTAGAAATAAAAAAAATTCTCAGCACCGCATGTTTTACCTCAGAAAAGTCTTGAAGTATCAGGAGCTCTCTCCACCTTGAAAACATTTCTTCTCCCACTTCCTGGATGCCATCCTTTCCCGGATTTCCTTCAAAGTCAATGGCTGCTCTTTCAAAGCTTTCTTTCTTGCTTCTCTTTCCCCTAGTGCTCTCTGTAAACCATAATCTTGAGAATCTACTTTATTCATCCCTATAAACCTGGTAAATAGCAACATCACAGCTATAAAACCTAACAAATTGTAAGTAATATGGAAATAATAAATAACTTTGCTGAATGAAGAATGTCTATACAGAAACAAGACCAAAGATATCAAAGAATTTAGAGAAAACTTAAATAAGTAAAACAGGACAGTGGAAGACAAAGAGAAGACCCAATTCAAAAGGCAGGAGGGTGAATAATAAGCCAATTATGAAAAGCTATAAGAGAAGATGTCAACCTCTGAAAAAGTGGAGGTTCTAAAATTTGCCTCAAAGTCAAAGGTGTCTTTCAGGAGAATGTTGTTGGTAGAATATGTGAAGAATGTTGTTGGTAGGATACAGGGAGCAAAAGCTAGATTCTCGGAATAAAATGGGAGTAGAAGTTGAAGCAATGGGTAAAGACTCCAAATTTTAATAAGAAGAAGTCAGGAGGAGGCATATGTATATACAATAACAGAAACTTCTGATGTACTTTAATGGGAAGAGTAAATAATGTCAAGTTAACTTGTCTATTCAATATAATTCTACTCAAGGCCAGGCACGGCGCTCATGCCTGTAATCCCAGCACTTTGGGAGGTGAAGGTGGGAGGATTGCTTGAACTGAGGACTTCAAGACCAGCCTGGGCAACTTAGCCAGACTCTGCCTCTACAAAAAATTTTTAAAAATTAGCCAGGCCTGGTGGGGCATTGCCTGTCATCCCAGCTGCTCAGAAGTCTGAGGTGGGAGGACTGCTTGAGTCCAAGAGTTTATGGCTGCAGTGAGCTATGGTCACACCACTGCACTCCAGCCTTGGTGAGAGAGTGGGACCCTGTCTTTAAAAAACCTACTGAAAATTTCATAGAGTTTTTCTAATTTCATGAAACGAAAGTTCAAATGGAAGAAGAAACAGTGAAAAATATCACAGAAACTAGAAAGAATTCATACTCACAAATTCAAAACCTAAAGCATGTCAACAAGAAACACTATGGGTGATAGCACAGTAAATGAAGAAACAGGGTAGCCAACCTGGAGAGGAAACTAGATGGGAGAATAAATAAAGACACTTTACAAACCAAATATCTTTTGAACATCTAGGGTGATAAGCTAGGACAGGTTTTGGAGCAATCGGGAAGATGATAAGAAGCCACAAAAAGAGGGGAATCCAACAATGCCCCACAAGGTTTGCAGCTAATGGCTGAAAATGTCCCAAGTCTGGGGATAGATATGAACATTTATGTGCATGAAGCTCAAAAGTCTCTAATCAGGTAGAAAATATCACCAAGACATATTATAATCAAACCATCAAAAATCAAAGACAGGCCAGGCGTGGTGGCTCATACTTGTATTCTCAGCACTTTGGAAGGCTGAGGCAGAAGGATCACTTGAGCCCAGGAGTTGGAAGCCACCCTGAGGAACATAGTGAGACCATGTCTCCACACATAAAAATTAGCCAGAAGTGATGGCATGTGCTTGTAGTGCCAGCTAATTGGGAGGCTGAGGTGATAGGATCACTTGACCCCAGGATGTTGAGGTGAGGATCACTTGACCCCAGGATGTTGAGGTGCAGCGATTCAGGATCTTGCCACTGCACTTCCATCTGGGTGACAGAGCAGTCCCTGCTTAAAAAAAAATTAAAGGCAAAGACTATCTTGAAAGTAGCAAGAGAAAATCACGAAGGATTATCAGTGGATTTCTCAGCAGAAACTTTGCAGGCTAGGAGGGAGTGGGATGATATTTTCCAAGGGCTGAAAGAAAAATACACTGCTAATCAAGAATACTTTATCCCTAAAGCTGTCTTTCAGAAATGAAAGAGAGAGAAAGATTTTCCCAAACAAAAGCTGAGGGAGTACATCGCCACTAGGCCTGCTTTACTAGAAATGCTAAAGGGTGTTCTTTAAGCTGAAGTGAAGTTGCTAATTAGTAACATGAAAACATATGAAAGTATAAAACTAGTAAAAGCATACAGTCATATTCAGAATACTCTAATGCTATAATGGTGATCTGTAAATCACTTATATTTCTAGTATAAAGATTAAAAGACAAATTAATTTTTTTTTGAGAGGGAGTTTTGCTCTTGTTGCCCAGGCTGGAGTGCAGTGGCACGATCTCAGCTCACTGCAACCTTTGTCTCTCGGGTTCAAGCAATTCTCCTGCCTCAGCCTCCCGAGTAGCTGGGATTACAGGTGCCCACGACCACGCCCAGCTGATTTTTTGTATTTTTAGTAGAGACGGTGTTTCCCTATGTTGGCCAGGCTGGTCTCAAACTCCTGACCTCAGGCGATCTACACACCTCGGCCTCCCAAAGTGCTGGGATTACAGGTGTGAGCCATTGTGCCCAGCCAACAAAACTACTAAAAATAACTATAGCTACAACCATTTGTTAGTAGATACACAATATAAAAAGATGTAAATTGTAATATCATAAACATAAAATAGAGGAGGAGTAAAGATGTGGTTTTTATATGCAAAGTTAAGTTGTTATAAGCTTAAAATAGACTATTATAACTATGTTATACGTGAGCCTCATTGTAACTACAACACAAAAACCTATGGTAGATACATGAAAAATGAAGAGAAATGAACCAAAGCATATCACCTAGAGAAAATGATCAAATCACAAAGGAAAACAGCAAGGGAGGAGGAAAGGACAAAGGGATCTATAAAACAGTCAGAAAAACAATTAACATAATGACCATAGTAAGTCCTTACCCATCAATAATTACCTTGAATATAAATGAATTAAATTATCTAGTCAAAAGACAGACAGTAGCTAAGTGGATTAGAAAAAAACCCAAACAAGTCCCAACCATACGCTACCTATAAGAGACATACTTCAGTTTTAAGGATACACATAGGCTGAAAGTGAAGGAATAGAATAAAATGTTCTATGCAAATAGAAACCACGAATATGTGGAAATTAAACAACATACTCCTGAACAACCAATGGGTCAACCAATGGGAAGAAATCAAAAGGGAAATTTAGAATTATCTTAAGACTTGAAAAAATGGAAACACAGCATATGAAAACTTATGGAATGCAGCAAAAGCAGTTCTAAGAGGGATCATTATAGTGCTAAATGCCTATGCTAAAAAAGATTATAAACAAGCTAGCATTACACCTCCAGAAACTAGGAAAAGAACAAATTAAACCCAATGTTAGTAGAAGTAAGGACATAGCAAACATCAGAGCAGAAATAAATGAAATAGAACTATAAAAATGATAGAAAGATCAACAAAACTAAGAGTTGGTTTTTGAAAAGATAAATAAAATTGACAATCCTTTAGCTAGACTAAGAAAAAAGGAGAAATGACTCAAAATCAGAAATGAAAGAGGAGACATTATAACTGATACCACAGACATACAAAGGATCATGAGAGAATACTACAAGAAAATGTACAGCAAAAAAATGTAAATAACCCAGAAAAAAATGAATAAATTCCTGGAAACATATAACTTAACAAGACTGAGTCATGTAGAATAGAAAATTTGGCCGGGCATGGTGGCTCACACTTGTAATCTCCACTTTGGGAGGCAAAGGCGGGTGGATTGCTTGAGTCCAGGAGTTGGAGACCAGTCTGGGCAACATGGTGAAACCCCGTCTCTACAAAAAATACAAAAAATTAGCCGGGCATGTGTGGGCGGCAAGCCACCCAGGTGCTGAGGCAAGAGACCAAGGGCACGACCTGTTCCAGTATAATAAAGAAAATATATAAAATAAGAATAGTTATACTAGATATAGATCATAGATATGATTATATATGAATATCATTAATCACAGTTTGTAGCAATTACTTTTTATTCCAATATTATAATAATCCTTGCTCTACAATCATAACCTAGGAAAAACCAGGCCATACAGAGATAGGAGCCGAGGGGACACAGTGAGAAGTGACCAGAAGACAAGTGCGAGCCTCCTGTTATGCCCGGACAGGGCCACCAGAGGGCTCCTGGGTCTAGCGGTGAAGCCAGCGCCTGGGAAGACGCCCGTTGCCAAGCGGACCATGGTCTAGCGGTAGCGTCAGTGCTTAGAAAAGGCACCGGTTACTTAGCAGACCGGGAAAGGGAATCTCCCTTTCTCCGGGGGAGGTAGAGAAGACTCTGCTCCACCACCTCTTGTGGAGGTCCTGACATCAGTCAAGCCCGCCCGCAGTCATCCGGAGGCCTGACCGTCTCCCTGTGATGCTGTGCTTCTGCGGTCACGCTCCTGGTCCACTTTCATGTTCCACCCTGTACACCTGGATCTGCCTTCTAGATAGCAGTAGCAGAATTAGTGAAAGTACTAAAAGTCTTTGAAATGCAGAAGTAATGGCGTAAGCTGTCTCTTTCTCCGCCTCGGCTGCCAAACAGGGAAAGGTGCCCTGTCCAGTGGACACGTGACCCACATGACCTTAGCTATCATTGGAGATGGCTCACGCTCCTTACCCTGCCCCCTTGTCTTGTATCCAATAAATAACAGCACAGCCAGGCATTCGGGGCCACTACCGGTCTCCGCGTCTTGGCGGTAGTGGCCCCCCGGGCCCTGCTGTCTTTTCTTCTATCTCTTTGTCTTGTGTCTTTATTTCTATGATCTCTCGTCTCCGCACATGGGGAGAAAATCCCACAGACCCTGTAGGGCTAGACCCTACAGGCATGGTGGCACATGCCTATAGTCTCAGCTACTTGGGAGGCTGACTTGGGAGAACCCAGGAGTTTGAGGCTGCGGTGAGCCATGTTTGTGCTACTGCACTCCAGCCTGGGTGACAGAGTGAGACACTGTCTCAAAAGAAAAAAAAATTTGAGTAGACCATAAAATAATCATTAGACCAAACGATAGCATTATTGTAACTCTGGTTTATAACTCCACATTTTCTTTTTTTTTAAACATAATTTAAGAGATTAATGCATTTAAAAGAAGGATTAATGTATGTTTTGGGGCATGCAATGTATAAGGATGTAATTTTGTGACATCAGCAAATCAAAGGGGTGGGAGCAGAGCTTTAAAGGAGCAGAGTTCTCACCTGTTATTAAAGTTAAACTGGTAAAAATTCAAATTAGAGCGTTATCGTTTCCGATGTTAAATGTACTCCTCATGGCAACCACAAAAAATAGCTATAGAACAGACACAAAAGAACATCAGAAAGGAATTTAAACATTCCACTATAAAAAATCAACTAGGTCGGGCGCAGTGGCTCACCCCTGTAATCCCAGCACTTTGGGAGACCAAGGTGGGTGGATCACCTGAGGTCAGGAGTTTGAGACCAGCCTGGCTAACATGGTGAAACCCTGTTTCTACTAACAATACAAAAAATTAGCCGGGCATGGTGGTGTGCGCCTGTAATCCCAGCTACTCAGGAGGCTGAGGCAGGAGAGTTGCTTGAACCCGGGAGGCAGAGGTTGCAGTGAGTCGAGATTGTGCCATTGCATTCCAGCTTGAGCAACAAGAGCAAAACTCCCTCTCAAAAAAAATAGATAAATAAACACAAAAGAAGACAGCAATGCAGGAAATTAGAGATAAAAACGCTTATAAGCCACTTCAAAAACAAAGCAAAATGACAGAAATAATATCTTCCGGCCAGGCACGGTGGCTCACACCTGTAATCCCAGCATTTTGGGAGGCTGAGACAGGTGGATCACCTGAGGTCAGGAGTTCGAGACCAGCCTGACCAATATGGTGAAACCCTCGTCTCTGTTAAAAATGCAAACATTAGCTGGGCGTGGTGGCACGCATCTGTAGTCCCAGCTACTCGGGAGGCTGAGGCAGTAGAATCACTTGAACCCGGGAGGCGGAGGTTGCAGTGAGCTGAGATTGCGCCACTGCACTCCAGCCTGGGTGACAGAGCGAAACTCCATCTCAAAAAAAAAACTTCCTCATTAGTAGTTAATTTACATGTAAATGATAAACTTTTCAATCAAAAGACTTACATTTGAAGATTGAATAAAAATACATAATTCCACTATATGCTGTTATAAGAGACTGACTTTACATCCAAAAACACAAATAGTAGAAAGTGAAAGGATTGAAAAAGATATTCCATGTAAATATCCCAAAGAAAGCAGTGATGGTTGCATCAGACAAAATAGCCTTTAAACCAAAACAGATCACAAGACAAAGAATAACCTTGTAGATTAATAAAATATTCAACATAGGACATTATAATACTTATATATCTAATAACAGACCATAAAAATATATAAAGCAAAAACTGACAGAATTCATGAGAGCAATATTCTAGAGTAATAATTGAAGACTTCAATACCTCACTCTGTTTATGACTTAAGATATTTGCATCACTGTTGACAAGTGAAATCAATTTTTGTTTTCATTTTCTGTGATACTTTTTTAGGTTAACATAGTATTGTTATAATTGCTCCAGAAATTCGGAAGTTTTTTTGTTTGTTTGTTTGTTCTTTTTTGAAACGGAGTCTCATTCTGTTGCCAGGCTGGAGTGCAGTGGCGCGATCTCGGCTCACTGCAACTTCCGACTCCTGGGTTCAAGTGATTCTCCTGCCTCAGCCTCCTGAGTAGCTGGGATTACAGGTGCCCACCACCACGCCCGGCTAATTTTTGTATTTTTAGTAGAGACGGGGTTTCACCATGTTAGCCAGGATGGTCTTGATCTCCTGACGTCGTGATCCGTCTGCCTCGGCCTCTGAAAGTACTGGGATTACAGGTGTGAGCCATCACGCCCGGCCAGAAGTATTATTTATTCTGGAATAATTTATGAGCATTGGGATTATCTGGTCTTTGAAGTTTGGCAGCATTTTCCTATGAAACCATCAAAATCTGTTACTTTTTTGTGGGGTGGTTCTTCACAAGTTTATTTGATGAAAAGTAGGCTGTTGAGTCTTCTGAGGTAAATCTTGGAAAATTCAATTTTCCTAAGAATTTAATCATTTCATCTAGGTCTTCAAAATGTTTTTGCCTAGAGTTGGGCAAAAACGTCTTTTATGATTTAAAAAACATCTATCTTTTGTTTCAGTAGTTATTTCCTCTTTGTATGTCTTATTTTGTATATTTGTACTTTTTCTCTTTTTGCTGGATTAGAACACCGAGTTTTCTATTTTGTTAACGTTCTTCAAAAACAAATGTTTTTATTTATTAGTTCTGCTGTTGTTCTGCTTTCGACCTCATTTATTTCTGCTTTTATCTCTCTCATTTCCAATAGTCAAACTCAGTGGCCTTAATTAAGTTTTATTGAAATACAATTCACATGCCACAAAATGTGTCGATTGTAAGTATTCAATTCAGTGATACTAGTAAATTCATAGAGTTTTACTACCATGACCACAATGCAGCCTTAGAACATCTTCATTACCAAAGTTCTTTATGCCCATTTACATTTAACCCCTGTTCCTACTCCTATCCTTAGGCAACTACTGATGTGATTTTTCACTCTACAAATTTGCATTTTCTAGACATTTTATATCCACAAAATCATACATGCGATGACTTTTCTGTCTAGCTTCTTGACATCAGCATCATGTTTTTGAGGTTTATTCACATCGCATGTATCAGCACTTCCCCCCTCTTCTAATTGCTGAACAGTATTCCATCGTTATGGCTATACCACGTTTGTTTATCCAGGCATCATTTGATGGACATTTGAGTTGCTTTCACTTTTCTTTATCCAGTCAGCAGTTGATAGACATTTTGGGTTGTTTCCAGTTTCTGGCTATTATAAATAATATTGCTGGTCGGGTGCGGTGGCTCACGCCTGTAATCCCAGCACTTTGGGAGGCCGAGGTGGGCGGATCACGAGATCAGGAGATCGAGACCATCCTGGCTAACACGGTGAAACCCCGTCTCTACT
The DNA here is from genome assembly GCF_000001405.40 of Homo sapiens. NCBI lineage: Eukaryota > Metazoa > Chordata > Mammalia > Primates > Hominidae > Homo > Homo sapiens. Next base: position 132,980,924 of record NC_000012.12, read on the forward strand.
AAAAATACAAAAAATTAGCTAGGCATGGTGGCGGGCACCTGTAGTCCCAGCTACTCAGGAGGCTGAGGCAGGAGAATGGCGTGAACCCGGGAGGCGGAGCTTGCAGTGAGCCGAGATCGTGCCACTGCACTCCAGCCTGGGCCAGAGTGAGACTCCGTCTCAAAATAATAATAATAATAATAATAATAATAATAATATTGCTATAAACATTATCATAAACGACTTTATACAGACATAAGTTTTCATTTTCTCTTAGCTATCTAGAAGTAGCATTGCAGAGTCATGCGGTAAGTTTATGGTTAACTTTTTAAGTAATGGTCAAACTGTTCTCCAAAGTGACTGCTATTTTTACATCTCACTAGCAAAGCATGAAGGCTCGTTTCTCCACATACTTGCCTACACTAGGTATTGTCTGTTTTTCTTATTATAGCCATTCTATTGAATTTTTACTGGTATCTCATTGTGGTTAACTTTGCTGTTCCCTAATGAATAATGACGTTGAGCATCTTTGTATGTGCTTATTAGCCATTTCTGTAGCTTCTTTGGTGAAAAAAATATATATATATTCAGATCTTTTGCTCATTTGCAAAATTGGGTTGCTTGTCTTATTATTGAGTCATAAGTGTTCTGAATACAAGTCTTTTATCAGATAAATGATTTGCAAATATTTTCTTTTAGACTGTGGCTTGTCTTCTCACTTTCTTCATACTGTCTTTTGAAACAAAAGTTTTTATATATTGACAAAGTTCAATTTATCAATGCTTTTATTTCATGGATCATGCTTTTGTTGTTATATCTGGAATCTCTTTACCCAACCCAAATTTACAACAATTTTCTATTGTATTATAGTTTTAGCTCTTACTTTTAGGTCTCTGACCCGTTTTCAGCTAATTTTCATGTATGACGTGTAAGGCAAGTCTTCTCCTTCTCCTCCTTTGGCATATAGGCATCCATTTACCCAGAATCATTTACTAAAGTCTACCTTTCATCATTGAATTATCTGGGTAACTATGTCAAAAATTAATTGGCCATAAATGTTACAATGTATTTCTAGATCCTTAGTTATTTTCCATTGATCTATTTACTTATCCTCTTGCTAATATCACACTGTCTTGATCACTGTGGCTTTATAGCAAATTTAAAATCAAGTAGTGTAAGTCTTACAACTTTATTCTTTTTCAAAATTGTTTTGCTATTCTATGTTCTTTGCATGTCATTATAAATTTTATGTTCAGCTTGCCAATTTTTACCAAAAAGTCTGGTGGGATTTTGACAGGAATTGCATTTAATTCATAGATCAATGTGAGGAGAATTGCCATATTGATAGTATTCAGCCTTTCAATCCACTAATATGAAATGTCTTTGTTTATTTAAATATTTGTTAATATCTCTGAGTAATGTTTTGTAGTTTCCAACATACAAGTTTGTACTTCCTTTTTTATTTTTTATTTTATTATTTTTTTTGAGACGGAGTCACGCTCTGTTGCCAGGCTGGAGTGCAGTGGCACAATCTCGGCTCACTGCAACCTCCGCCTCCTGGGTTCAAGCGATTCTCCTGCCTCAGCCTCCCGAGTAGCTGGGACTACAGTCGCCTGCCACCATGCCTGGCTAATTTTTGTATTTTTAGTAGTGACGGGGTTTCACCATGTTAGCCAGGATGGTCTCGATCTCCTGACATCGTGATCCACCAGCCTCAGCCTCCCATAGTGCTGGGATTACAGGCATGAGCCACCGTGCCCGGCCACATTTTTACTTCTTTTATTAAATGTATTACTATTTTATTCTTTTTGATGCTGTGAAAGAAATTGTTTACTTAACTTCATTTTAAGATTATTCACTGCTAGTATATAGAAGTATAGTGTTTATATATTGATCTTGTACCCTTTGACCATGCTAACATCATTTATTAGTTTCAGTGGTTTTATTATTATTATTGATTCCTAGAAATTTTTTATATAGAGGATTATGTCATCTGTGAATAAAGCCAATTTTACTTTTTTTTCCAATCTGGATGCTTCCTTTTCTTTCTTTTCTTTTGCTTGATTGCACCAGCTAGAACATCCAGTACAACATTGAACAGAACCAACTAGAACATCCAGTGCAACGTTGAACAGTATTAGCCAGAACATCCAGTACAATGTTGAACAGAACCAACTAGAACATCCAGTTCAACGTGGAACAGAACCGGCTAGAACATCCAGTACAACGTGGAACAGAACCGACTAGAACATCCAGTGCAACGTGGATCAGAACCGGCTAGAACATCCAGTGCAACGTGGATCAGAACCGGCTAGAACATCCAGTGCAACGTGGAACAGAACTGGCTAGAACATCCAGTGCAACGTGGAACAGAACCGGCTAGAACATCCAGTGCAACTTTGAACAGAAGTGTTGAAAGCAGACACCCTTGCTTGTTTCCTATTATAGGGGAAAAACACTCAGTCTTTCACCATTCTGTAGGATGTTAGCTAGGGTTTTTAAAAAATGCCCATTATCAAGTTGAGGAAATTCCCTTTTATTCCTAGATTGTTGAGAGTTTTTGCCATGAATAGACGTTGGTTTTGCTAAATGCCTTTTGCTGCATCTATTGAAATAGTCACATAGTTTTTGTTTTTTATTATACTGATTTTCAGTGTTGAACCAATCTTTCATTCTTGGTATATATTCCATTTGGTCATTTTACAAAATCCTTTTTGTATGTTGCCAGATTCAGCTTACTAACATTTTTCTTAAACAGCTTTATTAAGTTATAAAGTGATATAGAATAAACTGCATGTATTTAAACAATTTGGTAAGTTTTCACATGAGTAACCACCTGCAAAACCAGTTTCAGGAGAAAAAGAGTTTTCTCAAGCCTTAAGAATTTTTGTGTCTATGTCTATGGTACTACACACCATAGGAATATTGGTGTGTAGCTCTGTTTTGTTTTTCCCTCGTGATGTCTTTGTCTAGCTCTGGTATGAGAATAATACTGGCTTCATAGAATAAGTTGGGAAGTATTCCCTCTCATCTATTTTCTGAAAGAATTTGTAAAGAATTATCCTTTCTTCTTTAAGTATTTGATGGAACTCACTAGTGGAGCCATCCATTCCCAGATTTTCTCTGTGGGAAAATTTTTAATTAATTAATTTCTTTTTTTGAGACAGGGTCTCATTGTGTTGCCCAGACTGGAACGCAGTGGTGGGATCATGGCTCACTGCAGCCTCAACCTCTCAGGATCAAGCATTTCTCCTGCCTCAGCCTCCCAAGTAGCTGGGATTACAGGTGTATGCCACCACACCTGGCTAATTTTTTTAATTTTTAATTATTATGAGTACATAGTAGGTGTATACATTTATGGATTACATGAGATATTTTGATATAGAATGCATATTATAATGCAATGATTATTATGCAATGCATAAAAATCACATCAGGGAAAATGGGGTACCCTTAAGCATTTATCCTTTGTGTTACAAGCAATCCAATTATACTTTTAGTTATGTTAAAATGTACAATTAAATTATTTTTGAGTATATCCTGTTGTGCTAGAAAATACTAGGTCTTATTCTAACTATTTTTTCTGCCAAATGACTATTTCCATCCCCCACAGTGTCCCACTACCCTCCCAGCTGCTGGTAACCATCTTTCTACTCTCTATCACCATGAGTTCAATTGTTTTAATTTTTGGCTCTCACAAATAAGTGAGAATATGTGAAGTTTGTCTTCTCTGCCTCGCTTATTTCACTTAATATAATGATCTCCAGTTCCATCCATGTTGTTGCAAATGACAGGATCTCATTCTTTTTTATGGCTTCCTAGTACTCCATTGTGTATATGTACCACATTTTCTTTATTCATTAACCTGTTGATTGACACTTCGGTTACTTCCAAATCTTGGCTATTGTGAATAGTGCTGCAGTCAACAAGGGAGTGCAGACAGCTCTTGGATATACTGATTTTCTTTCTTTCGGGTATATACCTAGGAGTGGGATAGCTGCATTGTATGGTAGCTCTATTTTTATTTTTTTGAGGAACCTCCAAACTGTTCTCCATAGTGGTTGTACTAATTTACATTCCCACCAAGAATGTACCAGGGTTCCCTTTTCCCCATATCCTCACCAGCATTTATTATTGCTTGTCTTTTGGATAAAAGCCATTTTAACTGGGGTGAGATAATATCTCGTTGTAGTTTTGATTTGCATTTCTCTGATGATCAATTATATTGTGTACCTTTTCATATACCTGTTTGCCATTTGTATGTCTTCTTTTGAGAAATGTCTATTCAGATGTTTGGCACTTTTTTTTTTTTTTTTTTTTTGAGACAGGGTTTCACTCCTGTCATCGAGGCTGGAGTGCAATGGTGCAATCTCGGCTCACTGCAACCTCCACCTCACGGGCTCAAGCAATTCTGCTGCCTTAGCCCCCCAAGTAGCTGAGACTACAGATGCATGCCACCACATCCGGCTTACTTTTGATATGTTTTGTAGAGACGAGGTTTCACCATGTTGCCCAGGCTAGTCTCCAACTCCTGGGCTCATGCGATCCACCCACCTCAGCCCTCCAAAATGCTGGGATTACAGACGTGAGCCATCGTGCCTGGCCATTTTGCACATTTTTAAATCTCAAAAGGCCAATCTACAATAGTGGTGTTATCTGTAGGAGTAACTGGGGAAGTTGCGTGTCTTGTGACCAATCCACATCTTAGCAGAATTCAGGCTCCTCTCCTCCCGCTAGCTTGGTGGTCTCTCATAGGTTTTACAAAGGCAGTTGGGTTTTGGAAAAGGGCTATCATTTGAACTATAACCTAAATGTCTTCCAAAGTTAGCTTGGCCTAAGCCCAGGAATAATGAAGGCATCTTGACAGCCAAAGGCGCGCAGAGTTGGGGGTTTGGTTAGATTAGACCTCCCCCACTGCTATAATTTTCTCACTGATATAATTTTTGCAAAGGCAGTTTCATTACTGGTGTGGTTCTATTTATTTGTTTTTCACATCTACTATAGTTTCTCCTTTATGAAGTTGGTTACTGTATTATTTGGTGCACTGATATTCAAAACTGTTATTTAACCCTATGAACTGCAGCTTTTAGCTTTACAAAGCGTCCTTTTTTGCTGTGCCTTCTGGTCTGAACCCTATCTTGTTTGATATCAAAACCTCAGCACGCCTGCGTCTCTGCTGGGGTCGGACTCTGAGTCAGTTCTACAGGCCCTGGGAAACTGGGCGTCCAGGCTCCGAGGATGGTACTGAACCTGGCGCAGCCGTGGGAGGGTGAACCAGGTGCCGCTGGCGGAGCCCCCTCCCAGCCTTCCTTTCCCGTCAGGCTGTGCCCCTCTCTAGATCCGCGGCAGCTGGAAGCCAGGCCTGTAACGAGGGAGCCTTCTCCGAGGATTGTGGGAGATGTAGTTTTTCCGGCGCCTTCGCGTCCTGGCGCATCGACGCAGGACGCACTTCCGCATGCGCCGCACTCCCGGCCTTAGTCGGGTGCGCGCGTGCAGGGCTGTTTCCGGCTTAGACTCAGTGGACCGGAATCTGGCCAGCGGGTGTACCTGGCTGAGTCTCTGTGGCCGCGGAGGCGCGGAGCTAAGCGGCTCGGATTATCCTGGGCAGACCAGAGACTTGACCAGCTAAACACTTCCGTCGGTCCGGGGCGTGGACGGGGCCAGATCAGCCTCCTGCTCTCCCGAGTCAGGGCCACGGAAAGGCACAAATCCATCCGTGCGACTCCTGGTACCCAGACCGGGAGGTTGTCTAGTCACGCGCGGTCTGTGTTGGGCGAGAGCTGAGGAGCCGGCGTCCCTGCCAACGACTCGGCCCCGGGACGGTCAGGAGCCTGGGGCCCTGGTCCCGCACCTGTCTTCGGGCGGACGCATCCCTCACGGTCTCTCCGCAGCCCGCGGGTCCTGCCCCCGCAGGCAGCGCGCGAACGTGGGCGTGGGGATGGCCACCAGTTTCCGGACAGCTTCGTGCTGGGTAAGTAGAGACTTTCCGTGTTTAAAATTCGACTGGATACTGAGGGTGGCCACGTTAATCTCTTCAGGGTTACTCCGGGAACTGAACTCACATTCAGCTGTAATTGTGTGCGTAGTTTACTAGACTACCCTCCCCACCAAACCAAAGCGCCTCTGAAGCTCGCCCAAGCTCTGGCCCTGCAGAAACGTGCCTGTGGTATTCTGTGACGGGCAGTTATACTGCACTTCATGGCCAGCTGCGGGCCCTGAAGTCTGAGGATCCTCCATCATTTCATGTTTTCTACACAAAGTTGTCTTATGGAGACCCTTAGAACTTAGCTGGAGAAATGATCAGTTCCTCCTTTTTCGTTTGGCCAAATGCTTGTTTATGGAGTGTCCTTTTGTCTGCTGGACTCTAAGGCTGGTGCTGGCAATGCAGAGATAAATTATGTATGTTCCTAATTTTAGAGGAGCTTTGGTTTGGTGGAGAGGGTAGTCTAGTGAACTATGGACGCAATTACAGGTGAATGAATAGGGAGAAAAGGCTAGGAGCGGAGCTCGAGAGTCCGAAAGGTAAGGGGCGGGCCAGTGGATCATCGGGACTTTATGAATTATTGATGGAGTGAACCAGAGGGGAGTCTTTACAAGTGATTTGATTGCCAAATCCTTTGCCCTCGGTGAGTGGTGTTGACGACGTTGCCGGATGTGGTGCTCTACCATTGAGCTATACAGCCGGAGACTAGGAATGCTATTGGAAGAGGGACCCTGGGAATGACTTTCGCAGGTGTTGAATATCCAATGCCTGTATTTCAGCCTGTAACTCACATGGGAGGTCTAAACTGGAAATACATAAAGACACCTTATTGTATTCGTGGAAGCTCAGAGTGTGACCAACTGGAACCCTCAAGAGGACCGAGGTGAGGACTCAGGTTAATGAAAGGAAAGGACACACGGTGGAGAAAGGCTGTTGTGCTAAAGAAACGAGAGAAAGTTAGGAGTGGATTTCTCCCCCTGTGAGTTTGTTCCTTTGTCAGAGATCAGTTGACTATATTTATATGGGTCTATTTCTGGGCTCTTTATTGAGTTCTATTGATCTATTTGTTGTTTCACTAATACCACACTGCCACACTGTCTTGATTTTTGTAGCTTTGTAATAAGTCTTTTTTTATTTTTTTGAGACGGAGTCTCGCTCTGTCGCCCAGGCTGGAGTGCAGTGGCGCGATCTCGGCTCACTGCAACCTCTGCCTCCCGGGTTCGAGCGATTCTTGAGCCTCAGCCTCCCGAGTAGCTGGGATTACAGGCACATGCCACCCAGTCCGGGTAATTTTTGTATATTTTGTAGCGATGGAGTTTAGCCATGTTGCCCAGGCTGGTCTTTATAGTAAATCTTTTGTTTTTTTTTCAAGGCAGGATCTCACTCTGTTGCCCAGGTTGGAGTGCAGTGGAACAGTCACAACTCACTGCAGCCTCGAACTCCCGGGCTCAAGGGATCCTCCACCTCAGCCTCCTGAGTAGCTGGGATTACAGGCATATGCCACCACATCAGGCTAATTAAAAATTTTTTTTTTTTTTTGTACAGATAGGGTCTCACTGTGTTGCCCTGGCTGGCCTGCAACTCTTGGCCTCAAGCACTTCTTCCTCCTTGGCCTCCCAAAGCATTGGTGGGATAACAGGTGTGAGCCACCATGCCCAGCCTATAAGTCTTGAAGTCAGGTTCATTCTCCCAAATGTATTCTTCTGCTTCCGTATCCTGTTAGCTAATCTAAGTCTTTTGTCTGTCTGAACTTTATAATCAGTTTGTCAACATCTGCAAAATAACTTGCTGGGATTTTAACTGACAGTGCATTCAATCTGTAGATCAAGTTGGGAAGAGCTGAAGTCTTGAATATTGAGTCTTCCTATCCATGAACATGTTATATCTCTCTATCTAGTTCTTAGTTTTCATTCAGCAGTGTTTGGTAGTTTTTCTCATATAGATTTTATATAGTATCATTATATATTTTGTTAGACTTACACCTAAGTATTTAATTTTTGTGGGTGCTACTGTAAATGGTATTGTGTTTTTTATTTCAAATTCAGCTTACACCTGTGTACAGGAAAGGGGTTGACTTTTGTATATTAACTTTGTATCCTGCAACCTTGGTATAATCATGTAGTTCCAGGAGTCTTTCGGTGAATTTTTTTTTTTTTTTTTTTTTTTTTTTTGAGACAGAGTCTCGCTGTTGGCCAGGCTGGAGTGCAGTGGCACAATCTCGGCTCACTGCAACCTCCACCTCCTGGGTTCAAGCGATTCTCCTGCCTGAGCCTCCTGAGTAGCTGGTACTACAGGCATGTGCCACCACGCCCATCTAATTTTTTTGTATTTTTAGTAGAAATGGAGTTTCACTGTGTTAGCAGGATGGTCTCGATCTCCTGACCTCGTGATCAGCCCACCTCGGCCTCCTAAAGTGCTAGGATTACAGCCATGAGCCACCGTGCCGGGTCTGGTGAATTCTTTTGGACTTTGCACAATTATGCCATCTGTGAACAAAGTTTTATTCCTTCCTTCACAGTCATTATACATTTTACAGGTTAAGTATCTTTTATTCAAAATGCTTAAGACCAGAATTGTTTTGGATTTTGGATTTTTTCAGATCTTGGACTATTTACATATACATAAGATATCTTGGGGATGGGACCCAAGTCTAAACACAGAATTTGTTTATGTTTCATATATACTTTATACGTACAGCCTGAAGGTAATTTTATACAGTATTTTAAATAATTTTGTGTGTGAAACAAAGGTTGTATTAAGTTAATGTGTGGGATTTTCCACGTGTGAGGACTCAAAACGTTTTGAATTTTGGAGCATTTAGATTTCAGGTTTTTGGAACAGGGATTCTCATCCTGTATTTTCTGTTCTTGTTTTTTTGCCTCAGATAGGACTTCCAGTACAATGTTGAAAAAGAGTGGTGAGAGGGGATTAAAGATACATTTTGCCTTGTTGATCTTAGTGGGAAAGCTTCAAGTTTCTCACAGTTAAGTATGATGTTAGTTGTAGCATTTTTCTTGGTAGATATTCTCTATCAAGTTGAGAAAGACCCTTGTTCCTAGTTTAGTGAGGGTTTTTGTTGTTGTTAATTGTGAATGGGGTTGGATTTTGTCAGATTTTTTTTCTGGGCCAGATGTGGCTCACACCTGTAATCACTTTGGGAGGCTGAGGCAGGAGGATAGCTTTAGCCTAGGAATTCAGGACCAGCCTGGGCAACATAGTGAGACCCCATCTCTACAAAAAATTAAAAAACAAAATAGCTGGGCGTGGTGACACATGCCTGTAGTCTCAGCTACTGAGGAGGCTGAAGTGGAAGGATTGCTTGAGCCTGGGAGGTTGAGGCTGCTGTGAGCCATGTTTGCACCACTGCACTCCAGCCTGGGTGACAGAGCGAGACCCTGTCTCAAAAAAGAAAAAAAGTTTTTTCTGCATCTATCTATGCTTTTTCTTCTTTAGTCATTTGATACGATGGAACTGATTCAAGTATTGAACCAACCTTACATACCAGGAATAAATCCCACTTGGCTGTGGTGTACACTTGTTTTTATACATTGTTGTATTTTATTTTCTAGTATTTTGTTGAGGATTTTTGTATCTATATTTATGAGATAATTTTTCTGTAGTTTTCTAGGGTTTCTGTCTGGTTTTGGTATTAGAGCGATGCTGTCTTTATAGACTGAGTTAGGATTCCCTCTGCCTTTATCTTCTGAAAAATATTGTAGAGGGAAAAAAAGATTGGTGTGATTTTTTTCCTTAAATGTTTGGTAGACTTCACCAGTGAGTGAACCCATCTTGGCCTGGCACTTTCTGGTTTGGGTGATTCTTAATTTTTGATTCAATTTAGGCTTATTAGAGTGTCTGTTTCTTTTTGTTCAGTTTTGGCAGATTGTGTCTTTCAGGGATTTGGTCTGTTTCATCTAGGTCATGAAATGTGTGGACGTAGAATTGTACATAGTATGATGTTCCTTTATTGTCCTTTTTTCTTTTTATTTTTTTGATAGAGTCTCACTCTGTCACCCAGGCTGGAGTGCAGTGGCATGATCATGGCTCACTGCAACCTCTGCCTCCCAGGTTCAAGCGATTCTCCTGCCTCAGCCTCCCGAGTAGCTGGAAGTACAGGTGTGTGCCACCATGCCCGGCTAATTTTTGCGTTTTTAGTAGAGACAGGGTTTCACTATGTTGGCCAGGCTGGTCTCGAACTCCTGACCTCAAGTGATCCACCCACCTCAGCCTCCCAAAGTGCTGGGATTACAGGCATGAGCCACTGTGCCCAGCCTCCATTACTATTTTGAACAGACTAGGTCAACTAAGTATAAGAAAAATAGCTAGGCATGGCTGGGCGTGGTGGCTCAGGCCTGTAATCCCAGCACTTTGGGAGGCCGAGGCGGGTGAATCACGAGGTCAGATGTTCAAGACCAGCCTGATCAACATGGTGAAACCCTGTCACTACTAAAAATACAAAAGTTAGCGCCGGGCATGGTGGCACACACCTGTAATCCCAGCTGCTCAGGAGGCTGAGGCAGGAGAATCGCTTGAACTCAGGAAGCAGAGGTTGCAGTAAGCCAAGATCGTGCCACTGCACTCCAGCCCGGGCGACAGAGCGAGACTCAACAACAACAACAAAATAAAAATAGCTAGGCATGGTGGCTGATGCCTGTAATCCCAGCACTTTGGGAGACTGAAGCCAGGAGTTTGAGACCAGCCTGGGCAACGCAGAGACCTTGCCTATACAAAACAACAACAACAACAAAAAAAAAAAAAACCTAAAAAAAAAACCAGGTGTGCTAGTGTGCACCTGTAGCCCCAGCTACTTGGGAGGTGAGATGGTGAGGTGAGCCCAGGAGTTCGAGGCTGCTGTGCCACTGTACTCCAGCTTAGGCAACAGAGCGAGACCGTCTCAAAAAAATGATCAGAAAAAAAATTTTAATTTTACTTTCACTTATTCTTTCTTTGATGTTCTCACTTTTTAAAATATATATCTGTGGCCGGGCCTGGCGGCTCATCCCTGTAATCCCAGCACTCTGGGAGGCTGAGGCCGGCGGGTCATTTGAGGTCAGGAGTTCGAGACCAGCCTGGCCAACATGGTGAAACCCTGTCTCTACTACAAATACAAAAATTAGCTGGGCATGGTGGTGCGTGCCTGTAGGCCTGGCTACTTGGGAGGCTGAGGTATGAGAATCGCTTGAACCCAGGAGGCGGGGGTTGCAGTGAGCCAAGATCATGCCACTGCACTCCAGCCTGGGCAACAGGGTAAGACCCTATCTCAAAAAAAAAAAAGTGTATCTGTGTTTCTGACCTGTATTTTCCTTTTCTGCCTAGTTAAGGCAAGTTTACTTGAAATAGCAATAAATTATCTTAGTTTTTGTTTGAGAAAGACTTTTTTTTACTTTTGAAGGATAATTTTGCAGGGTACAGAATTCTGTTTTGATGATTTTTTTTTCTCTAAACACCTTAACTGTTTCACTCCATTTTCTTGCTTGTGTGGTTTCTGTAGGTAAGGTATTTTTTTTCATCTCTGGCTTATCTTTGATTTTTTGTGTTTTAAAAATGATATGCCTACGTGCAGGTTTTTTGGCATTTATCTTCTTGGTATTCTCGGATTTTCCTCCATCTGTGATTTGGTGTCTGACATTACTTCAGCGAAATTTTCAGTAATTATTGTTTCATATATAGATGCTCCTTGACTTGATGATGTGGTTACATCCTGATAAACTCATCATAAATTGAAAATCTCTTTGTCAGAAGTGCATTTTCGACTTACAATATGTTCAACTTATAATAGGTTTATCCAGATGGAGCCTCATCATAAGTTGGGGAACGTACTGAAGTGTATTGCTTCTGCGCCATTGTAAAATTGAAAAATACTAAGTCAAACCACTGTGCGTCAGGCACCGACTGTCTTTCTTCTGTTCTTTTCCTTTCCTTCGGGTATTTCCATTGTGCATATCTACACCTTTTGTGGCTGTCCATCTTGGATATTCTGTTCTTTTTTTTTTTCCCCAGTGTTCTCTTTGCTTGAAGGTTTCTGTTGATACATCCTTAAGTTCAAAGATTTTTTTCCTCAATCTCGTGCAGTCTACATAATACATAAGCCCATCAAAGGCATTCTTCACTTCTGTACAGTGTTTTTGATCACTAGTATTTCTTTTTTTTTTTTTTTGAGATGGAGTCTCACTTTCTTGCCCAGGCTGGAGTGCAGTGGTGCGATCTGGGCTCACTGCAGCCTCTACCTCTCAGGTTCAAGCCATTCTTGTGCCTCAGCCTCCTGAGTAGCTGGGACTACAGGTGCGCACCACCGTGCCTAGCTAATTTTTGTATTTTTAGTAGAGACAGAGTTTCAGTATGTTGGTTAGGCTGGTTTCGAACTTCTGACCTCAAGTGATCTACCCACCTCAGCCTCTCAAAGTGCTGGGATTACAGGTGTGAGCCACTACGCCTGGCCTGCCCATCTGTTCTTACATGCTGCCTACTTTATTCACTAGAGCCCATAACATATTATTCATGGTTGTTTTAAGTTTTGTCTGATACCTTCAACATCCCTATCATGTCTGGTTCTGATGCTTGCCCTGTCTGTGTTTTTGTTTTTGTTTTTATTTTTTTTTTTGAGATGGAGTCCAGGCTGGAGTGCAGTGGTGTGATCTTGGCTCACTACAACCTCCGCCTGTTGGGTTCAAGTGATTCTTCTGCCTCAGCCTCCCGAGTAGCTGGGACTACAGGTGCACTCCACCATGCCCGGCTGATTTTTGTATTTTTAGTAGAGACGGGGTTTCACCATACTGGCCAGGCTGATCTCGAATTCCTGACCTCAGGTGATCTACCCCCCTCGGCCTCCCAGAGTGCTGGGATTACAGGCGTGAGCCACGGCGCGTGGTTGCCCTATGTTTTTTTGCCTTTTAGTATTGCCTTGTCCCTTTACATTCATAGCTAGACATGATGTACTGAGTAAAAGGAATTACTTTTAATAGTACTTTACTAATGTGGTGATGAGATGTCAGGAAAGGGTGAGCATTCTGTAGGCCCCTGATTAGGTCTGTCTCTTTGTGAGCCTGTTCTCCTGGACTCTCAACCTCACAAGTATTTCCCAGGCCACCCCCACCCCATCTCTTAGATGGGACAGGGTGGAATTTGGTATATCTCTCTTCCCTCAGGTTAGTTAAGCTCTGACAAAACCCCAATATATTAGGCTCTGGGAACCTGGTTGAGCTCCTGAAAGTAAAACTCAGAAAAGCTTGGGACTTTGTCTCCCTCCACTCCCACCATGACTGGGTCCCCCTGGACTTTTTAACTTCAAACATGTACACACCTAGCCTCTAGCAATTTGTCAGTTGCAGTTCAGGTATTTCTGTCCTGACGCTTTCTCACAGAGATTTGTGATCTGGTAACTACTGTGTTTCTGCCTGTCTCTAATTTTGGGGACAGTGGTTTGTTTGCCTTGTATCTTCACTTCTCTTTCAGATCTAAGAAGAGTTGTTGATTTTTCAGTTTGTTAAACTTTTTACTTGTTAGGACAGAGTGGCTACTTCCAAACTCTTTACATGCAGAACTGGAACTATTAATTTTTGATGATACAGTTGATTCTCTTAGAACACAATTCAGTCTCTTATAACCACCCACCCATCCCAATCCCCTCTCTCTCCTCGGAGGTAATCAGTTTGATAGATATTCTTCTAGGTCTTTCCCTGTACATTTTTAATGCATATGTTTATATCCTTAAAATGTTTGTGTTGGCTTATTTTTGTGAAGTTGTATGATATTCTGTTGTATGAACATTTCATAATTTGTCTGTTGTAATAATCTGTTATCAACATCAGTGTTTAGGTTGTTTTCAGTTACTGGTTATTTTAGATAACACGACTTTGAACCTTTTTGTACATTTGTTTTGGTAGACATCAACTATCATTTCTGTTAGGCACATACCAGGATTTTTCAACCTCAGCACTATTGACATTTTGGATGGAATAATTCTTTGTTGTGGAGGAACGTCCTGTGCATCGTGGGTTGCTGAGCAGCATTCCTGGCCCCGACTTATGTAGGTGCCAGTAGCACTGCCCCACTATGACAACCATAAAGGGCTCCAGACATTGTCAAATGCCCCCGGGGGGGCAAAATCTCCCTCCTGCCCATTGAGAACCACTGGGCACATACTTACGAATGATACTGTTGAGTCATTGTATACGTATATTTAAATTTAGTACATACTCTTAGTTTTCCAAAGTGGCGAAATGACTTCACATTCCCAGTACCAGGAATTGAGAACTGCATTTGCTCTATATCCCTTTTTATTTTCATGGAAAAGAGGTTTTCCACTTTTCAAAAAATTGCACCACCATAGTTGATGTGGGTGTGTTGTGTAGGCGTTAGCAGTATTGCCCTCACCATGCGCTCACTGGACAGTAACACAACCCCACGAGAAGGATGGTTTGCTCCACATCCTTAACAGACTTGTATTGGCCATTGTCCCGTTGATGCTCATTTCAGGGATCAGTTGTTTGTTTCTAAATGTCTCCTTGTTTTTTTTTTTTTTTAATTCCAGTTCTCCTTTTATTCACTGTATACAACTTCTCTGTATTTTAAATATTTACATAGTTATATATTATGATAGTTATTTGTAATATTACTTGTTTGCTAACATCATCTGGATCATCTGTGCATCTTTATCAATTATCTGCCTATTCCTTTTGTCAGTCATATTTTCCTGCCTCATGTCTCAAAGTTTTTAATTTTTTGCTGACATTGTTTTAAAAGGAATAACCACAGAGACTGAAGTTTACTGTTGTGGTTTTTTTTGAGACAGAGTCTTGCTCTGTCGCCCAGGCTGGAGTGCAGTGGCGCGATCTTGGCTCACTGCAACCTCCGCCTCCTGGGTTCAAGCAATTCTTCTGCCTCAGCCTACCCAGTAGCTGGGATTACAGTTGCCCACCACCATGCCTGGATAATTTTTGTATATTTAGTAGAGACGGGATTTCACCATGTTGGTCAGGCTGGTCTCAAACTCCTGGCCTCAGGTGATCCACCCACCTTGGCCTCCCAAAGTGCTGGGATTACAGGGGTGAGCCACCATACCTGACCTTACTGTTGTTTTATATCAGAGGATATTTCCCCTTTTCTCTGTCATGCAGTAGGGGAATGGCTGATCACCTCAATCAAAACAGGAATTGAGCTGTTTAGGGGCTGTACTCTGTTACCTGTGTCTTCGGGTTTCTGGATGGTATATTTATTGCAGGCTCCTCTCTACTGGTACTTTGTTTCTGGAGCACCTTGAGGCTGCGGGAGACTCAGTCTGCCATTCCAGCCCAGCCTGCAGCTTCTTGCACTGACCAGCACTCAACAGATGTCCCATGGGGAAAACTCACTGTCCACTGGGGCACATCAAAACCTTCACTGGTTTCTCTTTCCCCTAGAATAGTCCTCTGTCTGGGCCGAGCCCTTCCTTCACTGTTCTCAAGCTGAGCAAATGGCCCAGCGAGGTAACAGCCAGCAATTTTAGCTCACCCAAGAGGAGCTCTTTTCTCTCGCAATTTTAGTTTGTTTAGTCCTCCTTCCTTCCACAGGTCTCTGGTGTTTTAAAAAAGATAAGAGTATTTAGAATTTTCTAGTTGTAGCAGTAGTAGTCCAAGCATATGATTTTATTTTACATTATTGAGAGTTAGAATTATTAGGTGAAATAAAATGAAAAACTTTCTTGGTATTTTCATTGAGAATTTATCAAATGTGCAAATTAATTTGTGGAAAATTAATATCTTTGCCATGTAAGTCTACTCATCATAAACATGGCATGTTGCTTCAATCTCTTTGTACTTACATATTTTATCATGTGTATTTTTTGTTAGGTTTTCCTGCGTTTTAAAGCTTTTTATTCCTAAGTACTTTCTAGATTTGTTACTGTGATCATATAGGCATTTTCTTACTATATTTTCTGGTTGGTGACTGCTAATGTGCCAAAAAGCTATTCCTTATTGTTTTGTTTAAAACTGCTACCCTGTTGACTTTTCTTACTGGTTCTCATGGTTTTTTGTTTTGTTTTGTTTTGTTTTGTTTTCTTAGAAAGAAACATTTAATAGGGACTTAAGAACAGAAGCCATGTCTGTGTCTCATGCAGTGGCAAGACAAGGTGGTGGATCCCTGCACCATTACCCCCAGACCCAGTGCTTCTAGACCGTAGGGAGGGGTGGTTCAGAAGGGATGTGTAAGACAGTTGAAGTACAGTTACATCAAGGTTGTTTGACCTAAGGGTAGGATTTATGGTAAGTACCTGGTCTGACACAAGGAACAATAGATGAACTGGAAATCTTAGAGGCCTTCCCAGAACAGGGGCTAATCAGAAGCCCACACGGTAGATGAACTTCCAAGATGGAGTCCAGAACAGGGGTTAATCAGAAGCTCACATGGTAGATTAGTTTCCAAGATGGAGTCCAGAACAGGGGTTAATCAGAAGCCCACATGGTCGATGAGCTTCCAAGATGGAGTCCAGAACAGGGGTTAATCAGAAACCCACATGGTAGATTAGCTTCCAAGATGGAGTCCAGAACAGGGGTTAATCAGAAGCCCACATGGTCGATGAGCTTCCAAGATAGAGTCCAGAACAGGGGTTAATCAGAAGCCCACATGGTCGATGAGCTTCCAAGATGGAGTTGCTTTGGCCTTCACACTTCACCTCCCAGTCCAGCTTTTCTATCTTATGCGCCCTCCCCTGAACGTTAGGTAGGGTGCCTGATATTGCAGAGCTTTAGCAGCAGTGCAGTGGAAAACAGATTAGGCCAAGGAGGGTTCCAAATTAAGGAGGTTCACAGGGTTGTTGAATCATTTCTAGTCTTCAGAATACTATGACTTTGCTTGTCTCAGATGAAGTAAAACAATGAGAGATACATAACAATAATTTGAATAATAGAAATAGAATGCACACAAGGATTACAAACGAAAGAGAACTTTTGATTGTGCCAGAACAACACCAGCAAATAACCTGTTCCGTTAATGGGCCGACTAAAAGTATCATGAAGAAAACGAAAACCTGGTTCCTTTTTAGGGACTTCTTGTAGCCAGGAAATAATTCAGTTAGCCCAAATTATAGGCAAATAATAAAAACTCAGAACAGCAATCAGAATCTAAAATTTTCTCTCTCTGGTGTCCCTACTTCTACCAAGAATAAATCGTAGCAGGACCAACTTATTTGCAAATAAATTTTGATCTCATTATACTTGGCCTGGTTATTTGCATAAAGAATAGCAAGAATAGTGACCAGCCATGTAGGCTTCTTTTAAGTTGACTTTGCTGGAGCTTTTTTTTTTTTTTCTTTTTTCTTTTTGAGACGGAGTCTTGCTCTGTCGCCCAGGCTGGAGTGCAGTGGTGTGATCTTGGCTCACTGCAACCTTCGCCTCCCGGGTTCAAGCGATTATCCTGCCTCAGCCTCCTGAGTAGCTGGGATTACAGGTGTGTTCCAGCACGCCTGGCTAATTTTTGTATTTTTAGTAGACATAGGGTTTCACCATGTTGGTCAGGCTGGTCTCAAACTTCTGACCTCATGATCTGCCCTCCTCAGCCTCCCAAAGTGCTGGGATTACAGGCATAAGCCACTGCTCTCGGCCTTGCTGGAACTTTTTAAAGGAATTTTGGATTCGACTTTTTAAAAGCTTAGAAGGCCAGAAGCCAAGCCAAGGATTTGCTGCTCGACTGTGCTTGTAACACCTGTATGAATTCCTGTCTTCTCGAGATCCCAAAATACCATGAGGTTCCTGAGCCTGTTAAAAAGTGACATTCTTTACTTGCCACAGATCAGGAATCTTTAAGGTGGACAAGGTACCAGGCGAGTCTTTCCAAGGGGCTTTTTATCAGCTCTATAAATCCAACCTAAATTTCTCAAAGCAGCCTGGTTATATCTGAAAATATGCCATTCCATTTGAGGCCTTGATAAAATAACCAGTCTCTCAATTGTGTCCTTTTTACAAAAGAAAACAGATTCTTGCTGAACTTATGCAAATAACTCTATTGCCATAAAATCAGAATACTCATGAATAGTTTCCAAATTTTGGAGAAATCAGGTAGAGAGAAAGGTAAATTTTGCTCACAAAACATACTTTACCCAATTGCCCTAAGCTATAAATAACTCAGAAAGATTCTTGACTCTTCTTTAATCAGAGCAGCAGTCTTCCAAACAGGATGTCATTTGTTCACCTTGGAACTGCCATCCACAAATCAAGCAGCTCTTTGTCAGTCAGGTGAGAGCTGTTTATCAGGGACTGTCGAATCCAACAGCTGTTTACACAGTTCCAGAGTCAGTGGAACAGAAGCCATGTCTGTGTCTCAGGCAGCTGCAAGACAAGATGGTGGATCTCCACCAGTTCTCATTTTATCTCAGCCGATTCTCTTAGTTTTTTTGTTTGTTTGTTTGTTTGAGATGGAGTTTTGCTCTTTGTTGCCCAGGCTTGAGTGCAGTGGCACGATCTCAGCTCACTGCCAACCTCCGCCTCCCGGGTTCAAGTGATTCTCCTGCCTCAGCCTCCTGAGTAGCTGGGATACAGGCGCCCACCACCACACCTGGCTGATTTTTTTGTGTTTTTAGTAGAGGTGGGGTTTCACTGTGTTAGTCAGGATGGTCTCGATCTCTTGACCTCATTATTTGCCTGCCTCAGCCTCCCAGAGTGCTGGGATTACAGGCGTGAGCCACCGCACCCAGCCGCCATGTGTTTTTAAAGAAAATGATTTTAGTGGTTTACACAAAGTATAATATTTTCTATAGGTTTAAGGAAGAAACACTTTATTGTGTCAAGGAAATTCCTTGTACTTTGCTTTAACTTCTAAGTTTTGAAAGTGTTGAAAAAAAAATTTTTTTTTGAGGGGGAGTCTCGCCCTTGTTGCCCAGGCTGGAGTGCAATTTTGTGATCTCAGCTCACTACAACCTCCACCTCCTGGGTTCAAGTGATTCTCCTGCCTCAGCCTCCCGTCACCATGCCCGGTTAATTTTTTTGTATTTAGTAGAGACAGGGTTTCACCATGTTGGTCAGGCTGGTCTCAAACTCCTGACCTCAAATGATCTGCCCACCTCAGCCTCTGAAAGTGCTGGGATTACAGGTGTGAGCCACTGCACCTGGCCTCCTAGGTTCTCTTTTTGTGTGTCACCAGTATTATGCCTTTACCTCATTTTTCTCATAAATCCTATGGCTTTTTATGCAACTTTGCATGGTGTGATTTTTTGCAGCATATATGTCCCATTACAGTAGAACTGTTTATCATAATCTCTTGTGAAATTTTAAATCTCTTAAGAGTTTTGGACTGCTTCTTGGTCATAAAATTTTCTTTTTAAATTTTCTTTTGATCATGCTAGGTCAATTCAAAATTTTAACAGTTATTTTGTATTTTACTTTTATTCTTTTATTTATTTATTTATTTATTTTGAGTTAGAGTCTTGCTCTGTTGCCCAGGCTGGAGTGTAGTGGCACGTTCTCGCTCACTGCAGCCTTCACCTCCTGGGTTCAAGCGATTCTCCTGCCTCAGCCTCCCGAGTAGTGGGGACTACAGGCATGCGCCGCCATACCTGGCTAATTTTTTTTTTTTTTTTTTTTTTTTGAGATGGAATCTCGCTCTGTCACCCAGGCTGGAGTGCAGTGGCACGATCTTGGCTCACTGCAAGCTCCGCCTCCAGGGTTCACGCCATTCTCCTGCCTCAGCCTCCCGAGTAGCTGGGACTACAGGCGCCCGCCACCACACCCAGCTAATTTTTTGTATTTTCTGTAGAGACAGGGTTTCACCATGTTAGCCAGGATGGTCTCGATCTCCTGACCTCGTGATCCGCCCACCTTGGCCTCCC
The DNA here is from genome assembly GCF_000001405.40 of Homo sapiens. Classification (NCBI taxonomy): domain Eukaryota; kingdom Metazoa; phylum Chordata; class Mammalia; order Primates; family Hominidae; genus Homo; species Homo sapiens. The sequence continues at coordinate 133,000,684 of NC_000012.12, forward strand.
AAAGTGCTAGGATTACAGGTGTGAGCCACTGTGCCCGGCCTAATTTTTGTATTTTTAGTAGGATAGGGTTTCACTATGTTGGCCAGGCTGGTCTTGAACTCCTGATTGCAGGTGATCCACCCACCTCTGCCTCCCAAAGTGCTGGGATTACAGGCGTGAACTACCATGCCTGGCCTGTTTTCATTCGTATCAAGCTTAAAGAAATAGTAAAAGGCTTTAAATAAAATAGACAATAAGCCTCCTGGTCTACCCGCTGCTCCTGGTCTACCTGCTATCTGCTGTGCACCTTCCCTCTTCCATCCTGTGTCCCCAGAAGCAGCCACTTTGGGCTCCGTTTCGTCTTCTGCTGTCGACCTCCAGCTTCTAATATGGTCACATCGAAGTGACTTGTTTCATGTTTCTTCTCCCTCAGATTTAAAGTAACCAGCTTGATAAGCACCTCAACGTAATAAGGGCACAGTAGTGGCTTCATTTTTCTCATCACAGCCTCAGGCTTCCTGTCAGCCCTTCCCTAGTGCTCGTCGTGAGGAGAGCTGATGATGCTCTGGTCACAGCCTTGTTTGTTATTGACTCTCAGTTACTTTCAGGTATGGGAAAGTTCAGTCCACACTCTCACTCCAAGCTCTTGTACCTCCCCTCATTCTAGCCTGCAGAGGGGAGATGGAGGAGGCTTGTCTGTATTCCCACTTCATTTACTTGTTGCCCTCCGACGGGGGCTCCTTCTGGGTTGGGGTGGGAAAATCAGTGGTTAGAGAAAAAGACACAGAGTCTCCTGTTGTGCGGTGGTCAGTACCCAGAGTTATGACAGGCATCAGTGGGGCTTGGTTGGAGCCTCTGACAGGGCTCTGCCCTGCAGTTCCATGGTGTATGTGATTCTTTCTCTCACTGCATGCAGACTCACCCAGAAGTCCACTCACTGCCTCTTCCCCTGGGGTCTCCCTCCCTGCAGGTAGTGCTGCTGAGGAGGAGCCTGCTAATGAGCTCAAGTGTCAAGTTCGGGAATCTTCTGGGTGTTCCTTGGGCCCAGGGAAACAGTGCCCTGCCTGAGGTGAGCCGCAGGGAGGCGGGGCCCTGTTTGAGGTGAGCTGCTGAACCCTCACTCCCCAGCTGCCTTTTGAGAGTCCCGCGGCAGTCTTTGCCTTCAGAATTTTTCAGAGGAAAGCAGTTATTCGATCCTTGTTTACTTAAATTCTTAAGTACATGTCAGTTCCTTCTGAAAATTACCCAGATTTAGCCTGGTCGGCTGTTGCAGATGTCCAGGTTGTGTGTGGGGCACTTGCACAGTCCCCTTTTCTTAGAGCCCCTCCTGTTTGAGAGGATGGATACCCGCTTCCCTTTCTTCTCACGTGTTCTTAGCAAGGTCACTTTTCTCCTTCAGTGACTCACTTCTGTGGACTGTTTTCTGGTTGGATCTCCCCCATCTTCCGTCATTCATGGACCAGTTATTCACTATCTTCTTTCTCCGTTTGTTATCCCCAGGCTTCTCCACCTCCTTAAAGGGAAAGTTCTGTAGTTTGCTTGGCCAGGCTGCTTGGTGTCCTCCTGGCCCCCCTTCTGTCTCTCAGCGTGCCATGCTGTCTCTATCAGGTTGTGTTCTGGCTCTGTCCCCACAGGATGCCCAGAATCCAGCCACCATTTATCATCCCCATCGCTGTCACTTTGGCCTACACTGCCTTCTTCCACTGGACTAACACAGTTGCCTTCTAACTGGTCTCCCCGGTATCTCCTCTTACACAACCCCCTCCCTCTTCCACAGCAGTCAGGATGATCTCAAAATACCAGTCAGAGCGAGAAGCCTTTCAGTGGCTTCTCACAGCGCTTGCATTTCTGCCTAGGTATAACCTCATCAGAGAGCTGCCCTGATCACCGTGTCTGAAACAGCACCTGTGCCTCCCTCTGTCTCATGACTCTGTCCCTTACCTGCTTGGATTTTTTGTTTGTTTTTTGTTTTTTTGTTTTGAGATGTAGTCTTCTGTGTCGCCCAGGCTGGAGTGCAGTGGTGCGATTTCTACTCACTGCAACCTCCACCTCATGGGTTCAAGCGATTCTCCTGTCTCAGCCTCCTGAGTAGCTGGGGTTGCAGGTGTACACCAGCATGCCTGGCTAATTTTTGTGTTTTTAATAGAGACAGAGTCTCACCATATTGGCCAGGCTGGTCTCGAACTCCTGACCTCAGGTGATCCACCCGCCTTGGCCTCCCAAAGTGCTGGGATTACAGGTGTGAATCACCATGCCCAGCCTGGATTTTGTTAAGAGTACCTAGCACCCCTGGCATGTTAGGTAGTCATGTGTTGGCTGAGTAACACCCACCCTGGAGACCCTAGGTGGGTGGGACCTGGGAGCCTAATTCATATACTGCTTTTAGCTGTTTACAGTTCACACCTCATTCTCATCATGCAGGATGACTGTTCCCAAAGCTTTTGGGGCTTCTGTGGGAGAGATGGTTTGCTGTGCATCAGCTTACCTCTGGGAGAGCTTTTGCTCACGGAAGTCAGTTACCAGATTTTTGGCTTACTGTTTATTAAAAATTTATCAAAATATCATATTGGCTTCTGTTTATGTAGTTCCCTTTTCTTTTTTTTTTTTTTTTGAGATGGAGTCTCGCTCTGTTGCCCAGCTGGAGTGCAGTGGCGCAATCTCGGCACACTGCAAGCTCTGCCTCCTGGGTTAACGCCATTCTCCTGCCTCAGCCTCCCGAGTAGCTGGGACTACAGGCACCCGCCACCACGCCTGGCTAATTTTTTGCATTTTTAGTAGAGACGGGGTTTCACCGTGTTAGCCAGGATGGTCTCGATCTCGTGACCTTGTGATCCGCCGCCTCGGCCTCCCAAAGTGCTGGGATTACAGGCATGAGCCACCGCCCCTGGCCTCCCTTTTCTTTTAGAGGTGTGTTTGTGTGTACTGTATTCCTGTATGTAATTTAAATGGGTCTCAGAGGAGGATACTGATAATCATGTTTAAATCTTCTCTCCATTCTCTCTGTTCCTACTTTCAAATCATGTTTAGTCTCCATCTCAACCTCCCTAATGGGCATAAATCTTACAACTTTGTAGGTGTTTTGATTTGTGAAATTATATATTATAGAAAAGCCATCTAGCATAGAAGAATAATGCCCGAGTATTGATGAGCCAGGAGGGATGGTGAACCACGTGGAGGTGCCTGGGCAAGAGGAGTCTGTTGGCTGTAGTGAGACCGTCATGCTACTTGGGATGTATAAATAAGAAATGCCTTTAGTTTAAGTCCCTTGAGTTAAACTGATGTAAAAATGCAATTATTTATGCTAATTCTGTGAGTATCAGCTTTCATTGATGTAGCATTTACCTGATATCTTTCTTCATTTCTTTATTTTCTAATTTGTATTTTTTCTTTGGTGTATCTCATAAGTTTCAAACTGTCTTAGTTTTGTTTTCAGTATGTTTCTTCTAACATGAATGTGTTCTTTCTCAGTCGGTTTTTTCTCTACTGTTTGGGAAGCTGTACTTGTCTTCCTCCCTGCTCCCTCCCTACATTTTTAGTGCTTGATTGTCTTTAAGTTGTTCACAGGCACACTGAACGTTTCCCTTTAAAACAAAGTCTAAACAGTTGCATTTTCTCTTTTCCCAAGTGAAAGATGTTTCTTTATACCTTCATTTTTTATGATTCTCATCTATTTGCATCACACACATGCTTAAATTGTAGCTGATTATAATTTTAGTTCAGATGTGTTTGAATCAATAGATTTATGTTCTGCTGATTTCAGTGCTCACCGTTGTATCCAGCTTCCCACCAATTCTTTCTGTGTCTTAATGTTGTCTCTATAGGGTGTAATTTTTTTTTTTTAGAGACAGAGTCTGGTTCTGTTGCCCAGTGTAAAGTGCAGTGGCATAGTCATGGCCAACTACAGCCTCAAACTCCTGTGCTCAAACCATCCTTCCACCTCAGCCTCCTGAGTAACTGGGACTACAGGCGTGCACCACTATGCCCACACATTTTTTTGTTATTTGTAGAGATGAGGTCTAACTATGTGACCCAGGATAGTCTGAAACTCTTGGCCTCAAGTGATCCTCCCGCCTCAGCCTCCCAAATGCTGGGATTATAGGCATGAGGTACCACATTTGATGGATATAAATTTTCCAGGTGCTAGTATATTTGAAAATGTCTTTTATTTTCCCTTATTTTTGCTTTTTAGTTTGGCTGGTATAAGATTTCAGAATCAGCATTATTTTTTCTCAGTACTTTATTTCTCTCCCACTTTCAAGAAGCATTGTTCTTTCCTTTTAGTTGGTTATCAGGTGTTCTCTTTATACTTTATTTTCAGACATTTCATTACCATCTGCTTAAATTTGGACCTTTTTTTTGTTTGTTAACTTATCTTGTATTTCAATTGGTAGGTTTTTCTCATGTGAACTCCTGTATTTGTCTTCACTCCAAGAGAATTTTCAGGCCGCATTTCTTTGAACATTGCCCTATTATTTCTCTTATTTATATAAACCTACATTGGTAATTCTTCTATAAACCAGGAAAATCATTCCAGGTTTATTTATTTATTTATTTTTTTGAGACGGAGTCTTGCTCTGTCGCTCAGGCTGGAGTGCAGTGATGCGATCTTGGCTCACTGCAACTTCTGCCTCTCTGGTTCCAGCGATTCTCCTGCCTCAGCCTTCTGAGTAGCTAGGATTGCAGGTGCCCACCCCCACGCCTGGCTAATTTTTGTATTTTTAGTAGAGACGGGGTTTCACCGTGTTGGTCAGGCTGGTCTTGAACTCCTGACCTTGTGATCCGCTTCCCTCGGCCTCCCAGAGTGCTGGGATTACAGGCATGAGCCACCACACCCGGCCAGGTTTATTTTGTAGTCTAGCTCTTACCTGTTCACCTGTTGTAGCCATCGCTGTGGTTTGAGTGTATCTTCCAAATTTCATGTGTTGGAAATTTAATTCCTAAATTTATTTGTTGATGGTATTTGGAGGTGGGACCTTTGGGAGGTATTTAGGATTTGATAAAGTCATCAGGGCAGGGCCCCTATGATGGGATTAGTAGCCTTAAAAGGATAGGAAGAGAGACCTGAGCTGGCATGCTGTCTGTCTCTCATCATGTATTGCCTTCCACCAAGTTATGACATAGCAAGAAGGCCCTCACCAGATGCCAGCACCATGCTTATGGACTTCCTGGCCTCCAGAACCTTGAGCTAAATGAACATTTTTCTTTATAAATTACCCAGTTTCTGGTATTCTGTTATAAAAATAGAAAACAAAGACAGCAGTCTTTTCGGTGTCTGAAATATTTGTTGTTCCTTGAATTGACCAGGCTCTACCATGTGTTCTGTGTGATGCTTGCTTCTGGTACAGGGACTGCAAATTATGTTCCATCTATTTTTTTTTCTTTCTTTCATAATAGATTTGCCAGTTTTTCAGTTGGGCATATACAGAAACTCCATTTCTGAATTTCCCTGCTGTTCCCTCCCAGCCCCCACTCTTTGCTGTTGCTTAGAATGCAGATGTGATGACTAGAGCCATCTTAGACTGGGTTGCCCTGGAAGTGGAAGCCATGTAAGGTGGAGCAAGAGATGGAAGCCCCAGACCAATTGCCTTCAGACTCCTGCAAGTAGAAGGATAAACTCTCTTGTTTATCCCCCTGTTCTCAGCTGAACCTCGTCCAAACACCTCCTGAATTGCCCTTTCTACCCCAACTTCTTGAACACATCATGAATCTTCTAAGACTACTTGAGTGGCTCTCTTCATTTCTGTACAAAATGTACCCTGGATGTTTTTACCAAGGACTCAGAACACCTTATTTTGTTTGCATGTATAAATGTTCATTCCCATCTACAAGATAGAAAGTTTCTTGAAGACAGAACTGGATTTTATTCATCCTGAAATCTTCAGGACCCAAGAGAGTACCGGCAAATAGAAGCTCCTTGATTGATTTTTTCTTTCTTTCTTTTTTTTTTTTTTAGATGGAGTCTCACTCTGTCGCCGAGGCTGGAGTGCAGTGGCACGATTTTGGCTTGCTGCAACCTCTGCTGCCTGGGTTCAAGTGATTCTCCTGCCTCAGCCACCTGAGTAGCTAGGATTACAAGTGCCTGCCACTGCGCCCAGCTAATTTTTGTATTTTTAGTAGAGACAGGGTTTCACCATCTTGGTCAGGCTGGTCTTGAACTCCTGCCCTTGTGATCCACCCGCCTTGGCCTCCGAAAGTGCTGGCGTGAGCCACCGTGCCTGGCACTCCTTGATTGATTTTTAATTCTCTCACAAAGTAAATGCTGAACCAGCCACAGGAAATAGTTGGTAGAGGAACATTTATCCCTTCCCAGTTCCTCTGCATCTTTTCCATGTCACCTAATGTAATTGCATCCAATTGAACAGGGTGTGTGTTATTTCAGGGATTATTGTCATTCAAGGATATATCTATGGAGTTCACCTGGGATGAATGGCAGCTACTGGATTCTACACAGAAGTACCTGTACAGAGATGTGATATTGGAAAACTATCATAACCTGATATCAGTGGGTAAGTACTGCGTCTCAATGTTACTCAGATAGTGAATATTAAATTGCCATCCCTTTTTTTGTTGTTGAACTACTCCGGGATCTCTGAAGTGCTTAATGATTATGAACTTGAACTTTAGGGGTCAAATTTCCTTAGTCCCTGTTTGTCCCACACTTCCTAATTGTAATCTTTCCCCAAGTGAGATGAGCAGTTTTGCTCTGTAGCTCTTGATTCCTCGGTCCTGTCCCTAACAGCCTGGTCCCCACCCTTTGTGATTTCCCATCAACAGGGTATCATGGTACCAAGCCTGACTTAATCTTCAAGTTGGAACAAGGAGAAGATCCATGGATAATAAATGCCAAAATTTCCAGGCAGAGCTGTCCAGGTGGGTGAGTGAGAAAGAGGAAGGTGGGAGGCATGGGAGTGAGCTGATGAGTACCTGAGGAGTGGGCACTCACAGTGTTGTCTTCAGAAATGCTTCTGGAAGTCCTTGAGCTATTGGAGCTGACTCAGGATGAAGCCAGGAGCTCCTCAGATAAGGACATCGCCGTCACTCTTCATATATTTGGGTTTTTCTTCCCCCTTACTGTTGAGAGGCAGGCATGCCCCTCTTTCCTGAACTCTGCTTCAGGTTTGCTTTTGGGTAAGTTTCCGTCCTCCCCATGGTCATGGGTTTTATTGGGCATCGAGACCTTTAGAGGATTTCTTTTTCCCCTCACTTGATGTGGCTCATTGCCCTCTATTTCCATTTCTTTTATTTCCTCCTTTGCCTTCCACAGTTAAATCCCCTAGACTTGACTCACAGTCTTGGCCCTGGTGTCTCCTATATCTTTGAGTGACTTTACACACCTTATACTTCCCTTTTGCGTTGTCCAGAGGGGTATTTTTTCCCAGTTTGGCTCTCCTCTCCGAATGTTGTAACTGTCGAAAGGCTCTTCCGTTCCGAAGGTTTACGCTTTCCCCCCAGTGTTGTAACATCAAAATTGACGTCTTTCTCTTTGGCACTTGAGTCCTGGGTTTTACCTGCCTGTGGGAGCGCTACCCCACGCTTTCCCAGACTTTACTCTCAGTATCAGAAATGGGGATTTCCTTCTAAAATTACCGTTCTTCCTCAAAAGAAATGGCCAGAGTCCTTCATTTTCTTTCACAAGTTTCTTTCTTAGTGTTTCCATCTCTAAGGAGCAGTGCCATCTTGCCGTTCAAGCTGTTGACTCCTCCCCTTCTCTGCTCCCACATCTAGTCCCTTAGCAAACCATCTTAGTTCTCTCTCCCGTATGTTCCAAATTTCCTCAACTCCAGACATGTGTTAGGCCATTCTTTCATTGCTATAAAGAAATACCTGAGACTGGCTGGGCACGGTGGCTCATGCCTGTAATCCCAGCACTTTGGGAGGCCGAGGCGGGTGGATCACAAGGCCAGGAGATGGAGACCATCCTGACTAACATGGTGAAACCCCGTCTCTACTAAAAATACAAAAAATTAGCGGGGTGTGGTGGCGGGCGCCTGTAGTCCCAGCTACTCAGGAGGCTGAGGCAGGAGAATGGTGTGAACCCAGGAGGCGGAGCTTGCAGTGAGCCGAGATCGTGCCACTGCACTCCAGCCTGGGCAACAGAGCGAGACTCCATCTCAAAAAAAAAAAAAAAAAAAAGAAAAACACCTGAGACTAAATTTATAAGAAAAGAGGTTTAATTGGCTCAGAGTTCTGCAGGCTGTATGGGAAGCATGGCAGCCTTTGCTTCTAGGGAGGTCTCAGGTAGCTCCGGTCATAGTGGAAGGCAAAGGGGGAGCAAGCACATCACATGGTGAAAGCAGGAGTAAGGCGGGGCGGGGAATGTGCCACATACTATCAAATGACCAGATCTCACAAGAACTCACTATCGTGAAGACTGCACCAAGCCATGAGGGATCTGCCCCCATAATCCAGATGCAGGCACCTCCCACCAGGCCCCACCTCCAGCACTAGAGATTCTAATTCAACATGAGACTTGGGTGGGGACAGATACCCAAAGTATATCAAGAACTGTAGTTCAAATTATTATCTCATTCTGGACTGCTACAATAGCTTCCTAAAGTATTTCTCTGTCCTTTTCTTACTTTTTACAGAACAGTCAAACTGATCTTTTAAATGCAGAAGATTGAGATTTTCTGTAATTAAAACCTTTAGGCTGGGCACAGTGGCTCACACCTGTAATCCCAGTACTGTGGGAGGCCAAGGCGGGCGGATCGCTTGAGCTCAGGAGTTTGAGACCAGCCTGGCCAACAAGTGAAACCCCATCTCTACTAAAAATACAAAAATTAGCTGGGCATGATGGCATGTGCCTGTAGTCCCAGCTACTCAGGAATCTGACATGGGAGGATTACTTGAACCCAGGAGGTCGAGGCTGCAGTAAGCCAAGATTGCGCCACTGCACTCCAGCCTGAGTGAAAGAGCAAGACCCTGTCTCAAAAAAAAAAAAAATCTTAAAAATATGAACAACTTTTTGCCATGGATTTGAATAATTTGGTTCTGCTTTCATTCCATTCACTCAGTGGGTTTTAGCTTTCCTGGCCTTTTTCTATTTCTTAAACCCTGTCAGTCAGGCTTCTTCCTCAGGAACTTTGTACTTGGTGTAGTGGCGTGATCTCGGCTCACTGCAACCTCCGCCTCCCAGGTTCAAGCGATTCTTCTGCCTCAGCTTCCCTAGTAGCTGGGATTACAGGTGCCCGCCACCATGCCTGGCTAATCCAAGTGCCAATTTTAAACCTCTATTTTAAAAAGTATTTTTGATTACTGGTAATTTGCTACCAGTTTTCACGACGGGACCTGTTTTGGTTTGTTTTGATTCAGTTCCCTTGCCCCCATGCTTGGCCAGTATTTCTTTTGAACCAGTGTGGTAGGCTTGTTACCAAAAGAGAAAGGTTGATTACATCACAGTCCTAATACTGTTTAATTCCATATCAGGTTTATGTTATGATTCAAAAAGTTATATTTTGTTTGTTTTTTTGTAGATGGCTGGGAAGAATGGTACCAGAACAATCAAGATGAGCTTGAGAGTATTGAAAGAAGCTATGCTTGTAGTGTGTTGGGAAGACTTAATCTGAGCAAAACCCATGATTCTTCAAGACAGAGACTCTATAACACACGTGGAAAAAGTTTGACACAAAACTCAGCTCCAAGCAGAAGTTATTTAAGAAAGAATCCTGATAAGTTTCATGGTTATGAAGAACCATATTTTCTTAAGCATCAAAGAGCTCATAGCATAGAAAAAAACTGTGTGTGTAGTGAATGTGGGAAAGCTTTTCGTTGTAAGTCACAGCTCATTGTACATCTCAGAATTCATACAGGAGAGAGACCTTATGAATGCAGTAAATGTGAAAGAGCCTTCAGTGCCAAGTCAAACCTTAATGCTCATCAGAGAGTTCATACAGGAGAAAAACCCTACTCATGTAGTGAGTGCGAGAAGGTCTTCTCTTTCAGGTCACAGCTCATTGTCCATCAGGAAATTCACACAGGAGGGAAACCCTATGGCTGCAGTGAATGTGGGAAAGCCTACAGTTGGAAATCACAGCTTCTTTTACACCAGAGAAGTCACACAGGAGTGAAACCGTATGAATGCAGCGAATGTGGGAAAGCCTTTAGTTTGAAGTCTCCATTCGTTGTACACCAGAGAACTCATACAGGAGTGAAACCCCATAAATGCAGTGAATGTGGGAAAGCCTTTAGGAGTAAGTCCTATCTCCTTGTTCACATCCGAATGCATACAGGAGAAAAACCCTATCAATGCAGTGATTGTGGGAAAGCCTTCAATATGAAGACACAACTCATTGTACATCAGGGAGTTCACACAGGAAATAATCCTTATCAATGCGGTGAATGTGGGAAAGCCTTTGGTAGGAAGGAACAGCTCACTGCACATCTGAGAGCTCATGCAGGAGAGAAGCCCTATGGATGCAGTGAATGTGGGAAGGCTTTCAGCAGCAAGTCATACCTTGTTATACATAGGAGAACACACACCGGAGAGAGACCCTATGAATGTAGTTTGTGTGAGAGAGCCTTTTGTGGAAAATCACAGCTGATTATACATCAGAGAACTCATTCAACTGAGAAGCCCTATGAATGCAATGAATGTGAAAAAGCCTACCCTAGGAAGGCATCACTTCAGATACACCAGAAAACTCATTCGGGAGAGAAACCTTTTAAATGCAGTGAATGTGGAAAAGCCTTCACTCAGAAGTCATCTCTCAGTGAACATCAGAGAGTTCACACCGGAGAGAAACCATGGAAATGCTCTGAATGTGGGAAATCCTTCTGTTGGAATTCAGGGCTTCGTATACATCGGAAGACTCATAAATGAGAAATCAGAATGATGCAATGTGAGAAACTGATGTTCAGGAGACTTCGGATAATATAGACAGGATTTACAAGCAGGAGGCCCTAAAATTACACTCATGTCAAAAATCAGAGAGGAGAGAGACCAACCATATTTGGGATGAGTGTAAAAGCTTTCAGAAATAAGTTACAAATCTTTGTAGATGAAAATAATGGAAGGAATGTGGAGCAATAAATGTATCAAATGTTGTAGTATCATCATGAAGATTCAGAGAATTTACACTAGGAACACCTTATAAGTTGAATAAATTAAGGAAGCATTTTCCCATTGAAAGTGTGTTCCATGGAAAGTCACATTCCAGATTTGAAGCTGTGTTTTTGTAAAATAAAATCTTGGTATGAACAGTTGACTTCATGGTGGAGTATAAAGTTGTTTTTTTAAAAATATGTAAATAATGTTCAGGAAAAACGCAGGGAACAGAGTCTTAAAGTTAATGGATATTTAATGTGACTTTCCTGAGTTAACACTGAATAGTATTTCTAAAATTTTTTGTACTTTATTTTTTAATGTAACTTGTTCTATCTATCTATATATATATTTGATAGTTTGTGGAATAATATCCCCCAGTATTTTCCATATTAAATGCTAATTATCTTTTGATTTCTTTTTCATAAGCAGATCTGGCATTTATTACAGGGCTGCCGCTTAAGAGAACTCATTATAATGAACGTTTATTATATTTTGCAGTTCCATGCCTGTTGTCCATTGATTGACATGAGCACCCCTGTTTTCTCTGGAGAAATACCTCCCCTCTCTGGGGTGCTTCCTGTGGTAGTGTCTTTCAGGTATCCGTTCCACTAGCTACAGGTGAGCATTTTACCCATTGTTGGATAATGGTAATCTCTTTTTCAGAATTTTGAGTCTGTAATTCATTTGTACATGAACCAGAAAATGTGGGAACTCATTCATTCTTGTCCCAGAATTCTGTTGAGAACATCCATTCATTCTGGCTAATTGATTACAAGAATAACTGTGGATACGATCCCTTTAGAACCTGCTTCTCTGATCTGTGTGTTTCCTCACTTCTCAATAAAAATGTCTTTTGCTTTTTGTTGTTTGGGTTTTTTTTTTTTTTTTTTTTTTTTTTTTTTTGAGACTAAGTTTCACTCTTGTCCTCCAGGCTGGAATGCAATGGCATGATCTCAGCTCACTGCAACTTCCACCTCCTGGGTTCAAGCAATTTCCTTGCCTCAGCCTCCCAAGTGGCTAGGATTACATGCCTGGCTAATATTTGTATTTTTAGTATAGACGGGGTTTCACCATGTTGGCCAGGCTGGTCTTGAACTCCTGACCTCAGGTGATCTGCCCACTTCAGCCTCCCAAAGTCATGGGATTACAGGTGTGAGCCACCGAGCCCGGCCAGCTTTCTATTTCTTATAACCTAAGGGCTTTAACTGATCAGTTGTTGCCTTGGTAGCATGTAGTTAACAAAGTGGGGTATATGATTTAGGTTTGTTTGTTTTTCCTGAGACAAGAAAATCACATTCTTGTTTATATTTGAAGATAGCAACTTTTAGCCATCATGTGAAATATGGTTATTGTTTCTGTACACCTGGAACGTTGTAGTGCCTGATACTGAAATTTTGGAAACACTGAAGAATTATAGCATTATAAGAATTTTAAATTTATGAGAAAATCTGAGACAGGGGCAGAGATGGCTGATTTTGATCTTGCTGGATCTTAGACCATGAGAATGACAGGCCTGAAGCCCTGAAATCTCACCTCAGGGTGGAGTGTCAGACTTGGCAACTTTGACATTGCTGAAAAAGTTTCTTACAGCTGTAGGAGTGAGGTGGTGGGAATCAAATAGTATATTTGGCTTGGTGAATTAAAGTCAGTTCACCTCAAATGTTTACTAAATCCCTTAATGTAAACATGTGTTGAAAAAGTTATCCTCACCCTTCCCCCCCTCAAAAAGTTATCCCTTGATAATTTGAATAGGAATATCTGGGAAGAACCTGAGGACTCAGCCTAGCAAGCTCTTGTGATAGACTTTGAATAGCAGTATCTGCGAAGAACCTGAGGCCTCAGCCTAGCAAACTCTTCTGATAGACTTTGAATAGGAATGTCTGGGAAGAACCTGAGGACTCAGCCTAGCAAACTCTTCTGATAGACTTTGAATAGGAGTATCTGGGAAGAACCTGAGGACTCAGCCTAGCAAACTCTTCTGATAGACTTTGAATAGGAATGTCTGGGAAGAACCTGAGGACTCAGCCTAGCAAACTCTTCTGATAGACTTTGAATAGGAGTATCTGGGAAGAACCTGAGGACTCAGCCTAGCAAACTCTTCTGATAGACTTTGCACTGCAGATGCTTCATTTAAGGCTATAGAGTAGATGTTGGCAATATATAAAATTCAAACTTGAGTGTCCATAAATAACTGTTGTTGGAACATGGCTAAATATATTTGTGTATTATTTGACTGCTTTTGCACAGCCATGGCACAGTTGAGTAGTTGAGGTATAAAAAACCTGCCACCTCCTGATACAGATAGAACCCCTTCCCTTTTCTGGGAAAATGTGGAATTTGCCTTGCAGGAGGAAGCTTATTCTGCCAGTTCCCCATGGCTTATTTTTACCAGTTTGGTAACAATAATCTACACTAAACATGCCCTGGGATGGGATTGCTCATTTAGGAAAATATGTAGAATTCATAGAGCATTGCAGGAATGAGTAATGTATCAAAACTTCTCAGCATGACAACACCCAGGGCAACGTGACAAAACCCTGTCTACAAAAGTTTCTTAAAAGCTGGTTACAGCGGTGCACACCTGCAATCCCAGCTACTCAGGAGGTTGAGGCAGGAGGATCACTTGAGCCCAGGAGGTCAAGGATGCAGTGAGCTGCACTGTACTCCAGTCTGGGCAACAGTGAGACCCTGTCTCAAAAAAAAAGTTGGGGGAGGGGGTAGATACTTGTGAAATCCTTTGAGGGTGTTCAGTGAAGGGCAATTACTTACAGCATATACTTGGTGCACTGACACCCAGCAGTGATGATGGTTTTGCTTTCTGTTTTTTTTTTTGTTTTGTTTTGTTTTTTTTTTTTTTTGAGACGGAGTCTTGTTCTGTCACCCAGGCTGGAGTGAATTGCACAATCTCGGCTCACTGCAACCTCCGCCTCCTGGGTTCAAGCGATTCTCCTGCCTCAGCCTCCATAGTAGCTGGGATTACAGGTGTGTGCCACCGCGCCTGGCTAATTTTTGTATTTTTAGTAGAGACGGGGTTTCACCACGTTGGCCAGGCTGGTCTTGAATTCCTGACCTCAGGTAATCCACCTGCCTCGGCCTCCCGAAGTGCCGGGATTACAGGCGTGAGCCACCATGCCTGACCATGATGATGGTTTTAAAAGTTAGCTGTAGCAGCTAAGGCAAGACCAGATCCAACACTGGCTTATGGCAAGGGGAAGAACAAAAGTCAGGAACTTTGCCATAATCTAGAAGAAAGAATGATAATGCTTTGTGACATGCTGGATTGTATCCATTATGTGTTCCTAAGACCCTCAGCCCTCTCCCTCCACCAAGACCCAATAAAAGTGTGTTATTGAAAGTAGTAGCTACTGGCCGGGCGTGGTGGCTCACGCCTGTAATCCCAGCACTTTGGGAGGCCAAGGTGGGTGGATCACAAGGTCGGGAGTTCGAGTTCAGCCTGGCCAATATGGTGAAATCCCGTCTCAACTAAAAATACAAAAATTAGTCGGGCATGGTGGCGGGCGCCTGTAATCCCAGCTACTTGGGAGGCTGAGGCAGGAGAATCGCTGGAACCCGGGAGGTGGAGGTGGCAGTGAGCAGAGATTGCGCCATTGCACTCCAGCCTGGGTGACAGAGTGAGACTCTGTCTCAAAAAAAAAAAAAAAAAGAAAAGAAAATGACAAACACATGTTCTGTGTATATGACACAATCCTAACTGTGGCATGTATCTATGTCTTCACTTGCATCGGCCTCAATTATCAACTTGTGGCAAAAGAATAAGAAAGAGAACTAAAAAATGAAAAAAAATAAGATGCTTTCCTATGGTCCCAGCTACTTGGGAGGCTGAGGCAGGAGTGTCGCTTCAGCCCAGAAGGTTGAGGATGCAGTGAGCCATGATTGTGTTTCAGCCTGGATGACAGGGCAAGACCTCATATCTGTAAAAAGTAAAAATAAATAAACAAACTATATAATAATAATACAGAAGACAAATGTCAATGTTGCTGAAAAGCCAAAAGAAGCCAAGAGGACAGTCTTCTGAGTAGAGGGCATAGGAGTTCCCAAAGAGGAAAGTCCAGTCTGAGATCAGGCTGGAGGCCAAAAGGAACTCTTGACCTGAGACAGTTGGAAATATTACTTCTACTGGCAAATAAAAGTGCTTCAAGCAGACGTTTATTTAGAAATTCATGCTGCATGTTTATTGATGGAATGTTTGTGTGACTCTTTAATAGAAGTCTGAACTAGGTATGCCATATATTTCCATATATCTTCATTTGTCTTGGGGGTAAGTGTTGAGAGAAGGAAGTGGCTTTTGGTTTTGTGAGTGTCTTGAAGATCTAAGGTTTATTGTGAAAAAGTGTAGGGGTAATTTTTTTTTTTTTTTTTTTTTGAGACAGAGTCTCACTGTGTCACCCATGCTGGAGTGCAGTGGCGTGATCTCGGCTCACTGCAACTTCCGCCTCTGGGGTTCAGGTGATTCTCCTGCCTCAGCCTCCTGAGTAGCTGGGATTACAGGCACCTGCCACCACACCTGGCTAATTTTTGTATTTTTAGTAGAGATGGGGTTTCACCATTTTGGCCAGGATGGTCTCAAACTCCTGACCTCAGGTGATCCACCCGCCTTGGCCTCCCAAAGTGCTAGGATTACAGGCATGAGCCATCGTACCCGGCCAGAGCATCCTTAATTTTTAAAAACAATTTAGCTACTTTTTTTTTTTTTTTTTAACTATTTTAAGAGCATCACAGTAAAAGGAAAATAACAGCTCACTTTGGGGCCAAAGTCTAAAATTTAAAATCAGCCCTACTCTGGCTGGGTGCAGTGGCTTATGCCTATAATCCCAACACTTTGGGAGGCAGGAGGATCACTTGAGCTCAGGAATTTGAGACCAGTCTGGACAACAAAGCAAAACCCCATCTCTGAAAAAAAAAAAATACCCCGGGATGGTGGCTTAGGGCTGTGGTCCCAGCTACTCTGGAGGCTGAGGCAGGAGGATTGCTTGAGCCCAGGAGGTTGAAGCTGCAGTAAGCCATATTTGTACCACTGCACTCCAGCCTGGGTGACAGAGCAAGACCTTGACTCAAAAAAAAAAAAAAATTCTACTCTCTTGGTATTTGTAATATGTTATGAGATACCATCATTGGAGGTTGTAAGGATGGGAATATTAGTTGAAAGTCTGATATTTTATCATTGAGTTGCCCTTTTCCAATTTTACATGCTTAGGTTGACTTCTCAATAGCAACAGTAAAAATCAGAAGACAGTAAAAGAATGTCTTCAATGTTCTGAAAGAAAATATCTACCTAGAAGGGTTATTCACAAACCAGGGTGAAATAATGTCATTTTAAACAAAATATTTAATACCAAGAAAGTTGGAAACATAAAAAAATAAAAAGTCATGCTCGGCCAAATCTAAACAGACTTAAAAATTATAAGATGTAATTTGATGGTACAAAAATATGGAAATAAGCCCCAGAAAATAACAGTATGTAACATTGGAAGAAGTCTAATAATTTTTAGGGGAGTAGAGATTCTGATTATCCCACATGGCAGGGCATTAGACAAGGAGACCCACTTTACCACAGATAAGGTTCAGTGGTGGTCCCATGACTGATCTATTGGTCACACCTTATGCTTACCCCACCACCTAGAAGCGGCTGGTGTGACAGAGCATTGGATGACCTGCTGAAGGTGGTTTGAAGTACCAGCTTAGTGGCAGTACTTGACAAGCACAGGGCACCGTCCTCCAAGATGCAGTCCTGGAATCACAGACTTTTATCTGGTAGTGATTCCTCAATAGGGAGTGTACACAGGTCCAAGAGCCAAGGAGTGGGAACGGGATCAGCTCCACTTAACATCATTTCCAGTGATCAGTTTGGAGACTGAAGAGCAACAGTCTGAGGAATGACCCCAGGCAGTAATTTGTTTCCACAGAAAAAACAAAGAGCACCAGTAAAGGGTAATTATGTAATAATAAAAGATAGTGCAAGTGCAGATTTCTTATTTTATTAGTAACTGATTAATAATTATAGGCCAGGCGTGGTGGCTCACGCCTGTAATCCCAGCACTTTGGGAGGCCGAGGTGGGCGGATCACAAGGTCTGGAGGTCAAGACCATCCTCACTAACATGGTGAAACCCCATCTCTATTAAAAACACAAAAAATTAGCGGGGCGTGGTGGCGGGCGCCTGTAGTCCCAGCTACTCGGGAGGCTGAGGCAGGAGAATGGCTTGAACCCAGGAGGCAGAGGTTGCAGTGAGCCGAGATCACGCCACCGCACTTCAGCCTGGGCAACAGAGTGAGACTCCGTCTCAATAACAGCAACAAAAAAAGCAATTATATAAAACAATATGCAGTACTGTTTGGACTATAACATACAGAAGTGTAATATGTCTACCAATAACACCACAAAGGAGGAGGATGGGAGAAGAGTCGTGTTGGGGTAAGGAAATGGCTCTAGATGGCAACTTAAAGCCACAAGAATAAGCTGAGAGAACCAGAAATAGGAAATAAATAGGCTACTGTAACAAAAGCTGTTAATATATACTTTCTCTTCATCTCTCAGCCTCTTTAAATTATAAAATATATAAAGCAATATTTATAGCAATGTGTTGTTGCATTTGTAACATAGATATATATATCAATACCAGCACAAAAGTCGGGGTGGGGGCTAGAACTATATAGGAATAATGGGTTTATAAAAGTCTTATTGGAATTAAGGTAGTATAAATCTGAAGTAGACTCTGATAAGTTAATGTGTATTTAACACTTCCTAGAACAAACACTAAAGAAATAACTGCAAAAATATTGTAAGGAATCATTAAATAAATAAAATATTACATTACAAAATATGCACTTAAGACAAAAGTGAAGGAGAAATAGATGAACAAAAGATACATGAGACATAAAATACAAAAGGGAAAGCAGCATATGTAAATCTAACTATATCAATAATAACTTTTTTTTAAGAGGGTCTTGCTCTATTGCCCAGGCTGGAGTGCAGTTGCATGATCATAGCTCACTGCAGCCTTGAACTCTTGGCTTCAAGCAATTCTCCCACCTCCCACCTGGCTATTTTATTTTATTTTATTTATTTATTTATAGAGATGGAGGTATCAAACTCCAGGGCTCAAGCAATCCTCCCATTCTGGTCTCTCGAAGCATCAAGATTATAGGCATGAGCCAGCGCACCTGGCCAGTAATAACATTAAATGTGAATAGATTAAACTATCAAAAGACACAGATTGTCAAAGTGGTGATAAAAAAAAATCCAACCATGTACAGAAGACATACATACATACTCAAAGATACAATTGGATTAGAAGTAAAGGATGGAAAAAGATATAAAACGCAAACAGCAACCATAATAAATCTCCAGTGGCTTTCTAATATCAGACACAATAGAGTTTAAAACAAAAGTTTTACTAGAGATAAAGAAAAGTATTTTGTAAAGATAAGTCATCAAGAAGATGTAACAATTATAAATAGACAATTGGGATTACATCAAGCTGGGAAGCTTCCATACTGCCGAGGAAATAACAAAATAAAGAGACAACCCACAGATTGGGAGAAAATATTTGCAAACTATCCATTTGACAAGGGGTTAATTGCCAGAATATACAGGGAGCTCAAACAACTCTATAGCAAAAACAAAGAAAAATAACAAAAAAAAAACCCCAAACTCCAGATATTCCAATTATAAAGTAGGCAAAAGATCCAAACAGACGTTTCTCAGAGAAGACATGCAAATGTCTAACAGGTATATGAAAAAATGCTCAATATCACCACTTATCAGAGAAATGCAAATTAACCACAATCAGATATCATCCCTCTTCAGTTAAAATGGCTTGTATCAGAAAGACAGGAAAGAACAGATGCTGGTGAGGATATGGAGGAAGGACAGCCCTCGTACACTGTTGGTGGGAGTGGAAATTAGTACAGCCACTATGGAGAACAGTATGGAGGCTCCTCAAAGCAACTGAAAATAGAACTATTATACGATCCAGCAACCCCACTACTGGGTGAAAAGCCAAAAGAAAGGAAATCAGTACATCAAAGAGACACCTGCACTCTCACGTTTCCTGCAGCACTATCCACAAGAGCCAAAAAATGAAATCAGGCCAGGCGTGGTGGCTCACGCCTGTAATCCCAGCACTTTGGGAGGCTGAGGTGGGTGGATCACTTGAGGTCAAGAGTTCAAGACCAGCTTCACCAGCCTGGTGAAACCCCGTCTCTACTAAAAATACAAAAGTTAGCGGGGTGTGGTGGCAGACACCTGTAGTCCCAGCTACTCGGGAGGCTGAGGCAGGAGAATCACTTGAACCCGGGAGGCGGAGGTTGCAGTGAGTTGAGATTGAACTGCTGCCCTCCAGCCTGGGCGACAGAGTAAAGCTCCATCTCAAAAAACAAAACAAAAAAAAAATCAGAGCCCATCAACAAATGGATAAAGAAAGTGTGATATATATAAACACAGTCAATATGTCTATTCAGTCATAAAAATAAAATCCTGTCATTTGCAGCAACTGGGATGGAACTGAAAGCCATTATAATAAGTGAAATAAGCCAAGCACAGAAAGACAAATATTGCATGTTCTCACTCATATTTGAAAGCTAAAAAAGTAGACCTCATGAAGATAGAGTTGATGGTGGTTACCAGAAGCTGGGAAGAGGGGGAAGGATGAAGGGGAAAAATATGAATGTATCTATTATTGCTGAACTGTACACTTAAAAATGGTAATGATGATAATATTTATAATATATTTACATTTTGTTTATATATTTATATTTTGCCTCAAAAAAGGCAAAAAAGAAGATATAATAATTATAAACATGTATGTACCTAATAACAGCACCAAAATACATGAAGCAAAATCTGACAGAAATGAAGAGAGACAACTCAACAATACTAGTTGGAGACTTAATATCCCACTTTCAATATTAGAACAATCGTATAAGTTGTCTAGGACTGTCGTAACAAAGAACCACAAACTGGATGGCTTAAACAACACAGATATATTGTCTTACTGTTCTGGAGCCTCCATGTTTGAAATCAAGGCATTGACAGGTTTTGGTTCCTTCTGAGGGCTCTGAGGGAAGGATCTGTTCCAGGCCTCTCTCCTTGGCTTGTAGATGGCTGTCTTCTCACTGTCTCATCACATAATCTCCCTTCTATATGCACATATCTCTGTGCAAACGTCCCCTTTTTATAGGGACATCAGTCATATTGACTCCTAAGTCCTCATTTTAACATTGTTAACTCTGTACAGACCCTCTCTCCAAATAAGGCCTCACTCTGAGGTATGGAAATTAGGACCCCAACATATCTCTTTGAGTTGGGGGGACACTACTCAACACTGAAGTGTTTAGGGATGTCGAGAAATTATGCCTCCAACCTATGCTCATACATTTTTTTTTTCTTTTTCATTTTTTTTTTTTTTTTTTGAGACGGAATCTCACTCTGTCACCAAGGTTGAAGTGCAGTGGCACCGTGTCGGCTCACTGCAACCTCTGCCTCCCGGGTTCAAGTGATTCTCCAGCCTCAGCCTCCTGGGTTCAAGTGATTCTCCAGCCTCAGCCTCCTGAGTAGCTGGGATTACAGGTGCCCACCACCACGCCCAGCTAGTTTTTATATTTTTAGTAGAGACAGGTTTTCACCATGTTGGCCAGGCTGGTCTTGAACTCCTGACCTCAGGTGATCCACCCACCTCGGCCTCCCAAAGTGCTGGGATTACAGGCGTGAGCCACTGTGCCCTGCCAATGCTTATACATTTCAAGAAAAACATTTATTTGGCCGGGCATGGTGGCTCACATCTGTAATCCTAGCATTTTGGGAGGCCGAGGCGGGTGGATCACCTGAGGTTGGGCGTTTGAGAACAACCTGGCCAACATGGTGAAACCCCCGTCTCTACTAAAAATACAAAAATTACCCAGGCGTGGTGGCAGGCACCTGTAATCCCAGCTACTTGGGAGGCTGAGGCAGGAGAATTGCTTGAACCCGGGAGGCAGAGGTTGCAGTGAGCCGGGATCACACCACTGCACTCCAGCCTGGGTGACAGAGTGAAACTGTCTCAGAAAAAAGAAAGAAAGAAAAACGTTTATTTGTAGAGAAAGCTAACATGGTAAAAATTTGAGGAATATTGGTAAAGAATATTTACAAATTCATTATCATTGTGTAAATTCTATATTACTTTTTAAACTTTCATGTTTTGTGGAGTCATTTCTAAATCAAATCATTAAAAAGAGGCCAGGTGTGGTGACTCACGCCTGTAATCCCAGCACTTTGGAAGGCCAAGGTGGGCGGATCACTTGAGGTCAGGAGTTTGAGACCAGTCTAGCCAACATGGTGATAGCCCCTGTTTACCAAAAATACAAAAATTAGCCAGGGTGGTGACGTGCACCTGTAATTCCAGCTACTCGGGAGGCTGAGACGGGAGTATCACTTGAACTCGAAAGGTGGAGGTTGCAGTGAGCCGGGATCACATCACTGCACTCCAGCCTGGGTGACAGAGTGAGACCCTGTCACACACAAAAAATTAAAGTCATTAAAAAGAAAAACTGAATTTTGCAAAATTATTGGATGTCAGTATATTCAAATCAATTTTATTTCTATATATCAGAAAAATAATATAAAATGGGATTTAACAAATTGAATCAATTTTCAGTGGCATCAAAATACAAAATAGATACAAATCTTATGGTGTTGGAACTGTTCAGCATCTTGAAGGTGGTTGTTGATACATGAACCTACACTGGTGATAACATTGAACAGAACTTAATATACACACATACAAAGTATAAGTAAAACTGGGGAAATGTTAAGTATTGTGTGTCAGTATTCTGGCTGTGATATACTGTAGTGTTGCAAAATGTTAGCATTGGGGGAAACTGGGAAAAGTGTATAAGGGATCTCTGCATTATTTTGTATACTCTAGGTGAAACTATCTCAATACAAATTTAATTAAAACAAAATAAATCTGATAAAGATGTAAAAGAATAAAGAGACTATTATCCAGTTGATAAAATATGCAACTATGAAATAAACTGAATAAATTGAACAAGCTTGAACAAATTGAATCATCAATATGTTCAAGTCCTAGACATTTAATAGTGATAAATGTTATTCCCCAAATACTGTATGTAGTATAACATCTTTGTTAAAGGCCAAGATAAAGCAAAATGGAGTTATATATTGTTTAGGCATATGTGTTTATGTGACAAAACAACGGGGAAAAAAAGCTAGAAAATGATAATCAAAATCTTTAGGATAGTGTCTACACCCTGTGGAAGAAGCAGTGAGTTGGAAAAAGGGAACACTAAGTAGAGGCTTCAAGTTATTTTTAATTTTCTGTTTGGGTGAAAGATTCAAGAGCATTCGTGAGAATGTACTTGTAACTAGTATTTGATGAACAGGGGCTATACAACAGTTTAGATTTTAAAAAATTATGGGAGAATACTAAGGATAACCATACGCCAGTCAAATAAAAATAGATAACACATTTTTCAGTTTTCTAGAATACTGCACATTATCAAAACTGACCAAAGCAGAAAAAGCAAGACTGAATAAAATCAACAATAAATAACAAAATTGAATTGGAGTATCAAAAGCTTCCCTCAGTGAAATATAGCAAAGCCCAGATGGATGTCCAATAAAATTTTAGCAAACATTAAGGACTTGATTATCATTATGTAAGCAGTATTAGAGAATTTTTAAAATATAGATTACTTCCAAATTCACCTAGAAATTCTTTTATAACCTTTACACCAAATCAGGATAGAGACAGTAGAAGAAAAAATAAATACAGGTCAATCTAATATATGAAAATTTTCTGAGTAAATGAAATCCAGGTCTCTTTCGCCATACATTTGTATATGAGGTTGAACCATAGGAAATTACAATAATCAACCATGTTTTACATATGTGGCAGATTTTATTTTCTGAAGTGGGCTATGACAGTAGCTTCCATCTCATCTCCTCTTCTACAGTGTGATCTTGCCACTCCTCCCACTTATAGTCTTGCCCCATCCTTTGAGTTTTGTTGGCTTGTGAGTCACTTGTAGCCAAAAGAATGTGGAGGAAGTGATCATGTAACTTCGCAGGATATAAAAAGCCATGCGGCTTCTGCCTTGATTGCAGAGATCCTTCATTTGCCATGTAAGCAGTCCTTGAAGCTGCAGTACTAGGAGGAAATCTCAAATAATCCATATAGAGAAACCACATAGAGAGGCTCTGAGATTACATAAAGAGATGCTTGTTCAGCCCCATATGCTCCCGTTCCATGCCTTTCTGGCTCCATGAGAAATTCTGACCCAGAACGGCTCAGTCAGACCTCTCCTGAATCCCTGACAAACAGGAACCATCAGAAATAATAACGTCTTTGTTGCTATTTGTGCTATAATGTTTTGAGGTGATACGTTAGACTACAGTAGTGATTGGAATAGAAATTTAGTGTTGGAAGTGGGGTTCTACTTACATGCATCACTGGCCTTGGCACTGGATGATGAGCAGAATCTGAAAGGCCCTTGAGTAAAATATCAGTAAAACCCAGTGGGCTTTGGGGATGGTATTAGCAGAGTCTAAAAGTCATCAAGGAGGTTGCTGGTGAGAGCTTGAAGGAACACAAGGAAAGCATTATTGAAACATGGAGAAAATGAGACTTTTTTATGTAGTGACAGGTGTATCAACACTGTCACCTAATGTAAATGGAAAATAGAAGATGTACCTCATGACCTCAGTGATAGAGCTAAGTGTTTTCTAGACCCAGTGTTCAGGATGCTACCTGGCTCCTCATTGCTTATAATAAAATGAGAGGAAAGAGAACTAAAAAATGAACCATTCCATGGAGGAAATGGTAAACAGTCTTTTCAGCTTGTAAAGCATTCTCAAAGTACGAAAGCTCCTCAGGGAAAAGATGTAATCCAAGGCTGGCTATAATACCCTTATGTAAGATTCCAGAAAGATCTGAAGCGGTGCCTCCTGACCCCCTTCAATGAATAAACAAAAAGGACTTCTAAGGACTTGAGAGAATGCTTCTGTGAGCCCTCTCTCATAAGCAACAGAACTGCTAAGAATTTTAAGGGTGAGGTCCCACAAAAGGCCCACTGAGAGCCCATAGTAGAGAAAGTCTTATTAAGAGATTTTTGGGGTGTGGCTTTTGTCTAATGGAATGGGTTGTACACAGATAGCTAAAAATCCCACACGTTCTTAAAAACAGTGATGCTAACTTTACAGATAAGGACAAACTGTATAAAAAAAGATATTTGAACTCTCAACCTTTTTGCTCAGGAAGGAGGTTGAGAAGGATACTCACTTGCAAACATGGTCACATTTTATGAAAAACCATGGATGACTCAGAGAGCAGAACTAAGATCCAGAGGGTAGAGCAAAGAGCCATGGAGGAGAAGTCCAAGAAAGCAGAACCAAACCCTAATCACCGAACTGGTAATGGGTACCCAGTAGGATTTATGGATTTCTATGGAACAGTGACTACTCTGTGCCTCCTCTTGTCCCCATTTTTGAATAGGAGTATTGGTAACAGTTTTTCTGTGTCTGCCCCACTGTTACGTTCTGGGTGTGTAAGATGAAAATAACTTGTCTCATATTTCACAGGCATTCAGATTGGGAGAAATAGCACCTCAGGAACTGCATCCTCAAGAGTCCCATCTGCACCTGTAGCAGAGTTTGACGATGAGATCCTGGTCTTCAATCTGATATTATAACGGGATGAGACATTGGGATCTTGGGGGAGGAGATGGCTGTACTTTGCATGGGGGGGATGTGAATTGTTACAGCCAGAGGGCAGACCGTGGTAATCCCAAACATGGCCAAAACAGTATCTCCTATCACACATTCTCTTCCACAGTGTGCCTGCTATATATTTCTCCCATGAGAGTTGAGGTCGACACCAGCTCCTTGAACCTGGGTGGACTTGTAATTTGCCTGTAGCCAACAGAATGCAGCAGAAATAGGCCAGGTGCAGTGGCTCATACCTGTAATCCCAGAGCTTCAGGAGGCCAAGGCAGGAAAATTGCTTGAGCCCAGGAGTTTGAGACCAGCCTGGGAAACACAGTGAGACCCCGTTTCTATTTAAGAAAGAAAAAAAAGAATGCAGCAGAGATGAAGCTGTGTAACTTCCAAAGCTAGGTCATAAAAGGTGATGCAGCTTCCATCTTGTCACTGGAATTCACACTCTTGAACCATTCAGCAGCCATATAAGCAGTCCAATGGCCCTGAGCTGCCCTGCAGTAAGAAAGCCCAAACTAGCTCACACACAGACTACATCAAGAGTGAGAGATGCCTAAAACACCCCCAGGCATTCCAGCCCCTTCTGTTCTAGATCTAGCCTTAGAAAAAGCTGCCTAGCTGAGCCTATCTTGAATTTCTGACCCAGGAAACTATTAGATATAATAAGTCACTTTTTTTTTTTTTTGAGATGCACTCTCACTCTTTCCCAGGCTGGAGTGCAGTGGCACGATCCTGGCTCACTGCAGCCTCCTCCTACTGGGTTCAAGCAGTTCTCTGCCTCAGCCTCCCAAGTAGCTGGGATTACAGGTGCTCGCCACCATACTTGGCTAATTTTTGTATTTTTAGTAGAGATGGGGTTTCACCATCTTGGGCAGGCTGGTCTTGAACTCCTGACCTCATGATCCACCTGCCTCGGCCTCCCAAAGTGCTGGGATTACAGGCGTAAGCCACTGCGCCTGGCCAATAAGTCTCTTTTTTTAGGTAATCAAGTTAAAATAATAAGTCACTAAATTTTGAGGTGTTCTGTTATGTAGAAGAGTGACTGGACCAACCCATAAAAAGGACAACTTCATATAGTTCAACTTTTTTTTTTTTTTTTTTTTTTTTTGATACAGAGTCTCGTTCTGTCACCCAGGCTGGAGTGCAGTGGCATAATTTCAGCTCATGGCAACCTCCGCCTCCAAGGTTCAAGTGATTATCATGCCTCAGCCTCCCAAGTAGCTGAGATTACGGGCACCTGCCACCACGCCTGGATAATGTTTGTATTTTTAGTAGAGGTGGGGTTTCACCATGTTGACTAGGCTGGTCTCGAACTCCTGACCTCAGGTGATCTGCCCGCCTTGGCCTCCCAAAGTGCTGGGATTACAGGCATGAGCCATTGCATCTGGCCTAGTTCAACTTTATAAATAAATATGTCAAAGATAATTCAATATTAAAGTTTATATATTTATCATTTTAACCAAATAATGTAGAAATAGAGTGATATGAAACATAAATACCTATATAGGTTAAGAAAAATATTCAATAAATTGGAACAATTCTTTGTTATAAAATTCTTAAGAAACTCAGAATAAAATGCAACACCTTTTTACGATTATAAACCCCTCAGCAAACATACTTCAAGCAGAACCTTACGAACAGTATAATTAAAATGAGGAACCGCTGAGATCACTGCTCTCTCATTATTTCTCCCGGCGTTGAGCTGGAGTCCTAACCAATGTGGTAAGACAAGGAATGAAGATTAAGAGGTATATGGGCTGGAAAGAAAGAGGAATGTTTGTGGTTATTTGCAAGCAAGATCTTGTGATGATTAATGTTAGGTGTCAGCTTGACTGGATTAAAGGATACCCAGATAGCTGGCGAAGTATTATTTCTGGCTATGCCTGTGGGGGTTTTTCCAGACGAGACTGGCATTTGAATCAGGTAAGGAAGATTCACCCTCACCCAATGTGAGTGGGCACTGTCCAATCTGTTGAGGGCCCAGACAGAAGAAAAAGGCTGACGAGAGGTGAATTCTCTCTCTCCTGGAGCTGAGACATCATCTTCTTCTGCCCTTCAACATCAGAACCTAAGGTTCCTGGGCTTTCAGCCTCCAACTGGGAGTTATGCCACAGGCTTCCCTGGTTTTGAGGCCTTGGTACTTGGACTGAGCCACTCTTCCAGCTTCCCACCCGGAGTGGGAACCTATGGTTCCTTTTCCTGGCCGTCCATGGCCGCCCATGAACCAATCGGCAAGCACTTCCTCCTCTCTCAGACCCGTACAAACCACAGGCTCAGCCAGAGGTGATCAGATGGGGGACCATCTGCCTGCAGAGAGGAGCCAGTCACTCTAGGGCCTCCTCTCTGCTGAGAGCTGAGCCCTCGTCAGGACAACCAGCTGCAGAGAGGAGGTACCCTCTGTGCAAGGAGCTAAACACTGGGGGACACGCTAGCTGCAGATAGGAGCTGCCCCCTGCGGTCTCCTCTGAGCTATTCTATCACTCAATAAAGCTCCCCTTCGTCTTGCTCACCCTCACTTGTCTGCCTACCTACTTCTTTCTGGTCGCAGGACAAGAACTCAGGACCCGCTGAATGGCAAGGCTGAAAGAGCTGTAACACACACAGCTGAAACATGCCCCTTGCTTGCCACATTGTGGGTGAAGAGAAAAAGAGAAGAGCTTCAGCCCTTCGAGGAGCCCAGACCTGGGAGATCTTTGAGCCAGGGCTGTGACTTCCTCTTTGGGGACCTGTGGTGTTTGGGGTCTCCAAGCCTTTGGGCAACACCGCATTCTCCAGTGCCAGCCATGGAAGCTGCTTGTGGTGTCCCTAGTCCAGCCGCAGCCTCACAGAGAGCTGGCACCCCTGCTGGCACCTGGAGCTGCCTGCCCCACAGCAGCAGCCAGTGTGTCGGTGCAGTGGCTGAATCCCATGCTTGCTCACACACCCCTTGCTGCTCCACACCTGACTCTCAGTCTCCCTTAGAGGTGTGGGATCTGGGCTGGTAGTGTGAGCTGAGAACAGCATGCTAGGCCAAGGGGGCAGAATGAGCCCAGCGAGCCTGAGCAAAACTCGAGCAAAGGTGCCACTGGCCACAGAGGTTCCTGACAAGAAAAGTGACACCTCAAAGATCCCATAACATTTTTTTTTTAAGAGTTTCGCTCTTGTCGCCCAGGCTGGAGTGCAATGGCGCAGTTGGCTCACTGCAACCTCTGCCTCCCGGGTTCAAGCAATTCTTCTGCCGCAGCCTCCTGAGTAGCTGGGATTACAGGCATCCACCACCACGCCTGGCTAATTTTTGTATTTTTAGTAGAGACGGGGTTTCACCATGTTGGCCAGGCTGGTCTCGAACTCCTGACCTCAGGTGATCCGCCTGCCTCGGCCTCCCAAAGTGCTGGGATTACAGGCGTGAGCCAACACTCCTGGCTTCTCATGACCTTATTTAGCCTTAATTATTTTATTAAACATTCCACTTCCCAGTACAGCAACACTGGGGGTTAGGGCTTCAATATATGACTTAAGCGGCACATTCAGTCCATGATTCCACCAACTTCCAATAAGAAAACATACTATAGGCAGGGTGTGGCGGCTCACACCTGTAATTCCAGCATTTTGGGAGGCCGAGGTGGGTGGATCACCTGAGGTCAGGAGTTCAAGACAAGCCTGGCCAACATGGTGAGACCCCATCTCTACAAAAGTACCAAAAAAATTAGCTAGGCTTGGTGGCGAGCGCCTGTAATCCCAGCTGCTTGGGAGGTTGAGATGGAAGAATCACTTGAATCCTGGAGGTGGAGGTTGCATTGAGCCAAGATCATGCCATTGCACTGCAGCCTGGGTGACAGAGTAAGACTCCATCTCAAAAACAACCAACAACAATAACAAAAAATACTATAAAAAACCCTCATATTCATTATAGCAATAGAAATAAGCTACTTAGAAATATATCTTATAAAATGTTAAATTTAAAATGAGAACTGTCTGGGAATAAATCTTCCAAAAACCACATATAAACTGAAAAATTATGAATACAATAATGTTTTAAAGTTTGTAAAAGAAAAACTAAAAAATGGGCCGGGCATGGTGGCTCACGCCTGTAATCCCAGCACTTTGGGAGGCCGAAGCAGGTAGATCACGAGGTCATGAGATCGAGACCATCCTGGCTAACATTGGGAGGCTGAAGCAGGTGGATCACGAGGTCATGAGATCGAGACCATCCTGGCTAACATGGTGAAACCCCATCTCTACTAAAAATACAAAAAATTAGCTGGCAGTGGTGGCGGGCGCCTATAGTCCCAGCTACTTGGGAGGCTGAGGCAGGAGAATGGCGTGAACCCGGGAGGCAGAGCTTGCAGTGAGCCGAGATTGCGCCACTGTACTCCAGCGTGGGTGACAGAGCGAGACTCCATCTCAAAAAAAAAAAGAAAAAAGAAAAAATGGAAAGATATATTTGTTACTGAGCAATAGGCTTACTTTACAACATGCACAGAAGCCAACATTATGGTTCCCTCTTTTGAGGAAGAAAAAAAAAAAGCTTTATACCAAGTCAACTGGCAAGGAGACAAGAGGCAATGCTCAGATCTGTCTCTGTGATTGGGGTGGGTCAAGATTTTATGGCATTTCCAGCTAGACCCAGATGATGCCAATGCAGGCCTGTCAGGCTGGTGATGATAACAATTAGAAATTAAAGCTTTTTGCATTGCATGTGCCAAGGCAATTTTGGCTGTGTGTGTACCTGCAACAACTTAAGAAATGGTTAATTTGTTTGAGCTGGTCCCACAGTTACAGGTACCCCCCTTTTTGTGCACTCCTCAATCTTGAGGGAAGTGGGGTGATGACCATTCTAGCTACTTCATGCTTTCAAGTCACGCAGGTCTGAGTACAAAGAATGCATGAGTGGGGCTACTGACATACAAGATAGCTCTGCTCCATCTGTACCTTGACAAGAAGGAAAAGGAATCCCAACATACATACAATTATAGTTCTTAACTTAATTAGACCCTCAAAAATAGATCTTATCCATGATGGCATGAACAGAGGCCTGGTTGGCATCTTGAGTGAGCTGTTTCCTTCAGCTGCCCTCTGTTTCTGGCCTTCTAGTTTGATCAGGCAGAGGCTGGTTTTAGACTCTAAAAGGAATGAAAATATGGATAAATGGCTTTTCATTTATCTGGGGATCCAAGAGCCCTTTCAGTCTTTTGTTTTTTTCTGAAAAGTAACTGAAGATCAGTTAGGGGCTCACAAGTGTATTCCTGGGTGATCAGTTAGGGGCTCACGAATGTATTCCTGGGTGATCAGTTAGGGGCTCACGAATGTATTCCTGGGTGATCAGTTAGGGGCTCACGAATGTATTCCTGGGTGATCAGTTAGGGGCTCACAAGTGTATTCCTGGGTGGAGAAGTTAGTTTGGGCTTCTACAGCCATTTGGGGTTTGGATGACTTGGCCCTACTGCTTCCTGTTGTCTGTGGTAAGTGTAAGCTGTGTAATGACGGGTTGCAGAGAGTTTTAAATATGATCACATACTACTTTTTTATTGGAGATGGGATCTTGCTCTGTCACCCAGGCTGGAGTGCAGTGGACAGGTACAATCTTTACTGGTGATTGATGAACCCAGGGCTTGACTCCTTTTAACTTTATGAATGAATGAGTTACCAGGAGAACTTCATAAGGGTCCATTCCATTTGGGCTGTATTTGGTGCTCAGGGTTGTGATTTTTCCAGATTTGAAGGGGTACTTGGTCTCCTGGGCTAGGGCATTGTAAAAGAACATCTATAGGAACAAAGAATATCTATAGGAACAAAGAACATCTGTAGGAACAAAGAACATCTATAGGAACAAAGTTGCACCCAGAGACTGTGTGTGTGTGTGTGTGTGTGTGTGTGTGTGTGTGTGTGTGTATATATATATATTTATTTATTTATTTATTTTGGATGGATAAAATAACGGATAAGATCATTTTAAATATATATTAATATATATAAATAATACATATTTATATATATTTTAGATATTTATATATATTATATATATATATTTTAGATGGAGTCTTACACTGTTGGCTGGGTTGGAGTGCAATGGCGTGATCTCTGTTCACTGCAATCTCCACCTCCCGGGTTCACACGATTTTCCTGCCTCAGCCTCCTGAGTAGCTGGGATTACAAGTGCACACCACCACAACTGGCTAATTTTTTGTATTTTTAGTAGAGACAGGGTTTCACTATGTTGGCCAGACTGGTCTTGAACTCCTAACCTCATGACCTACCCGCCTTGGCCTCCCCAAGTGCTGGGATTACAGGCCTGAGCCACTGTGCCTGGCCAGACTCTACATATTTTTTGGTATCTAGTTCTTTTACAATATGACTGTCTTAGGAATTTTAACAAAATTTAGTTTTAAGGAAGGGTTGCTCATAAAGCATTTCATAGGGGCCTAATTGGAGCTTGCTTTTAGGGTGACTCTTACTGTAAGCAGGGCAATAGGCAAGACCTTATCCCAGGCTAAGTTGATTTCTTGTTTTGGAATTCAAAATTTTTTTTGTAGAGATGGGGAGTCTCGCCATGTTGCCCAGGCTGGTCTTGAACTCCCAGCCTCAAGCGATGTTCCTGCCTCAGCCTCTCAAAGTGCTGGGATTACAGGTGTGAGCCACTGCACTTAGCCACAGTTAATAAGTTGGTTTCTTAATTTCCTTTTTCCCGGAAGTCAGCAAACCTCTGTCTTTCCATATGCCTCCCATGCATAAAAAAAAAAATGGACAACTTAAGAAACAACCCCCCAATGTATAGAAATGTGTGTCAGCAGTAACCACTGAAACTCGCTATCTGCAGTTTCTGCATTTCTAATATTAGTCCAATTTTTAAAAATCCTGATGTAAGTCAGTATCCATATCTTGTTCCTAACTCCTCCTAATATTCTACCATTAAGAAGCACACTGGCTTTACGGTTAAAATCCTATGGTTTTCTTTTTTTATCATGTTAAGGTAGCAAACAAATTTGCTATTTTTATAAAATCTAAAATATATTTTAAAATTAATTTTTTCATGTAATTGAAGTGATTTTATTTTCCCCTTAACTTACTGCGATGGTAATATTAGTAGATTTTCTGATCAACTTTGTGTTTCTAGAATAGAATCCATTTGCTTATAGTATATTTTAGCAATGCACTGCCAGCTTCTCTCTGTTAATAACTTCTCAATATTGATGCTTGCATAATCTTAAGTTTGAGGTTTCTTTTCAAATCATACATTCATCAATTTTGGTATCTTTATGCTATTTAATAAATAGAAAATTTTCCTCCTTTTAATTCCTCTGGAATTGTTTTTTCAGCTTTACTAAAGGTATATCTGACAATTTAAAATTGTGTCTAGGGAGTGGCTGGAGTGGCAGCTGGGCAGCAAGACTAACTCTGGATCCACCAGGCCAGGTGTCGTGTACAGAGGCTGGGGCAGCCATCCCCAACTCCAATGCCCAGTGCCCAGCACACCAGCACTTTCTGGTGATGTTGCACATTTATGGTGATTCTGAGTGTGGGAGCAGACTTCTGCCAGGCTTAGCACAGCATTTTCACCGACAAATGAGCTTTGAGGTTCTACGTGCTGTCATTAATACTACCTTGAAAACTCTAGACACCAAGACTGGCCTCAGAAATAGATACCTTTTTAAAAAAATTGCAAGTATATTTCTTTTAACGATTCCAGTAAAATTAAGCATCAAGTAAACAAAAGTGGAAAGTGACCTACACTTTAAACTTGTTGAACTAAATGTAATAAAGGCTGCTTAAGTTTTTTATGTCCTTGGATTTTTTGGAGTCCAGAGGTGTCCATCTGCAGAAATTGAGGCCCAAGTTGAATTTGGATTCCAGTGGATTCTGAACAATTCTGCTTATCTTGAAGACAGAAGCTTCATAAGGAATAGACAAGTTAAATAGAAAAAACACTGATCAATAGGCAGTTTAGTGATCTAAAAATAAAACATTAAAAAGTTTTCTGCTGTGAAACATTTCAAGATTTATTGATTTTTTTTCACTTTCCCCATTACACTCACACACATGCTCACACTTTTTCTTTGCCATAATGGACTGTTCAGCCCCTGTGGAGATTTACAGGAACATGCATTTTCTCATAACCCACAAGTCTACCAGTGCCACTGCAACAAGTTCACAGAGGAATGTGAGACGTGTGGAGTGACACCTTTGGTTTGAGTTTGTGATGCTACATTTGGTAAAGTTCCAGTTGAAAAAGAAGGAATCCATATTTTAGATTGGTCTTTTGACGATGAAGCTCCACCACCTAATCAGATAGCAGATGACTGGCTAAACCTGTTAATCACTAAAGGGCGTGAAAAGCCAGGTTGCTGCCTTGCAGTGCATTGTGCTGTGGGATTGGGAAGGGCACCTGTGCTGGCAGCGCTTGCTTTGAATATGGAATTAAGTATGAAGATGCAGTTCAGTTTATAAGACAAAAAAGAAGGGGAGCATTCAATTCCAAACAGCTGCTTTACTTGGAGAAATGCCGACCTAAGGTGCAATTACACTTCAGAGATACCAGTGGGCATTGCTGTGTTCAGCAGAAATGTAAATGAAGACCGGCTGGATTGTGGCATTTTAGAGGAACTCTTAGTACTTGGAAATGTGAATCTGGAGTCTTACCTGTATCATCCAAGTAGTGATAGACTCAGTACTCAGCCACTCTCCCAATAGCTGGAAAAATGCAAACAAAAAAAGAAATCCCTCTATAAAATCAATAAAATGTTTAAGAAAAGAAAAAAATGAGATAAAATTGTATCCAAGATGACAATGGGATCTTTATATATATATATATATATATATATCATTGTGAAGTGACTGACACAATCAAGCCAGTGAATGTATCCATCACCTCACATAGTTACCCTTTAGGTATGTGTGATTAGGGTATTTCAGGCTTACTCTAAGTGAATTTCAAGCGTACAACATATTATTAACTGTCGTCACCATGCTGTCCATTAGGTCTCCAGAATTTATTCATGTTATAACTGCAAGTTTGTTCTCTTTTTAAAACATTTGACCAACATCTCCTCATTTCCCCTACTTGCCACCTGACCTCTGGTAACCACTCTTCCACTGTTTCTATGAGTTCGACTTTTTAAGATTCCACATCTACGTGAGATCGTGTAGTATCTTCTTTCTGTATCCGTGTATTTCTATGTGTATTTCACTTTGCATAATGTCCTCCAGGCTCATCCATGTTGTAGTAAATCACAGAATTTTCTCCTTTTTTGAGGCCAAGTAATATTCTATTGTGTACGTATACTACATTTTCTTTATCTTTTGATAGATGCTTAGGTTGTTTCTACATCTTCACTATTGTGAATAATGCTGCAATGAACAGGGGAGTGCAGATATCGCTGAGATATCTTTTAATTTTATTTATTTTGGATATATACTGCTATGATTTGAATGTCTATGCCCTCTGAAAATTACGTTGCAACTAACCCCCATTGTAACAGTGTTAGGAGAGTGGGAAAGCTGCCTATGGCAATTGAGAGGTGGGACCTTTGGGAGGTAACTAGGATTAGATGAGCTCATGAGGGTGGGCATTAGTGGCTTTATAGGAAGAGAAAGAGAGAAATGGGCTCGGCTGCTTGATCCCCCTTCACAGTGTGCACCCTGGACTGACCTGGGGCTCTGCAGAGAGTCCTGCTAGCAAGGAAGTCCTTACCAGAAGTGTCCCTCAACCTTGGACTTCCCAGTCTCCAGAACTGTAAGAAATAAATTCATTTTCTTTATAAATTATTCAGTGTCAGGTATTCAGTTACAGCAATAGAAAATAAACTAAGACAGAAAATTGGTACTGAGGAGTGGGGCTGTTGCTAATAATAAATCCTGAAAATGTGGAAGTGGCTTTGGAACTGGGTAATGGGCAGAGTTTGGAAGAGTCTGGAGGAGCAGGTTAGAAAAGGCCTAGATTCTGGTGAGGGATTGTCTCAAAAAAAAAAAAAAAGAAGAAGAAGAAGTTGTGAAACCATGCCCCCAAATAGTTAAAGAAACCAGTGACTAACGAATTTTTTTTTTTTGAGATGGAGTCTCGCTCTTGTCGCCCAGGCTGGAGTGCAGTGGCGCGATGTCGGCTCGCTGCAATCTCCACCTCCCAGGTTCAAGCGATTCTCCTGCCTCAGCCTCCCGAGGAGCTGGGATTACAGGTGTGCACCACCACGCCCAGCTAATTTTTGTATTTTTAGTAGAGACAGGGTTTCACCATGTTGGCCAGGCTGGTCTCGAACTCCTGACCTCAGGTGATCTGCCCGCCTCGGCCTCCCAAAGTGCTAGGATTATAGGCGTGAGCCACCGCGTCCGGCTAACAGAAATTCTTGAGCTTACAGGATGGCAGATAAGAAACAGTTTGCTGAAACTCCGTTTGTAATATAATACAACTGGCTGAAATCAGTTGAAACCAATATAACCAAACGGAGTCCATGCAGAATGAGCTTGCTGATGTCGCAGCCTGAATTTCCACTGCACTTTTCACACTAACTCTACCTTAATTTGCACATGGGACCCAAGAAGAGGCTTGAAGAGACAACTGCACATGGTCGGGGACTTTCCAGACTTCCTTTTTCCTTCACCATTCACCTGTGAATCCCAGAATCCACCCTCTAAACCTTTTTTCACAATAGTGCTGCCTTAAGGGCAGCACAGAGAGATAGATTTGAACTAAACTCCTGTCACTTTGTTGGTCAACTCGCAATTAAGCTTTTCTTTTCTCAAACGCCTGGTGCCATAGTATTGGCTTCTGTGCACATCGGGCAATGAGGTCTTTTGCGTAGCAGTATTTGGATATCCGGTTTCCTCACGCTATTTATTGAAGCGACTGTCCTTTCCCCATCGTGTATTCTTGACACAAGATTAGTTGACTTGCCTAAGATTAGTTGACTGTATATGCATGGGGTTATTTCTGGTTTTTCTACGCTGTTCCACATTGGTCCATGCGTCTGTTTTTATGCTAGTACTTCACTGGTGAGTTCTACCTCTGGGAATAAATATAAGAATTCTCTAATCACTGGATGTTTGAAGCAATTCACTAAGCAACTCATTATGATGCTTTCTGGCAAAGGATCTCTGAATTTGTCTTCAAATTGTGGATAAAATTGGGTCAAATTTGGCCCATGTTGTCCTGGAGAATCATTTGTGTCACAAATTATCAAATTTATTAGTATAGAGCGGATTTTCATTCAATTTCCTATGTGTCTATGGTTATTTCTCTTTTTTCATCTCTCTCCTCCATCTCCCCGGCCCCATCTTGCTGTCATAAGCATCGTGACTTACCTATAATTCTCCCTACGACTCCAGTTATGGATCAACTTTACTTTTTTCTGTTAATTCTTACCTTCTTTCCATAAATATATTTAAATTTTTTCTGGTTTCCTCAACTGAAGTCAAACCAATTGAGTATTGGTGGGCCGGGCGCGGTGGCTCACGCCTGTAATCCTAGCACTTTGGGAGGCCAAGGCGGGCGGATTGCCTGAGCTCAGGAGTTCGCGACCAGCCTGGGCAACACGGTGACTCCCCGTCTCTACTAAAATACAAAAAAATTAGCCGGGCGTGGCGGCGGGCGCCTGTAGTCCCAGCTACTCGGGAGGCTGAGGCAGAAGAATGGCGTCAACCCGGGAGGCGGAGTTTGCAGTGAGCCGAGATCACGCCACTGCACTCCAGCCTGGGTGACAGAGCGAGACGCCGTCTCAAGAAAATATATATATATATTGGTGGATTCGGTTTCCCTTTATGTTTCTCAGAAAACCGTGTGAGCCCGTTTGGAGTCACTCCGTCTCCAAGCGACAGGCACTTCCGGACGCGGGGCACTGTGGGAAGTTGAGTTCGCGGGGCTCCTTCCTTCGCGCATGCGCACATGCACTCTTGGTAATGCTTGCAGGTGGCCCGTTCTTCCTCTTTGTCCTTCGCTGCCACGTGAGAGGGGAGTGTACGCGTGTGCGCGCGTGCGAGTGTGCGCGTGTGCAGTCCCCGACTCGTCCCGGCCCGTTCGGAGCCGCCCGGGAGCGCACAAAGGCCGACGGTTTGGGCGCGTGCGCGGGACACGGGGGACGGGCGGTGTCACGTGATCGCGAGGCCGCGGGCGCGCGGGCGCGACTCGGCGGCGGCGTCTTTTGTGAGTTCAGTGAGTTTATTGCGGGCCCGGCGCTGGGGGCTCCGGGAATGGCGGGGGAGGCGCGCGGGAGTGGCCGCGGGGAGCTTCGGCTTCAAGGCCCTGGGCGTCCGCGCGCGGATGCGGGTCTGGGGCGGGTTGGGGCTGGGCCGGGTCGTGAAGATGCCGTGGGCCGCGGAGCTGCGCGGATTCTGGGCTGTGGGGCGGGCACGGCCTTTCCGGAGGCGCCGCTCCTGGGCGTCCTTTCAGGCGGGCGTGGAGGCGCCAGCCTCGGGCGCGTTTAGCCTCGGGCGCGTTTAGCCTCGACCTCGGGCCAGCCCGCTTGCCGCGCCGTGGCCCTAAGGAGCGGCTGCCCTGCTGGACCGCATCCACCAGCAGCCTGGCTCTGCCGCTATCGAAGGAGGCTTTTAAAGCGCTGGGGTTACAGGTGTGAGCCACCATTCCTGGCCGTGTATTTTTTAATGGTTATATTTATTGACTGTTTTAAATTTTTTAAGTGACTTTTGCTTTTGGTATGGTGTAGCGAAATCTCCCCTCAAATTATACATATATTCATTCACCTGTGGTTTTTTTTTGTAGACATTCTTAGGGTTTCCATTATTTTAAAATTTAACCCACTGAAAGTAGTTGTATGAAATAGCTACGTTTATTTTCTTTCAAATATTCTTGTATTCATTAAATAATTTAATTTTACTGATGGCTTTGAAATGCTACATTTATTGCATGCTGACTCTTGCATATTTAGACAGTTTGCTTTTTTTCATCTGTATAACTTCTCTGGAGCCAGTGTCAAATGTTATAATGATTATAATTTGTATGTATTACAGTGGGCCTGTTCACACTCATTATTTTGTATTTCCAAAAGCATCCAGGCCCGGTGTGGTAGGGCATGCCTGTAGCCCCAGCTACTCTGTAGGTTGAGGTAGGAGGATCACTTGAGCCCAGGAGTTCAGGGCTGCAGTGAGCTATGGTTATGCCATTGCACTTCAGCCTGGACAACACAGTAAGACCCTGTCAAAAAAAAAAAAAAAGTGTCCGAATTGTTCTTGAACCTTTTTTCTTACACATAAACTTTAGAATTTTGAGATTCTGATTGGAGTCGATGAGTTATATAAATCATTTGAGGTCAAATTATCTTCACAATCTGAAGTCTTCCTATCCCAGAATAAAATCGAATTATAAATTTCTTTAATTCTATTTTTATAGTTCTCATTGGTGTTTTTAGTATGCTTCATATGGGTCTTGATATTCCTACATATTTTATGTATTTTGTCAATTATGAGTCGGATTTTATTTTTTTGTTATTTTATGTGAGTTGTTTATATCTTACAGAAATAAGGTTATTGACCTGGAAAGATGTTCTTCACATAATGGGAAAAAAACAAAAACAGCTTTTAAATATGACCATATGCTTCCATTGTATGAAAAATATCACAATAGTTTCCATCATCCTAAGAATGGTTACCTGTGGTGAGATCATAGATAATAGTTCTTATTTAGCTTGTGTATGTTTTTTATATTTTGCCATCATATATTACTTTTATAATAATAATTATAGCTAGTATATGTTTCGTATGACTGTGTGCCAGCTTTTGTTCTAAGATTTATGTATTATCACAATTTAAGGTATAAAGGAGTCATTTCTTGTATAACTGGGAGAAACTGCTGTGTGTTTCTGAGTTGGCACTGAAGTTTGAACCACAAAAAGGCATGAAAAAGAAAGTGCTGCTTGTTAGTGTGATACAGTTGAGGCAGGGCGTCCTTCATTTATATTTTTGTGGGAATTAGTGACTGAATGTGTGCATGGGAATAGGAGCTGACTCCAGGATTTATGTTGTGTGTGTTTGTGCATGTAGATATGCACAAATGACAATATGACTTTAGTATTCATGCTTTGAACATAGCAGGATAGAGAATTAACATTTGAATTTTGCTACTTACTAAATGTGCAATCACAGGCACATTTTACAATCACTCATTGTCCCAGTTTTCTCTCTGTAAAATGGAGATTATGTTAAACGCCTTATAGGGTTGTGCATGAGTTAAATTTAAAATGCTTAGTATATTGTCTCACATACAGAAAGCACTGGAATGTTAGCTGTAACTGTTATTACAAGGCCCCAGTCGCTTTCCTTTTAACACCTCATTTGTTTCTTAGACTCCCATTGTGAGGTCCACTTTATCTTCACCATTTTAGCAAGTACAGAAATTGAGGCTTTGAAGGCAAGAAAGGAGGGGGGAAAAACAGTAACCACAATAAACATTAAATGTATTCAATTTGTCAGTTAAAAGACACACTGTTGGTTTGGATTTTTTTTTTTTTTTTGAGATGGAGTTTCCCTTTTGTTGCACCAGGCTGGAGTACAATGGCACGGGCTGCAACATCCACCTCCCAGGTTCAAGCAACTCTTCTGCCTCAGCCTCCCAAGTAGCTGAGCTTACAGGTGCATGCCACCACGCCTGGTTTATTTTTGTATTTTTAGTAGAGATGGGGTTTCATCATGTTGGTCAGGCTGGTTGAACTCCTGACCTCAGGTGATCCATCTGCCTTGGCCTCCCAAAGTGCTGGAATTACAGGCGTAAGCCATCGCTCCTGGCCAATTTGGATTTTTTTTTTTTTAAACACCAATAAATTTGAGCTCTGAGCTGCTTATAAGGGACAAAGATAATGATGCTAAGATTTTTAGTGTAGTTGACCAGATGATAACATACCACGTAAATACCAAAAGAATGCTGAAGCCAGGTGTGGTGTTGTATGCCTATAATCCTAGCACTCTGGGAGGCTGAGGTGGGAGAATTGCTTGAGCCCAGGAGTTTGAGACTATCCTGGGCAGCATAGCGAGATCCTGTCTCTACAAAGAAAAAAAATACAAAAACAGTTAGCTGGGCATGGAGGCACACAAACCTGTAGTTCCAGCTACGTGGGAGGCTGAGGCAGGAGGATCCCTTGAGCCTGGAGTTCAAAGTTGCAGTGAGCTCTGATTGTGCCACTGCATGCCAGCCTGGGTTAGGGAGCAAGACCGTACCAAAAAAAAAAAAAAAAAAAAAGAATGCTGATGTTGCAGACTTCATCTAAGATAAAATAGATTTTAAGGCAAAAAGCATTATTGGGGGTATGAAGCGTTGTTACACAATGATTTTTTAAAACCCCTATTTAACCTTGACGCATCAAACAACATAGCCATAAGCATATAATCCAAACATCAGCAGAATTATAAGGAAAAACTGACCAATCTCTAGTCATATTGTGAGATTTTAACCCATTTCCTTCTGAAATGGGTAGACAAAAATGGCAGACAAAAGTTAAGGATATATTAATAGAAGATTTTAATAGGAAATTAGGCTCAGAATGGTGAAATTTGTTTGTTTTTGCCAAAAGTCATCTAGCTGGTAAAGGAAAAAGTTGATTGAAACTCAAATCTGTTTTAATACAGATCATATAAACTGTGTTTTTCCTAACAGCACCTGTTAAACTGATTTGCATTTCAGCATTCACAGTGAATATTGAGTGAATCTCACAATTACTTTATTTCTGATATTTCCTTATCTGTTTGCAGAGACCTAGGCTTCCACTGTTCCATTTTACTATATTCTGTTTCCCTGAGAGTGCTGTTTCAGTTATATAGCAAGCGTACCTCTGGCCTTAGATGATCGTGAATTCCAAGTTCCTAGCAAGAGAGAAAGAGATTTCATGTGCAATGTGAATATACCAGTTGAAGTACATTTCTCCCGAAGTCCACAGATCCTGGTCCCTACAAATAAGCCTGCTCATGTGAGATAAGAAAGGAGTTCCTGGAACCAGGAATTCATTCTCAGTGTAGAAGACCTAGCTGAGACCTCACTCCACAGTTTTGGGGCAGAAGCAGAAGAGACGCACAGTAGAACCGATCTCAGCCTTGCTGATCATCTCGTACAGCAGCAGAAAATGACCATGTTACAGGTGAGTTGATTGTTGAGTTCTTATTTTTTCCCAGGGAATTAGAAGAAATGTATAAGCCTTCCGGTGAAAAAGAAAAGTTTAAATAGTTAAGAAATCAGAGGAAAATAGCCTCAGATGATCAGGATTGGAACAAAATTGGCACAGTGATATATTAACTACTGGACCATGACAGGTTCTTAGGATTGAGTATTTATAGCATATTTAAAGCCATAACATCTTACATAATTACTGCATTTGAGCTGCAAACTTTGTTTTCAAATTTTTGGTAGTCGTAATAGAGAAATGTGAGCTTTTATATGCTTTGCATCGTTTAAAGGTAAAAGCAAACTGATTGCCCATAGGAAGTAAATATTTCTTGGTTATCGGGTGTCCATTTCTTTTTCCTTGATGAAGTCTTATGAATGAGAGATATGCAGTAGTTCCTCCTTATCTGCAGTTTTGCTTTTTGCAGTTTCAATTTTCCAATTTCCCATGGTTTGAAAATATTAAATAGAAAATTTCAGAAATAAGCAATTGGTAAGTTTTAAATTGCTTCCTGTTCTGAGTAGCATGATGAACTCTTGCACCATCCCACCCAGGACCTGCCTCATCCCTTGGTCCAGCAGATCCATGCTGTATATGCTGCTTACCTGTCAGTCACTTAGTAGCCATCTGAGGTGTCAGATCAGCTCATGGTATTGCAGTGCTTGTATTTTAGTAGCCCTTATTTTACTTAATAATGGCTCCTAGACATAAAAGTAGTGATGCTAGTAATTCGGATATACCAAAGAGAAGCTTTAAGTGAACAGGTGAAAGTTCTCAACATAACGAAAAATACAGGCTGAGGTTGCTAAGATCTACAGTAAGAACAAATCTATTCATGAAATTGTGAAGAAGGAAAAATAAATACATGCTAATTCTGCTGTCACACCTCAAACTGCAGAAGTTATAGTCTCAGTGTGTGGTAACTTGTATTACACTATGTTGTCATAATTGTTCTATTTTATTATTGTTGTTTATTTTTTACTGTACCTAATTCATAAACTGAACTTCACCATAGGTATGTATGTGTAGGAAAAAAGCGTAGGCTTTATAGGGTTTGGTTCTATCTGGTTTCAGGCATCCACCGGAGTCTTGGAACATCTCCTTTGTGGATAGGTGGGGGCTACTGTGGTGGGTAATGTTCTCTAGAGAAACGCTAATAAACGCATGAACCTTACGGCATTTTTCATAGCGTTCTTCAGAGTATGTCCCAAGGGTAGAATGCCAGAGCAGGACTTCATGACCATAATTATTTACTTTTTACCTTTTTAAACTGTAAGGCCTAATTTACATGCAGAAAAGTATGTTTTAAAAAATACAGTTTGATGAATTGTTATCAGTGGAATATGCATGAAATCACCACTCAGATCAGGAAATAGAATATTCTTAGCCCAGATGAGTCCCTTCATGTGCCCTCTCCCAGTCGTCACAACCTCTTCCTCCTGACAGAGGTAACCAGGATCCTTTTTTGGTCTCCATTTCCTGACTTTATAGTTCTGCTCCTATCTGTGCGTTCTTAAACACTATATTTGATTTTGTCTGCTGTAGTGTGTGCTCATTTTATTTATTTTGTCTGTTGTAGTGTATGCTCACTTCTGTCTTCTTTCACTTCACATTTTGTGGCATTCACTGCAATTGCAACTGCAGTCCTTCCCCCAGTTGAGGTGGCTTCTTTATTTTTTATTTTTTTTTGAGATGGAGTCTCACTCTGTCACCCAGGCTGGAGTGCAATGGCACAATCTCAGCTCACTGCAACCTCTGCCTCTAGGGTTCAAGCGATTCTCCTGAGTAGCTGGGACTACAGGCGCACGCTCCCACGCCTGGCTAATTTTTTGTATTTTAGCAGAGACGGGGTTTCACTGTGTTGCCCAGGCTGGTCGCGAACTCCTGAGCTCAGGCAATCCGCCTGCCTTAGCCCCCCAAAGTGTGTGAGCCACTTACAGGTGTGAGCCACTACGCCTGGCCAACATTTTTTAAATGATCATTGCATAGATGGATTATTTCATTGGGAGTTGCAAAATGGTGACAGGTTACTTTGATCATTTCTTCTTGATCAGCTAGAACACTGCTTTCCAGCATGACAGAATCTATCAAGGCACAGGTTTAATCTTTTTGTCCCAGACCTGCCGTTAGCCATTTCTACAGTAAATGGTATCTGAAATTTTGTTATTTGAAAGAATTTTCTTGCCAAAACATGGAAATACGCAATATTTTGGCATATTGACTTTGTATACGGGAACTTATTTTTTTAATTTTTTTATTTTTTTTGAGGCAGAGTCTCACTCTGTTGCCCAGGCTGGAGTGCAGTGGCACAGTGTTGGCTCACTGCAACCTCTGCCTCCCGGGTTCGAGCAGTTCTCCTGCCTCAGCCTCCTAAGTACCTGGGATTACAGGTATGCCACCACACCCAGCTAATTCTTGTATTTTTTTTTTTTTTTCCAGTAGAGATGGGGTTTCACCATATTGGTTAGGCTTGTCTTGAACTCCTGACCTTGTGATCCACCCGCCTCGGCCTCCCAATTACAGGTGTGAGCCACCACGCCTGGCCAGGAATTTCTTAAGCTTACTTATTAGTTCTAATGATTTTTCTTTAGATTTGATTAGATTTTTCATGTTAACAAAAACATCAGCAATAACTTTTTTTTTCTTTTTGTTTTAAGAGACATGGTCTCACTCTGTCACCCAGGCTAGAGTGCAGTGGCACAATCATAGCTCACTGCAGCCTTGAACTCCTGGAATCAAACATGCCTCCCACCTCAGCCTCCCAAGTAGATGGGACTACAGGCACCTACTACTAAGTACAGCTAGTTTAAATTTTTTTTTTTTTTTTTGGTAGTGACAGGTT
Source organism: Homo sapiens (assembly GCF_000001405.40). Classification (NCBI taxonomy): domain Eukaryota; kingdom Metazoa; phylum Chordata; class Mammalia; order Primates; family Hominidae; genus Homo; species Homo sapiens. The sequence continues at coordinate 133,044,349 of NC_000012.12, forward strand.
CTCACTATATTGCCCACGCTGGTCTGGAACTCCTGGCCTCAAACAATTCTCCTGCCTCACCCTATCAAATAGTTGAAATTATAGGCATGAGCCAGCACACCTGGCCAGATCATTTTAAGTAAATGTTTGGAAGAATCACCACTAAAACTACATAGATCTTGCATTTTTTTTGAGGGAAAGTTTTAAAATTGTGGGATCAGTTTCTTTAGCAGTTACAGGATTAATTCAGATTTTGTTTCTTCTTGTTACTTTGGGTTCATTGTTTTTCAAAGAATATAGCTATTTGGCCAGGTGTGGTGGCTCACACCTGTAATCCCAGCACTTTGGGAGGCCGAGTAGGGTAGATCACGAGGTTAAGAGATTGAGACCATCCTGGCCAACATGGTGAAAGCCCATCTCTATAATAATACAAAAAATTAGCCGGGCGTGGTGGCAGGCGCCTGTTATCCTAGCTACTTGGGAGGCTGAGGCAGGAGAATCGCTTGAACCTGGGAGGTGGAGGTTGCAGTGAGCCGAGATTGCGCCACTGCACTCCAGCCTGGGCAACAGAGCAAGACTCCATCTCAAAAAAAAAAAGAATATAGCTATCTCGTCTTAAGTTGTCAAGTATGTTGGCATAAGTTTGTAATATCTTTTTAACAGCTTTATTGAAGTATGACCTCAATAAGATCCACCATTTTAATGTATAATTCATTGATTTTTAAGTAAACTTATGCTGTATAACCATCATCACAATCTAGTTTTAGAAGATTTTCCTCACCCCAAAACAATCTTTGTGACATTTTTGGTCAATTCCTCTTCCCACCCCAGCCTAAGACAATCATTAATTTGCTTACTCTCAGCTGGGCACGGTGGCTCACACCTGTAATCCCAGCACTTTGGGAGGCCGAGGTGGGTGGATCACCTGACGTCAGGAGTTCGAGAGCAGCCTGGCCAACATGGTGAAACCCCATCTCTACTAAAAATACAAAAATTAGCTGGGCGTAGTGGCAGGTGCCTGTAATCCCAGGTACTCAGGAGGTTGAGGCAGGAGAATTGCTTGAACCTGAGAGGCGGAGGTTGCAGTGAGCTGAGATTGGGCCACTGCACTTCAGCCTGGGTGACAGAACAAGACTGTGTCTCAAAAACAAACAAATAGAAATTAAGTGGGTGTGGTGGCATGCACCTGTAGTCCCCATTTCTCAGAAAGCTGAAGTGGGAGGATCACCTGAGCCCAGGAGGCAGAGGTTACAGCGAGCTATAATTGTGCCACTGCACTGCAGCCTGGGTGACAGAGCAAAACTCTGTCTCAAAAAAGAAAGAAAGAAATTTGCAGTTATCTGAATTGCTGTTCCCTTTAAGTGATGTGATTTTTTTTCTTTCTGGCCATTTATGATGTGTCTGGGTATGGATTTCCTTATGTTTATTGCCTGGCATTCACTGAACTTCTTGAATTTTTTGGTTTATATATTTTGCCAGTTTTACAGAATATTCAGCTATCATTTCTTGAGACTTTATTTTCACCATGCTCTTTCTTTTCTCTTTCTGGGACTCCTATGACACTCACATTAGAGTCTTTGGTATTATTTGATAGTGTCATGAGCTCTGTTCATTTTTAAGTCATTTTCTGTCTGTTCAAAACAGTTTCTGTTGATCTGTCTTCAAATTCTCTGACTTCTCTTAAAGTATATTGTGTGCTGTGAGGGTCAAATTTATTTTTTGATTTTCTGGTGGCATTCTAGATTTTTAAAAGATGTGTGCTTGTGTTTTCTTTTTATCTTAGGAGACTTTGAGACAGAAATCCATCTTGATCCAAAATCTAGTCACCTTTCTAAAATCTGTTTGGTTCTATCATTCCCTTTCTTGTAAGGTCTTTGATGGCTAACTTGGCAACAAGAAAGTGTCCTAGCTAAGCTAACCACATTCTGCCCCAGCCCCACTGTGGCCTTTAATCTCATCACTATCCCATTCCCTATTATCCTGTCAGACTGATGTTTTTGTATCTCTTCAGTCCTCACAGTTTTTTTTTTTTTTTTTTTTTTTTTTTTTTTTTTTTAAATCAGAGCTGCTGCCTCCCAGAATGTCTTTGCATCCTCTTTTTTTTGTGGAAAACAACTAATTTTCTAAAACCCATTTCAATTTTACCTTTTCCGTAGAGCCTAACTCTACACTCAAATAGAGTGAAGTGCTGCCTGCTTTTTATCCACACTGTGCTCTCCTTTATTTCTTAGTTACTATAAGTTTATTTTATTTGTAAGTGCATATTTGCAGCCCTCTGTAAGACAATGCGACTTTTGAGAGTATTATTTTATTATTTTCCTTCTTGGTATTTTAGTGTATTGGTTTGTTTTTGAGATGGGGTCTCACTCTGTCACTCAAGCTGCAGTGCAGTGGTGCAATCACAGCTCACTGACGCCTCGACCTCCCAGGGTCAAACAGTCTTCCCATCTCAGCCTCCCAAGTAACTGGGACTACTGGCATATGTCACCATACCCAGCTAATATTTATATATATTTTATATTATATATATATGATATTTATATTATATATATTTATATATTATTTTTAATATAATATTTATATTATATATTATATTATTTTTAATATAATATTTATATTATATATTATATTATGTATTATATTATTTATATATATATATAATACAGGTCTCACTGTATTACTTAGTTTGGTCTCAAACTTTTGGGCACAAGTGATCCTCCCGCATTGGCCTCCAAAGTGCTGGGATTATAGGTGTGAGCCACCTTGCCTATCCTATTTTCTTTCTTTTGCTACTACCTCTTCCAGTGCCAAATTTGAGGTTCAGTAAAGATTTTATTGGTGGTTCAGGGGGTTTAAAGTCACCTATTCCAGTTTGCGTGTCTTCTGTGAAAGTTGTCAGAATCAAAATGGAGTCACTAGTGTTAATTTTTTTAACCCCTACAGGTAGAGCTTGGGAAGCCTGTGAAAAAAGTGTTCTCACACTTGCATGCCTGATAAAAATTATCACAAAAGACTGCAAAAGCCACAGCCTCGTACAAAGGCCATTGAAGCCTTACACAAAAAATACTTTTATTGGGACATCTGCCCAGCAGCTGCCTGTCCAGCTTTGGACTGGTGTCACCCTTGTTATTGATCTTTGTAGCCAAGGATAACTGTTTCAAAACAATTATGTGATGCACCTCATTTTTTTCCTTTAAAAACTTTTGTCTTTCTTCCCATCTAAGTACTAACCAGGCCCGACCCTGCTTAGCTTCCGAGAACGGACGAGACTGGGCGCGTTGAGGGTGGTATGACCGTACTGGCTGTAGACACCTTCGTCTTTCTTTACCTCCCTGGATACACATGTAGTTTACTATGGCACCTGTCTTCTCATGGCAGTACTCTGTTCCCAAACAAACATCATTTTCTTCTGGAGAGGCTCTCTTTAATCTTTAGGTTAACAGTTGTATAAATGGAAGGATGGAAGAATGCACAATGACATTTTATCACACAAAATATGCAAAGGTAGAGACATAGTAGGCATTTTGTATAACTTGTTATGAGAATGAAGTGCTAAAGCTCCAATATTTTTTTCTCACATCATACGGTGTTAACTGCTTCAGATTTACCAGGATTGTGCTCTTACAGGAGTCATTCTCATTTGACGATTTATCTGTGGACTTCACCCAAAAGGAGTGGCAGCTACTGGATCCCTCTCAGAAGAATTTATACAAGGATGTGATGTTGGAGAACTATAGCAGCCTAGTGTCACTGGGTAATAAAAGCTTTCTTGAGGACCTTGGACTATGCCCAATGCATTGCCTTTTATTTTTAGTTGCTGGGAAGTTTCAGAAGCCTATAGCTAGGCTTCTGAAATTTTTAATGATTTTAGACCTGAAACTTAGATCACAGTTGCTTGGACTATGACACCAAGAAAGTATTTGGGTCTCACCTTTCAATAATGAAGTTGTAAGTTTGTCATGCAGCCTCTGAAACTTAAGTAGTAATAGTTTGAGCAGTAGTGATAGCACCTAATGCATATAACTTACTATATGCCACATCTTATACCAAGTGCTTTACGTATATCAACTCATTTAGTCATCAGAGCAATCCTATGTGGCAAGTACAGTCATTATCCATTTTTCCTGATGAGAAGATCGAGGCCAAGAGAGGTTAAGTAACTTTCCCAAGAACTAACAGCTAGTAAATTAAAGAGCCTGGATGTAAACCCAGGCTTACTGGCTCCAGAGCCTCTGAAGTGTTCAGTGGCTTTGTACTAGACCCTATTAGCCACCAAGGGAGACCGTTACTGTAACTTTGAGAATTACTTACTCTGTTGGGGTACAGCTTCACCAGGCCAACTTTGATGTGAAACCTTGCTCAACTTTAGAGGCCCTAAACCCCAAGCAGTTGGGCCCAAGGCCTTTGTGATTTTTCCCTTAACAGGGTATGAAGTTATGAAACCAGATGTCATCTTCAAATTGGAGCAAGGAGAAGAGCCGTGGGTAGGAGATGGAGAAATTCCAAGTTCAGATTCTCCAGGTGAGTGTATGAGAACCAGGCAGATGGGAGAGAGCAGAAGCCCCATGTCATCTGGTCAGTGACGGGTGGGCTAGTCAGTGATGGGTGGGCTGGTCAGTGATGGGTTGGCTGGTCAGTGACGGGTGGGCTGGTCATTGATGGGTTGGCTGGTCAGTGATGGGTTGGCATCTTTGAAATGTGCTTTAAGGATCTCTTTTCAAAATCTCTAAACCTTTGGTGGTGCCTCAGAACAATTGACATTAGCTACTCAAGTAAGTCACATTTAGACGTAGCTTCTTTGTAGCTTAAAATGAAATGTGTCCTGCTTATCTTGGCCATGACGTTATTCTCTGTAACATCTGGGACCTTGACTTCTTGTTTGGTATTCTGTCCTCTCACATGTTTGATCCCATTCAGTCCCTCCTTCCCCTGTGGTCAAAGACACCTCCGTTTGTACATTGAAGCATCTTGATTTTGTCTTCAGTTTGGGTTCTCTGATGCCCAAACGCCCCAATCTGTTCAGTCTCATTATATTAGAAAATGGAGCCGTCATTTCTCCCAATTTATCCTTATCCTCCCTTTTAAATTAAGTTCCTTTGTGTTTTTTTCTATAGATTAGACACCATGAAGTATATGAATAATCCCTTTCTTGTTTTTTTTGTTTTTTTTGTTTTGAGATAGAGTCTTGTTCTGTCACCCAGACTGGAGTGCAGTGGTGCGATCTTGGCTCACTACTCCACCTCCTAGGTTCAGGCGATTCTCCTGCCTCAGCTTTCTGAGCAGCTGGGACTACAGGCACATGCCACCATGCCCGGCTAATTTTTTTTGTATTTTTAGTGGAGACAGGGTTTCACCATGTTGGCCAGGCTGGTCTCAAACTCCTGACCTTGTGATTCCCGCTTTGGTCTCCCAAAGTGCTGGGATTACAGGTGTGAACCACTGCATATGGCCGAATAACCCCTTTCTACCATCCTTTCATGTTGTTTAAAAATTTTTTTTCTATTGGGAAAGTATCTTTTTAAAGCCTTCCTCCCTCAACTTCCGCTTAAAACTAGGTCCATGATGTCTCATTTCTGAAGTTGTCAAATTGCTGGATAGATCCAGATTCTAATATTTTACAGGCTGTCTTAATGATACCACCATATTTTATCTCCTAAAGCATCCCACACTACTCTGATCAGTTGAACCTCTTTACTCATTATCTGCTTTGTGACATTGACTTACTTCAGTTTCCCTCAAAAGCAGACCCTCAGATACTTATGTGAGTGTAAGAACTTATTGGGGACATGGTCCCCACAAATGTAGTGAGAGAATGGGCAAGTCAGACCATGGAAGTGCTGGGGGCATTAATGCCAGTGAAGGATGGGCTGACGCTCCGACTACTGCTGTGGGTAGTGGATGCTCAGTTCTCCTGAGTGCCTCTGAGGCACTGTGAGAATATTCCTCAGTCTTGATACTCTGAGGTACCAGGAAGCCCAGGTATTTATGTACTAACTCCCATCTCTCAGTCCGGAGGTTTGCTCTGCCATAGTAAGTATCCAGAATGTCCAGGGTCCCTGCATACAGACCAATCTTATGCTTTCAGCTCAAGAAAGTTCTTGGGTAGAGAGTTGTGAGTGCCTCGGGTAGGAATCATGTCAGAGTATTGGCGATGCAGTGGCAGCATCTGCTATAGACTTGTAATCTCTGCTTTCAGGGACCTCCATAGTATGACACTACTGCTGCCTGTTCAGTTATTTCTTCCTATCTCCCATTCATGGTCAGTTCCATTTAAACATTTCTCAAGTGTTTTTAGATATGTAACATCTTGAACTTTTGATGGTATTATACTAGTTACCTAGAAATTCTTAATCCTTTCCATAGGAACTTGATTTTCACTGCATTCATATTTATGAAATGTTCCTTTACTACCCCATCCTACATTTTTCTCAGCTTTTTCTGAAGTCCCATCTGTGACCTGATCGTAGTATATATAATATTTTTTAGAAGGTTGGTCCCTGAGCTTTGTTTGCACACATAAATGCAGGGGCTTATAATTAAATGTCTTCACTTTAGTTATAGAACATGTAATGTTCGATAAATTTCTTTCCAAAAGCCTTGTCTTTGTTTTTATAGACAGGGTCTTGGTCTGTTGCCCAGGTTGCATTGCATTGGCGTGATCATAGGTCACTGCAGCCTCAAATTCCTGGGCTGAAGTGATCCTCTTGCTTCAGCCTCCTGAGTAGATGGGACTACAGGTGTGTGCCACCATGCCTGTGTTTTGTTTGTTTTGTTTTGTTTTTTGGTTTTTTTTTTTGTTTTATGTGGTAAGGCAGATTTGTAATTTGAGAAACTTCTTGTTGTTTTTATGTGCCCTTTTTAGTTGAGATCCACTCACCTAGTGGGTTTAATCCTTTACTGAAAAGGATTACAAAGTAAGACCAGAAAATAAGTTGTAGAAGCATAACACTTAGTTAAGAAGATGAGATATTTGTGTTCTTTTTTAAAAAATTGAGCACTTAAAACACTGAGCATTTGTTTTATTGCAAGGCAGTGGAGAGCCTAATTATCAAGATTACACAAATGGGGGCTGTGTGTCAGAGTCCCCAAGATCCCCCTATGTTCAGAGTCACTAGAAGGACTCACGGGACTCAGCATATTTGTACTTATGACAGATTTACTACAGTGACACTGTAAGGACACAGCTGGATCACAAATGAAAAAGGCACAGGCAGAGTCTCGAAGAACCCATGTGCAGGCTTCCTAAGCTCCCTCCCTCCTGTAAGGGTCAAAGTTTACTATCCCTCTGCAGCAAAAATATAGTAACACATGTGTTTGATGTTTCTGCCCAGGAAGGACCATTGGAGATAAGTGCCCAAGGTCTTTACTGGGAGCTGGTCATGTAGGTATTCTCTGCCTAACATGTGGTGATCATATTGTTTGTATACAGTCTCGGCATAGTAATTATCAGTTAGGAAATAGTAGGGACGTTCCTGAAACCCATGTTCTCAGATGCCAGCCAGGGGCCAGTCTTGCAAGCAGGGCTTTCTATGGATGGTAGTTTTGGTCCTGATGCTCTTTTCTATCTAGACTACTTCAGATAAAATAGAATATTTATTGACTTCTTTTAAGTTACTGTGCTAGGTACTATGGGTATATTAGAGCATTAGCGATATATATTTCCTGCCAACACAGTGTTTACTTGCTGGAGGACAAAAAAAGAACAGGGTAGTAAGTAAGCAGGAAAAAATTCAGATCCTGCTAAGTGTTATTACAGAAAAATTAGATGAGAGAATGGGTTAGTCTGCTCAGTCTGCCATAACAAAATACCATATTCTGGGGAGCTTAAACAACAGAAATTTATTTCTCAGTTTTGGAGATGGAAAGTCCCAAGATCAAGGTACCACCATGATCTTTTTCTGGGGAGGGCTGTCTTCCTGCCTTGTGGACAGCCACCCTCTCACTATGTGTTCACATGGCCTTTTCCCAGTGTGTACATGGAGAGAGAGAGAGAGAAGAGATCTCTTGTGGGGTTTCTTTTTTCTTTTTCTTTTTTTGAGACAGGGTCTCACTCACCCCACCTGGAGTGCAATGGCACAATCATGGGTCACTGCATCCTTAACCTCCTGGGCTCAAGTGATCCCCCCAAGCAGCTGGGACCACAGGTGTGCAGCACCACACCTGGCTAATTAAAAACAGGTTCTTTTTTGTACAGGCACAGTTTCACTGTGTGGTCCAGGCTCCTCTGAAACTCCAGGGTTCAAGTAATCTGCCTGCCTCAGCCTCCCAAAGTGCTGAGATTACAGACGTGGGCCAGTGTGCCTGGCCTCATATCTATTTTTGTAAAGACAATAACCCTATTTGATCAGGGTCCTACCCTTATGACCTCATTTAATCTTACTTCCTTAGAGGTCCTATCTCCAAATACAGCCATTCTGAGAGTTAAGCTTCAATATACAAGTTTTGAGGAGACACATTTAGTCCATAACAGAGAATGACATGGGAAAACTAATTGTAGACATGAAAGATGTGAAATGAGCATGGGGAAAAGTGTCTCCAAAAGGAATGATAAATAACAATATGTGAAGTCAGAAAATGGTTTAGTTACTTTTAGAAACGGAATGGAAGCCCATGTGGCTGAGGTTGGTATGCCTGAGAGATACAGATAAGTTGGAGAGAGCATGGGAACTAGACCATACTCAACTTGTAGGCAATACAAAGGACTTATAATTGAGTCAAGAAATTTTGAAAAGTAAAATCTGATTTAGAATTTTGAAAGTTTAATCTGACTGCCAAATAGAAAATGTAATTGGAAGCAGGGAAACCAATTAGAAGGATATTTCATTGAGGTAATGTGATAGTTTACAGCAGAGAAAGTGATGGAGAGAGTGGGACTATTTGGGATACACCACAAATGACCAAATATAAGGCAATTCATTTTTCTAATAGGAAAAAAAGTAAAGATGGGGGAAGGCAGATGTAAATTTAAAACACATACTTAAGTATTAATAGTTCAATAATTTGATAACATTTAAAATAACATGAATGTAAGTTTAATTTATAGATGTTTCATTTTCTGCACCCGTATTCTCTGATACCGTTTTATTGAAACGTCATAGACATCTCAAAATTAATATATTAGGCCTAACAGTGTCAATTGTGGGGGCTTGCACCTGTAATCCCAGCAATTTGGGAAGCTGAAGTGGAAGGACTACTTGAGCCTAGGACTTTGAAACCAGCCTGAGCAACATGGTGAGACCCCATCTCTACAAAAGAATTCTGAAAATTATCTTGAGCATGGTGGCACGCACCTGTAGTCCCAGCTACTCAGGAGGCTGAGTTGGGAGGATCACTTGAGCCCAGGAGTTCAAGGCTGCAGTGAGCTATAATTGCACCACTAAACTCCAGCCTGAGTGACAGGGCAATACCCTGTCTCAAAAAACAAAATTAATATGTTTATAATGGGGTCTTGATTTTAACCCTCATATTTCTCCCTCAGTCTTCCTCAATTCATAAACACCATAATCTACCAAATTGTTCAAACTCCAAACCTAAGGGTAATTCTTGATTCTTTTTCCCTTTATTTTCTCCATACCAAATACATCAGCAAATCTTGTTGATTCTACCTCCACCATATAATCCTACAAATATATAACCTTCAGTTGACATTTAAATTTGTAGAATGTTTTCACATTACTGATTATCTTTCTTACCTCTAGGTACAACCTCACAAAAAATTTGAAATGTAGATTTTTATTGAAAAATGGGCCCAGCATGTTGGCTCATGCCTGAAACCCCAACACTCTGGGAGAGACCAAGTCTCTTACTGGTTTGGGAGGGTAAAGTGGGAGAATTGCTTGAGCCCAGGAGTTCAAGAGCAGCCTGGACAACATAGGGAGACCCCATCTCAACAAGAACAACAACAAAATTAGCCAGCTATGTGGTTGCACACCTGTGTATTCTGGCTGCTTGGGAGGCTTATGTAGGAGGATCTCTTGAGCCTGGGAGCCTGGGGGGTTGAGGCTGCATCACAACACTGCACTTCAATATGGGCGACAGAGCAAGACCCTGTCTCAAAAAATACATATTTTGAAGTTAACTTATAATAGTATAAATGGTTATGTCATGAGGATAATGGAAATAGAGCTATGTAACAAATGACTGTCAAACTGTCAGATTAGATTATTTTTAGAATGGGAACTTGGGTCTTGGGATAGTTTTAGTGAAAGTACACATGGATTTTAAAGTTCTGTGCCTGAATAGTTTAGATGAAAGATGATATGGTTTTGAAAATGTGTTGCATTAAGTGGCTTTCCTTTTTTTTTTTTTTAGGTTATAAACATTAACTTGATTTAATCATTTTACAACATAAACATATATCAAAATATTACACTGTAGACAGATATGTACAACTATTATTTTTCAATTAAAAATACAATTTTTTTTAAATTTAATTTTTCTTTTTCAATGAATCTTTGATTTCTTCACTTTAAACTCTTAGGTATTAAGCATACAAATGTTTAATGGCTTAGAATAGTACCTAACACATTATATGAGCCAAATACTAACTACTGCTCCAAACTATCTTTTTTCATAGCATTCTTCAAATACAAGATTATTCTGTGTATCTTATTAAAATTTATTTTTCTGCCTTATCTAAATATTGATAAAAATAGAAGGTAGGGCATTTGCCTGCTTCATGAATTCCAAAATCAAAGGGCAGTTTTACTAATTATTTTTACATTCAGTAACTCATTTGTCTCACACAGTAAACACAAATATTATGTAACAGAACTATATTCATATTCTTCATCCTAAAAATGGAGAAAATTTTGAGTTATTTATTGATTGTAGTATAGGACTCATTCTCTATTTGTTCAAATTATTCCATGTCAAGTGCCTAGAATAATTGTTCATGACATACTGTGAAATAGAAAATACTGATAGAGATGGATTACAAAAGTAAACTCAAAAAACATCCTATGAATTGTTTCATTATATATATAATAGAATATACTTATATCCACATAACAAAAAAATTAAATCTTTTTAGATAGAATAGTTGTTATAAACTGCTTAAGTTGTACATTTCATCAACACTTAATGAAAAACATCAATTTCTCACAAAAACTTCAAGCAGTAGAAGAGGTAATATTTCTTAATTCATCTGTTAGCCAGTAATACCATAATACCCAAAGGAGACAAAAGAATCACAAGATGACTATGAAACAACATCCTATTTAAATTTAGACACAGAAATTCTCAGAAATATTTAAAAAAAGAATACAAAAAGGTATAAGAATGATTACATACCATGACTAAGCAGGGTATTTTTCACAATGCAATGTTTGTTTAATATGATACAATATTACTTGAACAAAGTAAAAATGTAATAATTGAAATAGAAAAAGTTTGATAAATTCAACACCTATGAATGATAGAACACCAAGAAAACTATTAGAAGAAAACTTTTGAGACCTGCTAAAAGTCCTCCATGAAAAACCAAAATTGGCCCGGCGCAGTGGCTCACACCTGTAACCCAGAACTTTGGGAGGCTGAGGTGGAAAGACTGCATAAAGCCAGGAGTTCAAGACCATTCTGGACAATATAGGGAATCCCCATCTTTACAAAATATTAAAAAAAAATTATCTGGGCATGGTGGTGCATGCCTGTTGTCCCAACTACTCAGGCAGTTAAGGTGGGAGGATCTAAGTGGCTTTCTTAATAGTAATGTGAAGATGCATATGGCAAGTTTAAATAAAACTTTAGAATAAGAAACAATACACAAAATATTTCTCATTGTTTAAGCTTGAAATGACTAATCATTCTTTCAAATATTTTCATTTTCTTCTTAGTATTTACTACAGTGTATAGTTTGTTGTTTTAAAAATATTATCTTTTCCATTACAATATAAATTTTATAATGACAGGAACTTATTTTTTTATTTTTTATTTTTATTTTTTTGAGATGGAGTCTTGCTCTGTTACCCAGGCTGGAGTGCAGTGGCGTGATCTCGGCTCACTGCAATCTCCGCCTCCTGGGTTCACACCGTTCTCCTGCCTCAGCCTCCTGAGTAGCTGGGACTACAGGCGCCCACCACCACACCCGGCTAATTTTTTGTATTTTTAGTAGAGACGGGGTTTCACCATGTTAGACAGGATGGTCTCGATCTCCCAACCTCATGATCTGCCTGCCTCGGCCTCCCAAAGTGCTGGGATTACAGGTGTGAGCCACCGCTCCTGGCCTACAGGAACTTATTTTTTCTCTTGTGTCTCTAGTACCTTACACACTACCTGGGCATAGTGTATACTCAGAAAGTATTGAGTGAATTAATTACTCAAAACATTGGGTCAAAGCTTCTTCTAACCTTTTTTCTTTGCTTTTCATGTGTTTTTCATATTCCCCATTTAATAAACATATTTGTCAACAACCAAAGATGACTTAATCTCCAGTCAGTTTCCTGTTTCTGTTTTTAGCATTTCCTTGCAATACCTAGAAGATAGTTATTATACTTGGGACTTATTTCAGACTCGGAAACTAAGCCTTAAAAGCAGCCAACCCCTCAACATAGCATTTCTAGTTTTGTTTTGTTTTGTTTTGTTTTTAGAAAGCACAACCAAACAGATTGTTTTTGTTTCCTTTATAGAAGTCTGGAAAGTAGATGGTAACATGATGTGGCACCAGGATAACCAAGACAAGCTTAAAATTATAAAAAGAGGTCATGAATGTGATGCATTTGGAAAAAATTTCAATCTGAACATGAACTTTGTTCCTTTAAGGAAATCAAACAGTGAAGGTGACTTAGATGGATTGATTTTAAAACATCATTTAGATTTGCTTATTCCAAAAGGAGATTATGGAAAAGCAGAATCAGATGACTTTAATGTGTTTGATAATTTTTTTCTCCATTCCAAGCCTGAGGATACTGATACCTGGTTAAAATACTATGACTGTGATAAATATAAAGAGAGCTATAAAAAGTCACAGATTATCATATATCATAGAAATCGTTTAGGGGAGAAACTCTATGAATGCAGTGAATGTAGGAAGCGCTTCAGTAAGAAACCAAGTCTCATTAAACATCAGAGCAGACATATAAGAGACATAGCCTTTGGCTGTGGTAATTGTGGCAAAACCTTTCCCCAGAAGTCTCAGTTTATTACACATCACAGAACTCATACAGGAGAAAAACCTTATAATTGTAGCCAGTGTGGGAAAGCCTTCTCCCAAAAGTCACAGCTCACATCCCATCAGCGGACACATACAGGAGAGAAACCTTATGAGTGTGGTGAATGTGGGAAAGCCTTCTCCCGGAAGTCACATCTCATATCGCATTGGAGAACACACACAGGAGAGAAACCCTATGGATGCAATGAATGTGGGAGGGCCTTTAGTGAAAAGTCCAATCTCATTAACCATCAGAGAATTCATACCGGTGAGAAGCCTTTTGAATGCAGGGAATGTGGGAAAGCCTTCAGCAGGAAGTCACAACTCGTTACACATCACAGAACTCACACAGGAACAAAACCCTTTGGATGTAGTGATTGTAGAAAAGCATTCTTTGAGAAGTCAGAGCTTATTAGACATCAGACAATTCATACTGGAGAGAAACCCTATGAATGCAGCGAGTGTAGGAAAGCATTTAGAGAGAGGTCGAGTCTCATTAATCATCAGAGAACACATACAGGAGAGAAACCTCATGGATGCATTCAGTGTGGGAAGGCCTTCTCCCAGAAGTCACATCTCATATCACATCAGATGACACACACAGGAGAAAAACCCTTTATATGCAGTAAATGTGGGAAAGCCTTCAGCAGGAAATCACAGCTCGTTAGACATCAGAGAACTCATACGGGAGAAAAACCGTATGAATGCAGTGAGTGTGGGAAAGCTTTCAGTGAAAAATTAAGTCTCACTAATCATCAAAGAATTCATACAGGAGAAAAACCATATGTATGCAGTGAATGTGGGAAAGCCTTTTGTCAGAAGTCACATCTCATATCACATCAGAGGACACATACAGGGGAGAAACCCTATGAATGCAGTGAATGTGGGAAGGCCTTTGGTGAGAAGTCAAGTCTTGCAACTCATCAGAGAACTCATACTGGAGAAAAACCGTATGAATGCAGGGACTGTGAAAAAGCTTTCTCCCAGAAATCACAGCTAAATACCCATCAGAGAATTCACACTGGAGAGAAACCCTATGAATGCAGTCTTTGTAGGAAAGCTTTTTTTGAGAAGTCGGAGCTAATTAGACATCTGAGAACTCATACAGGAGAAAAACCTTATGAATGCAATGAATGTAGAAAAGCCTTCAGGGAGAAGTCAAGTCTCATCAATCATCAGAGAATACATACAGGAGAGAAGCCTTTTGAATGCAGTGAGTGTGGCAAAGCTTTCTCTCGGAAGTCACACCTTATACCACATCAAAGGACACATACGGGTGAGAAACCCTATGGATGCAGTGAATGTAGGAAGGCCTTCTCTCAGAAGTCACAGCTGGTTAATCATCAGAGAATTCATACAGGAGAGAAGCCTTATCGATGCATTGAATGTGGGAAAGCTTTCTCACAGAAGTCACAGCTCATCAATCATCAGAGAACTCATACAGTAAAAAAATCCTAGGAATACAGTTAATAGTAGTCTTTGACAGATCATCTTGGACTTCAGGAAATGCAATTATGATAACGTTTGTAGACAGTCACGTCATGTTAGGTGTTTGTACTCCATGAGGATGAGAACTCTAAATGAGGTGGTGTATGGAAAGCCGATCATAATTCATAGAGTAGAGTGAACCTATGACTGCAGTGGATCTCAAAAACTTTTAAAACCATAGACAAGCCTTATAGAGTAGAACATTCACAGCAAAGAAGAATCCTGTGAATGTCCAAAAGCCTTCCAGAAGTCAAGTCTCTTAAGCTATTAGAAATATTCCCACTGGGGATGAGGGAAAACCCCATGAATGCGGGAAATGAGGCAATATTTTTAAGAAATGACAGTTCATTGTACATAAGAAAATGCTCTTAGGAATGAAGTTCTATGAAAGTACTAAATATGGGACAGTGCAACAAGTAACGAGACTATTTTGTATTTTGGAGAATTCATATTATGGAGAACCTAACAATTTAAAGACACTGGGAACACTTGCCCCTCAGTATAGTACTGTCAAGGGAAGCCATACACTTTTTGTAGACATGGGTACCAAAAATACCCAATTCTAAGTGGTTGACAGATGTTCACTTTGAAGTGTGAAGTTTTAAAAATACGTGAATAAATTGGTTATTGAAACATCTAAGACATTTCTTAGTGGTATTTGTGGCTTATCTTCTAGTGTCACGTATGTTTTGTGTTTTGGACTTACCTATAATTTAATGTAATTGGGAGTATGAAATGCATATGCCTTTTAGTGCCTCTGATGTCTGTGAAGACAACACTACACACCACTGGTTTTTATTTTTTAACAATAATATAAAAAATGGAAACTCATGTAACATGACTACATGAATAAGTACCTTAAGTGATAACCCGTTTCTTTTAACTTATAGACATACATAAGGGGTCTTTTGTTTTTATGGACCTTTCTATTCAGTAACTGAAGCCAACATTGTGTAAGTCTTCTGCATCCTCAGAGTCTGAGTAACAGTTTATATAAAATAAATATGCAAAGGCAGGAACCACAGAATAACCATAGTAATATATAACTGAATGAGCAAAATAAAGGTGTGTGAACTACATTACAACACCCAAACTAAATGAAATAAAGTAGTGCTGTATTAAATCTTTTTCTCATTTAGTGAGGTGCCTCCATATAGTATATATATATGTATCTTAAGTGATATGTAACCCAAATGTCACTATTTTAATTTACTGTGATAAAGTATCATGGATATTTTGTGCTGCTGTTATGCTTTTTGTGTTGCATAAAATATCTTGTAAAAATTAGATGGATAAATGAATTATTAAAAAATCACATTTCTGAAGATGTAAAGTATTAGGGAATTTTGTGCTGGAAAAACATTTTTGACATTCAAGGATGCCTATTTTATCTTCTAGCAAATTTCTGTGGTCCCTGGAAAAGTACAGATGATCCTGGACTTACAGTGGGGTTACCTCCCAATAAACCCATTGTAAGTTGAAAACATTGTAAGTCAAAAATGCATTTAATACACCCAACTTACCAAACATCATAGCTTAGCGTAGCCTACCTTAAACATTCTCAGAACACATTCTAATGCATCATCTATTTTATAAAAAGGTGTTGAATATCTGATGTAATTATTGAATACTGAAGGTGAAAAATAGTAGTGTATGGATACCATTGTAATGTTGAGAAACTGTAAGTCACATCCTCTTAAGTCAGGAACTATCTGTATAAGGAAACAAGATTTCCATTTTATCATTTGAAATGTATTTGACTTTGTTTCACTAGTTGCATTATCCCCATGGAAAACTTCACATTGAGAACTTACCATTATATATTTCCATAAAAATGCATGAACCATCCCTTAGCTAAGTAAGGATTTTGTAATGTTCTCTCAATAATGTTGCTTGGCAAAGTTAATATTTTTTGTATGCTGATGAAATTTAGAAAAGTCCAATATTGAGCTTGATTGCAAACTTAGAAAAACTCAAGACTTCTCCTTTTATGTTCAAATTGTTGTATCAGTATGGTATTTTGCACCTTTACCTTAAACAATATTTTCTCCTTTAATTATTGATTTTGCAACATTTTGGGAAAGTTGGAATTTTAAATAAATGAATAATTTTCTAAACCAGAATACCAGTTCAACAGCCAAATAATTCTGTCTTTCCATGCTGTAATTTTAAAGCATTTAATTTTCCAACTTTTTGTTCATACTCAAGTGTATGAACTTCCTGGCTGGGCACAGTGGCTCATGCCTGTAATCCCAGCACTTTGGGAGGCTGAGGACCTCAAGTGGAGACCTCAAGTGGATCACTTGAGGTCAGGAGTTGAAGACCAGCATGTTCATGGCCAACATGGCAAAACCCTGTCTTAAATTAGCCGGGCATGGTTGTGCGTGCCTGTAATCCCAGTTACTCAGGAGGCTGAGGCAGGAGAATCACTTGAACCTGAGAGGCAGAGGTTGCAGTGAGCCAAGATTGTGCAGCCTGGGCGACAGAGCGAGCCTCTGTCAAAAAAAGAAAAGAAAAAGAACTTCCTACTTTTTAATATCTCAAATTCATTTTACTAGACGTGGGAGACCAACTAATGCAAATGAACAGTTACAGGGTGATGTTGTACTTTGTGATTTTTGCCCTATTTTTTCTTTCCATCTATCACCATTCTCTTTCCAATCCCAGAGATTGATTTATTAGGTCTTGGAAATTCTAGATTATTCCATTAACTATTAAGCAGTTAAACCTGATACTTCCTACACTAGATAATGGAACTTCAACATTAGCCTATTGATTGCCCAAGAACAAACATTTTTTTCTAAATGTCAGGTGTTATGGGGAGGATTGATGCTGACAGCAGAGGTCTAGTTAAAAACTGATGCAGAGGTTCAAATACGTTGTGCAGTAATCACTAGAACTCACCTTCTAAAGTGTCATGAGAGCTCTGATTCTGCAATTAGAGATTTTTTAATGTGTTTTTGAAATTACCTTGTAAACCACAAATCTGTGTCTCTGCATTGCCCCTTATTGTTTCCTACCACAAATTCTACATCAAGAAGAAAGTTTTAAAGTTAGACTGGATTTATTTGTGATTTTATGGAGCACAATAAGGTACATTGAGATAGCATACTAAAGGAGGCCAAATACAGGAAGCATCATCTTTTCTTATTCTCTTACTGCCTGGATTTTCCCACTGACCTGGAATTGTGCACAGTTCTACAAAGGACAATTGACATTGTTTTCCTTTTACTAAGTAGTGGGTTTTCCTTAAGGTCCAGACTGAATTTTGAGACCTGTATCAGGATTGCCTTCTGTGTGACTTTTTCTTGCAGGATCTGACATCATTACCTATGGGTCCATATATTTGTGATACTTTGGTTTCGGGAACATCACTTTTAGAATGTTGACATAAAATGCACCCACAGAATGCCGTATTTATCAAAAGTAACTTTCTAGCAAAATCTACAGCAGTAGGCATTTGGAATCTGCATTTGAGACCTCTGCAGTCATTTGGTCATTCCAGCAATCTATGTCCAGGTTGTCAATTTCAGAGGTCTTATTAGTCTATACAGGTACCAATGAGCTTTCAGATGTTCAACACCTACCCCTGGCCTAACTGCTGATAACCAACCATAACCCTTGCAGATGCATGCATGTTTTCTGCACCTTGCTATCATTTTTCAGTCCATTTTTCACATGTATACATAGTGATTATTTTTAAATGCAACCCTGATTTCACATGCCTCATGTTGAAATATCGTGTGGCTTATTGTGGACTTAAAGTGTAACATTCTCCTTATGGTATGTAAGGACTTTTGTATAAACCAATGCCTATCTATCTATCATTTCTGAAAACTTTTTCCTCCTATGCAATATTTTCTGGCCTCTGTGAACAACTTGTAGTTCCTTGAGATTTCTATTATCACTTATGTTTTTGCAAATCTGCAATTGAAATGCCCTTGTTCCTTGTTAATGCCTATTGAATCTATATGAACCTGTACGTGTGTTTCTCACTGTGATAATATAATCATTGCATGTTTTATCTTTCCCACTAGAAAGCTTCTAGAAAGCTAGTACTATCTTTTTTGTCTGTGTAATTTTTGCATCACAAGCTATATTTAAATGTGGGTGCAGTGAGTGGCTGTTTTCTGCCACATGGAGAAACATGGTCTGCAGTGAGAGAGAAGAATGAAGCCATGATGAAAGCAAAATCAAGAAAGAGTCCCGATTGTGTTCCAGTACCTGGTTCTTCTGGTCTTCATGTTCAGGTCCACCTCTGCCCTTTTCATGTCTTGATTGTTGAATTCTTCTGTGAGATACTCCAAATATCCTAATAAATTCTCATGTTTGCTTCATCTGGCTCAAGTTGTGTTTGTTACAACCCAAATATTTCTAACAGAGGAAATCAGGCTATGTCGTAACTTGTTCTCTGGAAGTGGTTACTGAGAAGTTTGGGTGCAAGATGTCTACTGAGGATCAACAGCTGTGAAATGATTGAAGAAGAAGAAAGAAAACATTGAGCTGAGGAAGAAGTCAATTTGCACTGCATTGGAGCCAGCAGGGAACTCTGGAACATGTACTGCCCATTGGAGTGCCTCGTGTTGAACCAAGACGGCCAGGCCCTTACAACCCTGCATTGCTCACCCCATCACCCAGACTCAGGCTGCCCTGGGAAGGAAGCAGCCTTAGGTGAAGCAGCTCTTTTCTTCAGTGATGCTGCTGATTTCTTAGGTGAAGCAGCTCATTTCAGCTGAGGCCAGCTTCAAA
This sequence comes from Homo sapiens, assembly GCF_000001405.40. NCBI lineage: Eukaryota > Metazoa > Chordata > Mammalia > Primates > Hominidae > Homo > Homo sapiens. The sequence continues at coordinate 133,063,712 of NC_000012.12, forward strand.
AGTGGAGGTTCTCTGCTGATGACTCTCCCTGCCCTGGGTAAGTCCCTCCTTGAAGAGAGATCTGAGTCATAATGCATGTTTCTGATCACACAGTCCATCCTTCCCACCACTTAGATCCCCTTGTCTATGTTACATTTGGGAAGCTGCTGCTCTAGGATTCTGGTGGGGCTCTCTCTGAAGAGACACTAAGAAAAGGAAGATTCATAGGACAAACCACAGCCCCTAATGTTGCAGTTGCTTTCTGTATTAGTCACTGTAGATTCTCATCACACCCTGTTAGCACCTCTGTGGACATAAGTGGCTTATGTGGTAGCTTGTCCCAGACCCTTATTCCTGAGGGGGTCAGAGCCCTGGCCACCATGTCCTTTTCAGATCCAAGTTGCTGTATTTGTCCACTTACATCACAATGGGGCAAGGAAGTTCAAAGAGGCACCTAGGAGGGCCACCTGAGTTCCACTCCTTTTTTCTCCTGCCCTGTTGTGTAACAGCAGCCATACCTGCTGATGATCAGTGTCAATGCCCCAGCAAAGAGTGGCTTTTCTGGCATGCTGGTCCTTGGACACAAGGGTACAAAGTTCCATGCTGTATCTGTAGTTTATAATTTAGAACACTCTGTCCTCAGGTGGAAAGTGCCCCCTCTGGGGCTAATCCTTGATGTTTGACCTTTATACGGTGCTGTGTTTTCAAAGAGAAAGAACACATGGGTTTGGGTACTGCAGTGTGGAAGCAGGAAGATCACAGATGATCCTCTAGGGGGACCTTGTGCTTCCCATAACCACAGCTCTGAGGTTGAGAGAGTTAATATTGCTCTGGGAGCAAAACTAGTTATATCATTGTCCATTTTGTGTACATTGTTTTTCTTTCTTTTCTTTTTTTTTTTTTTTTTGAGGCAGAGTCTCACTCTGTCGCCCAGGCGGGAGTGTGGTGGCACGATCTCGGCTCACTGCAAGCTCCGCCTCCCAGGTTCACGCCATTCTCCTGCCTCAGCCTCCCGAGTAGCTGGGACTACAGGCACCTGCCACCATGCCCAGCTAATTTTTTGTATTTTTAGTACAGATGGGGTTTCACCATGTTAGCCAGGATGGTCTCGATCTCCTGACCTCGTGATCTGCCTGCCTCAGCCTCCCAAAGTGCTGGGATTACAGGCATGAGCCACTGTGCCCGGCCGTGTATGTTGTTCATTTCATTGCCCACATCATTTCACTTGATATGAATGCAAACATTTATGCTTTTTTCTGAATCGGGATATTAAAATGCATTTACTGGATCAGTGGCCATATACCATGTATCTGAGGCTGTATTAATCTCTTCTAGTGGAAATATCACATCTGGCCTAATGGCTGTGATCAGGACTACTACTTAGTTGAGCTTGAAGTTGAATTGCAGTTATGAGTAGTTTTTACTAGAGATATGATGGGAACCATCACTCCTAAATCTTTTATATCCTGAAGGGTGTCTCTAATCTCTACTATCCCCCCAGAGATTGTTCTTATTTACTATCTTGGGTGGATTGTAGTTTGAGGCTTCCACGTGGCCTTTCCTCATGCAATAGTTTTTTTTTCCTGCAAGCAAGGACCTAATAACCACTTGTGATACAGCAGATGTGAGCTGCTTTTTGTGCAGCCAAAGGCCCTCTAACTTTCACAACTGCAATCAATTGTCTATTACTTGTCCTCAACTGTTTGTTATCTTTATGTAGAGCATCAGTGGCTTTCAGCAGTAGCCACTGTATTAGTCCGTTCTCATACTGCTATAAAGAAATACCACAGACTGGGTAATTTATAAAGAAAAAGAGGTTTAATGAACTCACAGTTTCACATGGCTGGGAAGTCCTCACAATGAAGGAGGAGCAAAGACACGTCTTACATGGTGACAGGCAGGAGAGCGTGTACAGAGGAACTGCCCGTATAAAACCATCAGATCTCATGAGATTTATTCACTACCACAAGAACAGCATGGGAAAAACCCACCTCCATGATACAATTACCTTCCCCCAGGTCCCTCCCACGACACGGGGGGATGATGGGAGCTACAACTCAAGATAAGGTTTGGCTGGGGACACAGCCAAAACATATCAGCACCCAAACCTGTTATTTAATAATAATCTATCTCCTAAGTTCAAACATCTGTTACATAACACAGGTGCTTCCTCTTAATTTACTATTGGTGAACTATTTAATGATTGAACCACCTCCTTATGCCGGGGCCTCTTTGTGCTCCACCTGCCACAGTGGTGGGGTTTGTATGTCAGCTGGATAATGAGTAATCCAGTTCCAAAACTTTGGCCCATCCTTTGCTATTTTGGAGCACCTCAATAATGGTACAAGCTGCAATCTGTTGGGTTTTCTGAAAGTTGACTCTGAGATATACTTTGGAGGTATTCACTGTAGATCAGTATCTGTGAAAGGAAAGAGAAGGAAGTAGGATTAAGCAAAAGAAAAGGTTAAACTGCAATGCAGATCCTACAAAACTGCTCCCAACTTAGAATGGATCTCTGTAGTGAGTGTTGCCTGACAGGGCTCATGTGTCAGGCAAGCATGGTCTAGTCTATGTTCACACCTCTTTCAGTCACTGAATACAGCCTGACCTGGAAGGGAGGTGACTTTGGATGAAGCTCTTCTGCAGCAAAGGCTGACCATGAAGGGCTTGACAGGCGAGGGCTGTCTGCTAACTCCCCACACCTGTACTACAAGCCAGGATGGTCTCAATCTCCTGACCTTGTGATCCGCCCGCCTCGGCCTCCCAAAGTGCTGGGATTACAGGCGTGAGCCACCGCACCCGCCCCCTTCCGTACCTTTTAAGTGCCTGGGTCATCACACCAACCAGGTGTTTTTCTCCATTTGGACATTTTCCCAGGTAACTGCCAGTGAAATATGTAGCAGCTGGGCTGCCACGTTTGCCAGAGTCTCTCTGGAATGGGATATTTCTTGTCAGCTCAAAGTAAAATGCAAGCACAAATATTTACCACAGAGGAGTTCCACACTGAGCAGAAATGATGCCAGGCCATCCTATCCCCCATGGTGCTCACGCACTGGCTGGCAGCTGCCTGAAAAGGTCACAGTCTCAAATACTGTGCTAACTCCCAAAAGCAATGAATCCCTCCAGGAGAATGGGAAGTATTTTCTTGAAAGGTATTTGGAGTAATGCACCTGTAAGGATCCCACAATTGAAGGAAGAAAGGCCGGGTGGTGAGTCTTAATTGGCAGAAGCCAGGGATTCACATTTATTATAATAAATAGTAAGGTCAGTGTGACAGCCAAGAGGGTTTGATTCACAGGAACTTGTGAAGATGGTTAGTAAAACATAACTTCCCCAAGGATAAACTAGATAAGACAGGCAACCAGGAAATTTGTTAGTAAACATAGTCCAAGAAGATGAGAATGGGTGAGCAAGAGGCTAAGGGCAGTTGCCTCAGTAAAATGCCATGATCCTTGAACTTGAGCTAATATTCAGATCAGAAAGACACTAAAGAGGTAGGTGGGTCCCCAAGGGGAAAGACCCTATGACACCACGGCAAATATATACTGTGACGACACCTCCAGCCCTTCGTCAAAGACTGATGGGCACTTACTTGGTTCATTATACACTGGGTAAAGGGTAATATCCAGAGATTTTAAAGACTATTATACGCAAAGTCTGAGTTGATACTGATACCAGACTTTCATAGCATTATCATGCCTCCGCCAGCATGAGAGCGTATTTAGGCCTGGTCATACATTTAGGCTTACTGTGGGGCCAATGGTCCCAGTGACCCTGACCCATGCATTACTCATTTGCTTGGTCTTCGAATGTATAATTGGGATTGACATCCTTGGCAGTTGGAGTACTTTCTACATTGGACTATTGGTCTTTGGTTAAAAGCCACTATAGTGGGGAAGGCCAGGTGAAAACCTCTGAATCCCACCCAGAAGGTAAGATCATAAATTAAAAACAATATTGCATTTTGGGGAGAAGAGTTGGAGGGGGTGACAGAGATGAGTGCGACTCGTAAAGACCTAAAGAATGTGGTAGTAGTGCCCCTGGGATATTAACAAATCCTAGGGAATGACTACAGGTGAGCTCAGCCAAGTCCATGTCCCACTTGCAGACATGACATTGTTTCTAAGGCAGATTTAAGTGGCCTTGGGTATGTGGCAGTGGCCTTTGATTTGGAAAACCAATTCTTTTTATTCAATTCAGGAAAAAGGATCAGAAAATGTAGCATTAACATGAGACAGACAATACTGTGCATTCACAGTTTTACCCAGGGCTGTCAGCCATCATAATATAATCTGAATAGACTGAACATTTTATAGAACATCACAGTAATACACATGGCAGCAAAGTCATGTCAGTCAGGCAGGATAGGTAGGAAGTGGCCAGCAGGTTGGAGACACCACATGCATTCTAGAGGACTGGAGACAAACCGTATAAAAATCCAGCAAGTTACCACAAAAGATAGCATGTAAGTCACAGTTTTTCCACACTGCTTTATCAATTCTTGAGGACGTTTTTGTAGATTTTTTCCTACTAATTATATCTATTTATTGACATGAAATTACAGATATGTTCCTACTGATTTTAAAATCTCAGCTGGGCATGCTGGCTCATGCCTGTAATTCTAGCACTTTGGGAGGTCAAGGTGGGAGGATCGCTTGAGTCCAGGAGTTCGAGACCAGCCTGGGCAAAAAAACAAGTGAGACTCCATCTCTACAAAAAATTAAAAAAATTAGCCGGGTGTGGTTGTGCTTGCCTGTAGTCCCAGCTACCTGGGAGGCTGAGGCGGGAGGATTGCTTTAGCCTGAGAGTTTGAGGTTGCAGTGAGCCATGAACACACCACTGAACCTTAGTTGGGTGACAGAGTGAGACCCCATCTCAAAAAAAACCCCAAATTTGGAATCTCTTCTGTATTTGTAGTTATATTGCTTTTTTTCATTAATAATATTTATTTTTTACTTTTATTCTTGTTATATCTTGGCAAAATTTGTTTATTTATTAGCTTTTACAATAAACAAGACTTTGGTTTTATTGATCTATTTGTATCTTTGTTTCTACTTAGCTGATTAGCTGAAAGCTGGACTTGACAGAGGCCAATATTAAGGTAAAATAGAGATGTCAAAAATTTCTTCGCATAAATCTAAGGATTTAAGGAAATATTGTTAATATAGATTTGTCATAAGTAACCCACTCACTCATTCCTCCGATTTTGACCCCCAACAGGGGCCAGAGGACAGTTCTTTCACCATGAGAAATTACTTGGTGAAGGGAGAACCAGCCTCATGTAAAAATGTGGGTATAGTTATGTGTTATAGATACTGTCATTAAAATGAGATTCCTGATGTCAAAGGGGATGATAGGTTCTGCAATGGAACAGTTCTCAGCAGAATTTACTCACAAGGAGCAAGACAGGCATGGTTAGTGCAGGAGGTTCATGGTCATAATGGTGATGAGAATTGTTAAACCTACATAAACCTTTGGAAGTGGTTAACTGATCAGGGATCTTAAAGGCCAAAATAGATGAACAGCTTGTGAATGTCTTACCTTATTTTGAGAACCCAAAATATAGAAGAAACAAGGTATCTTTGAAAATGGACCTTGCAGTTGCATCACAAGCACACACTGTACAACTTGGGATCCATCAAGAGGCCTATTTGTTAGAATAGAATTTCCAAGTGTGTTCTATGCTGCTTTCCAAATCCAACGAGGTCTACCAAGCATTTTATCTCTGCATGTGTGGGGTACAAATAGCAATAACTTGCCTTTTCCCTTAAAGGGATGTCTTAGCATTCCTCCATTCACTGAACTAAAAACTTCATAAATGTCAGGCCCTTAAATCTTCGAGCACATATATGTATTATTAGGCCACTTTCGGTACTTGCTACTTCTTACATAAAAATTACAGATCTGGGCCGGGCGCGGTGGCTCATGCCTGTAATCCCAGCACTTTTGGAGGCTGAGGCGGGCGGATCATGAGGTCAGGAGATCGAGACCATCCTGGCTAACACGGTGAAATCCCGTCTCTACTAAAAAAAAAAATACAAAAAATTTGCCGGGCATGGTGGTGGGCACCTGTAGTCCCAGCTACTCGGGAGGCTGAGGCAGGAGAATGGCGTGAACCTGGGAGGCAGAGCTTGCAGTGAGCTGAGATCACGCCACTGCACTCCAGCCTGGGCGACAGAGCAAGACTCTGCCTCAAAAAAAAAAATTTCAGATCTGTTCTCCACAGGGCCCACGCACCATCTCTGGTTCAACTGTTGCTTTCTGTGGGGTCAGACACGCTGTGTTTTAAATATTCCTTTAACAAATTTTAGTCTGTTTATTTGCTTTGCTTTTTTTTTCTTCTCAGATAGGGTCTCACTCTGTCATCCAGGCTGGAGTGCAGTGGAGCTCTGGTTCACTGCAGCCTCGACATCCCAGGCTCAGGTGATCCTCCCACCTCAGCCTCCCGAATAGCTGGGTTACAGGTGCACACCACCATGCCCGAATAACTTTTAGTAGAGATGAGTTTCACCATGTTTCCCAGGCTGGTCTCTAAGTCTTGGGTGCAAGCAATCTGCCTGCCTTGGCTTCCCAAAGTGCTGGGATTACAGGCTTGAGCCACTGCTATCAATTCTTGTTATTTCTTCAAAACATTTAGAATTTTTATTGATATAATTTGCATAGAGCCAGGCATGGTGGCTCATGCCTGTAATCCCAGCACTTTGCAAGGCTGAGGCAGATGGATCACTTGAGGCCAGGAATTCAAGACCAGCCTGGCCAACATGGTGAAACCACGTCTCTACTATAAATACAAAAAATTAGCTGGCCATGTGGCAGGTGCCTGTAATCCCAGCTACTCAGGAGGCTGAGGCAGGAGAATCACTTGAACCCAGGAAGTGGAGGTTGCAGTGAGCCGAGATTGTGCCACGGCACTCCAGCCTGGGTGACAGAGCGAGACTCTGTCTCAAAAAAAATTGCATACAAATAAGTATACTTACTTTTCTTTTTTTTCTTTAGAGATTGGGTCTCGCTATGTTTCCTAGGTTGGACTTGAACTCCTATGCTGAAGTGATTGTCCTGCCTCAGCCTGCCTAGTAGTTGGAACTAAGGTGCACACCCCACCACATCTGGCTAAGTGTACATATTTCTAATGTATAGTTCAAGTTCTATGAGCTTTGAAAAATGTCTTTGGCTGTGCAACCACAGCTCCTGTCAAGATGTAGAACATTTCCTTTACTCCAAAATATTCCCTTGTTTCTCTTCCCGGTCAAATCTCACTCCCATCACTGACCCCAGGTAACCACCAATCTCCCTTCTAATACTATAGATTATTTTTATCTTTTCTATAATTTTATATAAATGGAAATTATGCAAAAAGTATTTGTTTTTGTGTGGTTACTTCCACTCTGGTGTTTTTGGGATTTGTGCGTGTTGTGTGGGCATCAGCGGTTTGTTTCTTTTTATTGCTGATTATTCCTTTGTATGAATATACCCAGTTGTCTGTCTGTGCACCTGTTGGTGGACATTTGGGTTGTTTCAGATTTTCGGCTATGAAGAATAAAGCTGAGATACCACATTACACCCATCATAATGGCTAAACAAAACACTGCCAATACCAAGTGCTGGCAATAATGTGGAGGAACCAGAACTCTCAGACGTTGCTAGTGGGAATTAAAAAAAAAAAAACACTTTGGAAAACAGTTTGGCAGTTTCTTAAAAGTTAAATATATGCTGGCCATATGATTCAGCAATTCTACTCTTCTGTATTTACCAAGGAAAATGAAAACATGTGTCTCCAAAGACTTATACACTAGTGTTCACAATATCATTTTAAGAAATGTTTAGGCTGATCTCTTCTGATCTCTGCTGCTGAAGCTATAAACTGAGGATCAGAGAAAAGGAGAAAATGAGTCATTAAAAGAACCTTGAGGGGGATATATATATACTTATTCTTATATCTATATCTCTCTATATACAGATCTTATATATATAATATAGAGAGATCATATATATATATCCTTATTCTTAAAAATACATCCAGAGATGACTTCATGTGGCAGAGCCCTATTGAAGAGAAGCATCCTCTATGTGTTCTCTAGGCTACTGAAAACAATTTGATTTTAAAATTCAGTTTAATTTAATTTTTTTGGGGGGGGCATGGAGTTTCGCTCTTGTTGCCCAGGCTGGAGTGCAATGGCACGATCTCGGCTCACCGCAACCTCCGCCTCCTGGTTTCAAGTGATTCTCCTGCCTCAGCCTCCTGAGTAGCTGGGAGTACAGGCATGCACTACCATGCCCGGCTAATTTTGTATTTTTAGTAGAGACAGGGTTTCTTCATGTTAGCCAGGCTGGTCTCAAACTCCCAACCTCTGGTGATCCGCCCGCCTCAACCTCCCAAAGTGCTGGGATTACAGGCGTGAGCCACCGCACCCAGCCAATTTAATTATTAGAGATAGGGTCTCACTCTGTCACCCAGGCTAGAATGCAGTGGTACGATCATAGCTCACTGCAGCCTTCAACTCCTGTGTTGAAGTGATCCTGCTGGCTCAGCCTCCCAAGTAGTTAGAACTACAGATGCACACTACCATGTCTGGCTAATTATTTTTTGTAGAGATGGGGATCTCGCTATGTTGCCCAGGTTGGTCTTGAACTCCTGGCCTCAAGTGATTCTCCTGCCTTGGCCTCTCAAACTGCTGGGATTACAGGAATGAGCCACTATGTCCAGCTCAAAGCACGTTTTATCCAATACATGTTGTTTGGACCTACAACCAAGCAGTTTGTACAAAATAATAATGTTGCATCCCTATATCACACTAAAAAAGACAAATGCCAGAAAGGATAATTCTACAATTGGCACATAAGAAACAGTACAGTAGCTCACACCTGTAGTCCCAGCACTTTAGGAGGCCAAGGTGGGAGGATTGCTTGAGCCCAGGAATTGATATCAGCCTGGGCAACATAGGGAGACCCTGTCCCTACAAAAAATAAAAATTAGCTGGGCAAGGTGGCATAGGCCTGTAGTTCCAGCTACTTGGGAGGCTGAGGTAGGAGGATCACTTGAGTCTGGGAGGTTGAGGCAGCAGTTAGCCATGATTGCACCACTGCACTCCAACCTAGGTGACAGAGTGAGACCCTGTCTCAAAAAAAGTAAAAACATTATATATAGTTATATTAATATCTATAATGTGGGTGAAAAAAATGTTAAAACATACACTAAGGAGAATAACTATAAAACATAGATTTCACTTGCATAAAACTTAAGGTTATAGAAAGTAAAACTGTCTCCTGTAAGTCTTTATTGGCTAATTTATGAAAAATGTATACAATGAAACTGTGCACAGACGTTTACAAAAAAAATTGAATATACTAATTCAAAACATATTTTATGAACCTTTACCTACCATGTACTACCTATAATGTTCCACGCAATAGGGTGAAAGTCAGTAAGAAAAGATTTCTTCTGTCACAGAGTTTATATTTTAACAAGAGACATATATATATATATGTAAATATGTACATATATGTATATAAAAGTGTATGTATATATACATACACTTTTTAATTATATATACATACTTTTAAATATTTGAATAAATGCTATGATAAAACAAAACAGGGTAATATGATACAGATTGATTTAAATGTGAGGAAAACTGCAACTGGTAGTTTTTTAAAAATCTTATTCAAGCTTATTTAATTTTTAATTTTTTTTTTGAGACGGAGTCTTGCTCTGTCACCCAGGCTGGAGTGCAATGGCACGATCTTAGCTCACAGCAACCTCCGCCTCCCAGGTTCAAGCAGTTCTCCCACCTCGGCCTCCCGAGTAGCTGGGACTACAGGTGTGCACCACCACACCCGGCTAATTTTTGTATTTTTAGTAGAGACGGGGTTTCATCACATTGGCCAGACTGCTCTACAACTCCTGAGTTCAAGTGATCCACCCATCTCAGCCTCCCAAAGTGCCAGGATTACAGGCGTGAGCCACCATGCCCGGCCTTAATTTTTAAATTTTAAATTTAATTTTATTTTAGATTCAGGGAGTACTTGGTGCATGTTTGTTACCTGGGTATATTGCATTCTGGTGGAGATTGGGCTTCTAGCATAGCCATTACCGAAATGGTGAACATATAATTGGTAGTTTAATAGGTCTTTTTAAGAAGGTGAATTTGAGTGGAAATACTAGTGTTCTAGCAGAGAGGAGTAACTCGTGAGAATTATCTTAGTATATTTAAGAAACAGAAAGAAGAAAAAACAAGAATTTACAGTATACTCACAGTGATATATACTTGTGTGTCTGTGTGTTTCCTATTTTTATACATAAGCATTATGTGGGACTTTTATTTTTTATACATAAGCGTTATGTGGGACTTTTATTTTTTATACATAAGCATTATGTGGGACTTCTATTTTTTATTTTCTGTTTCTTCCTTCTGCTTATTACTGTTTTTCCATTTTCTTGCTTTCCTGTGGGCTACTTGAACTTATTTTAGAATTCCAGTTTTTAGCTATTGAAAGTATTTTTGAATATAGCTTTGTGGTTTCAATAGGTAGTATGATATATATGCCTAATGTCACAATCTACAGGTATTGATATGTTACAACTTTGACTAAAGTGTAAAAACCTCTCTTCCATTTAGGTCCCTTTACTCTTCTTCTTGCTGTTAGAGACAGGGTCTCACTATGTTGCCCAGGCTGGTCTCAAACTCCTGGCCCCAAGCAAGCCTCCCACCTCAGCCTCCCAAAGTGCTGGGATTGCAGGTGTGAGCCACTGCACCTGGCCCTTTCACTCTTTACTATAATTGTCTTAAGTCTTTCCTCTATATACATTTAAGTCTCACATCAGATGATGTTAAAATTTTTGCTTCAACCATTGAGCATGATTTTAAAAACTCACGAGAAAGGTAGTCTGTTACATTTACCCCAATTTTAACCCACTCCACAGTTTTTTCTGTCTTTTCGAAGTTCCAGCCTATTACCTTTTCAGTCAGAGATGCTCTGTGAGTCAGTCTTGAAGGGCAGTCAACCAATTATTATTTTGCTTCATCTGAAATGCTTTTATTTCTTCTTAATTCCTGAAAGGTATTTTTGGTAGATATAGAATTAGAGGTTGACAAATCTTTCAAGCACTTGGAAAATGTGCCACCTCCCTCTGGCCTCCGTGGTTTCAGATGACAAAGCTACCGTCATTCAAATTGTTGTTACCACATAGGGAATATATTGTTTCTCTCTTAACACTGAATATAATCACAATGGAATTTCAAATAAATTTTGCTAAAGGAGTTTGGCAAGATTATTTTAAAATTTATCTACAGCCAGGTGTGATAGCTCATGCCAGTAATCCCAGCACGTTGGGAAGCCGAGGCTGGAGGATTGCTTGAGCCCAGGAGGTAGAGTTTGCAGTGAGCCATGATTGCACCACTGTACTCCAGCCTAGGTGATGGAGTGAGGCCTGGTCTCGAAATAAATAAATAAATAAATAAAATTTCAGGAGTTTGAGACCATCCTGGCCAACATGGTGAAACCCTGTCTCTACTAAAAATACAAACATTAGCTGGGTGTGGTGGTGGGCGCTTGTAGTCCCAGCTACTCAGGAGGCTGAGGCAGGAGAATCGCTTGAACCCAGGAGGCAGAGATTGCAGTGAGCCAAGATCGCGCCACTGCACTCCAGCCTGGTGACAGAGTGAGACTCCGTCTCAGTAAATAAATAATAAAAAATAAAATTTATCTACAGGGGAAAACACATAAGATAGATAGTCTAGAAAATTAGAAAAGAAAGAGTAAGAGAGGATGTGCCTTACCAGAAAGCTACAGTAATTAAGACCATATAATATTGGCACAGAAATAGGCAACAAGATCCATGTAACAAAATAGAAGATCCAGAAAGAGACCCAAATACAAGGAAAATTAAGAGTGTAGGAAATATTTTAAAAATTGGTATATGAATACCCTTTTTAAACAAGAGAAATTCAAAAGCCAGAAAGGAAAAGACTTTTAGATTTGACTACGTAAAAACTTATAGCACAGGCTGGGCGCAGTGGCTCACACCTGTAATCCCAGCACATTGGGAGGTCAAGGTGGGCAGATCAGCTTAGGTCAGGAGTTCAAGACCAGCCTGGCCAACATGGTGAAACCCCTTCTCTACTGTAAATACAAAAAATTAGCTGGGCCTGGTGGCAGGTGCCTGTAATTTTAGCTACTTGGGAGGCTGAGGCAGGAGAATCGCTGAAACCCAGGAGGAGGAGGTTGCAGTGAGCTGAGATCGCACCATTGCACTCCAGCCTGGGCAACAAGAGTGAAACTCCACTTAAAAAAAGAAAAAAAATTAGTCAGGTGTGGTGGCGTGTGCCGGTAGTCTCAGCTACTTGGGAATCGGAGGCATGCAAATCACTTGGACCTAGGAAGGTGGAAGGTGCAGTGAACTGAGATCGCACCACTGCACTCCAGCCTGAGTGATGGAATGAGACTCTGTCTAGAGAAACAAAATTTTTTAAAAAAGCTTATAGCACACAGCCTCACTATATACAAGGGAAAATATAAGTAATGACTTGTGAGAATATACTGTACTTGCAACATATATACAAAAGGCATAAAATCCCACTATGCAAAGAGCTTCTACAAATTAATAATAAAAACATAGGACTCCTAATAGAAAAGTGATTCATAGCAAAATAATGTTTCATAGCCTTTGCTATGAAAGAAGATAGACACTAGTCAATGATCAGTTTCATATTATCATAAAAAGTAAATTAAAACACGATATCACTTTACCTTACAATATGATAAAGTTAAAATTTGATAATATGTGTCATTCCTTCAGTCAATAAATATTCACTGAGCACCAAGTAGCATAGTAGTCATTATGGGTACAGTGATGAACAAAATGGTGTCTAGACTCATAGTGCTTACAGTCTAGTGATGTAATCACTAACATAATAATCACACGAATGTAAGTACATAATTACAAACATAATTGCAAATTAAGTAAATGCTAAAGAGAGTAAGTCTAGGGTGTAATCACTGGGACCTTACTGATTATAATGGGATCAAAGAACATTTCTTTGAGCAAGACTTGCTTGGGCTGAAATCTAAAGGATGACCTGAAATGAACTAATGAGGTTATGGTGTGAAGGGATAGTCACCTTTTTTTCAGACGGAATTAACGTGCTCAAAGATCCTTAGACACGTGACATTTGAGGAAACAAAGTGCAGTTAGAGAGGAGGAAAGTCATGTAAGAAAAGCTTGAAAAGATGGGAGTAAGATCCTGCAGCCAGTGGACCATGGTAAGGACTTTTGCCTTTACTTAAGAACAATTAAAAGTCATCAAGTTATGTTAAGCAGAAGAATATGAGCAGAATTGCTTTATAAAAATCAGGCTGACTTCGGTGTGAAGAAAAGATGTGGGGAAATGAAGTGAAATCTTTGGCAAGATTCCAGGTTAGAAAGGATAATTTGGACAATATTAATAAAGTTAAACACACACACATCATTCTCTACATGTCCCCCAATTAATTTTCTTCTCTTCCGAACTTGTTTCTTTTCCTGGGTTCATCATCTCAGTGAAACAAAATAGCTATGAGATCTGGGTGAGTCATCTGTAGCCTAACTGGAAGCTGAAACCGGAAGAGTGGACAGGCTGTGGTATAAGAGTCTTTAAAGAAGGAAATTCTGTGAACATATCACCCAAACAAGAAACTTAGCTCTTCCTTCCCTTCCATCTAATTGGATGATATCCAATTCATCACCCAGTCCTTTAGATTCTCCCTTTAAATGGTTTTTTTTTTTTTTGAGACAGAGTCTAGCTCTGTCACCCAGGCTGGAGTGCAATGGTATGATCTCGGCTCACTGCAACCTCCGCCTCCTGAGTTCAAGCGATTCTCCTGCCTCAGCCTCCTGAGTAGCTGGGATTACAGGCGCGCGCCACCACGCCCAGCTGATTTTTGTATTTTTAGTAGAGATTGGGTTTCACTGTGTTGGCCAAGCTGGTCTCGAACTCCTGACCTCGTGATCCGCCCACCTCAGCCTCCCAAAGTGCTGGGATTACAAGCGTGAGCCACCACGCCTGGCCTTAAATTGTTTCTTAACTCATTCCCCTCAATCCATTCTCTGCAACAGTTCAGATTAGTTTCCAGAACATTTAACTATTGCCCCTAGTGGCCTTCTTCCCTTCAGTTCACCATGAACACAGGCTGTGGAATGCAAATATGATTACGCACATCCTCCTTCGAATTTTAATGTGTCTTCCTAGCTTACTGAGCGACATCCAAGCTCCTTCACAAGGACTTTTTTTTCAGTCTCATGTCTTTTCACCAGGCCAGTGAATTTCCTCTTTTTTTGCCCTCTTCCATTTTGTATAATGGGCTTTTTCTTTTTTGTCTCTCTTTTTCATAAACTGTTCTCTCGATCTGGAACAATACTCCTTTGATTCAGTGGGTTGACTCTTCCCTAACCTCGTATTTCAGCATACAGTTGGTGCTCTTCAAGCACAGGGATGTGACTGGCTTGCTTCCCCAAAACCTCTCCTACGTGCCCAGGACAGTGCCCCACACAATGCTGGGAGTAGAGGCGCCCCCAGGTCACTGGGCGTCCAGCCCCTGTAGGTGCAATCCAGCGCCTCTTTCCAGAAGGCTTCTGGGGGAGGGCTCGAGCTGGAGCACATGAAAAACCAGGGCCGCTCCAGCGTTCCTTCTCAGGTAACATGAGACTGCTCAGAGACTGCTCGAGGCTGGGGGAATCCCAGAGGGAGAAGCCATGGCTGTGCCGGTACCAAGTAGAGACTGGGCCGCTCCATAAGGCCACGAGGGACTCGGAGTCACATCCTCTGAGACCACTGTTTCAAGGTGACCTGGGAGCGTTGCAAGGATTCTGGTTATTACAGTTATACGAAGCCAAAGCATCAGGGGTGCTTGAATCAGAGCAACTCCATCTTGTTTTTTATTTTATTTGTTGTTGTTGTTTTGCTCTTTTTTTTTTTTTGACACAGTCTCGCTCTTTCGCCCAGGCTGGAGTGCAATAGCGCGATCTCAGCTCACTACAACCTTCGCCTCCCAGGTTCAAGCAATTCTCCTGTCTCAGCCTCCGGAGTAGCTGGGATTATAGGCGTGCACCACCACGCCCAGCTAGTTTTTGTATTTTTAGTAGAGATGGGGTTTCACCATGTTTGTCAGGCTGGTCTCAAACTTCTGACCTTGTGATTCGCTGGCCACAGTCTCCCAAAGTGCTGGGATTACATGCGTGAGCCACCACGCCCGGCCTGTATTTTTTTTTTATTTTTATTTTTTGAGATGGAGCCTCACTCTGTCGCCCAGGCTGGAGTGCAGTAGCGCCAACTTGGCTCACTGCAAGCTCCACCTCCCAGGTTCAAGTGATTCTCCTGCCTCAGCTTCCCAAGTAGCTGGGAATACAGGCACCCACCACCATGCCCAGGTAATTTTTGTATTTTTAGTAGAGACGAGGTTACACTCTGGCCTGTTGGCCAGGCTGATTGCAAACTCCTGACCTCAGGTGATCTGCCCGCCTTAGCCTCCCAAAGTGCTGGGATTACAGGCATGAGCCACAGCACCCGGCAACTCCATCTTAAATAAGAACTGGGTAAAATAAGGCTGAGGCATACTGGGCTGCGTTCCAAGACCGTTAGGCATTCTAACTCACAGTATGAGACAGCAGGTCAGCATGAGACACAGGTCATAAAGACCTTGCTGATAAAAGTTTACAGTAAAGAAGCCGGCTAAAACCCACCAAAACCAAGATGGCAATGAGAGTGACTTCTGGCTGTCCTCATTGCTACGTCTTCCACTGTCAGAGGCGGTTGAACCAGGGCAACTCTATCTTGAGTAGGGGCTGGTTAAAATAAGGCTGAGACCTGCTGGGCAGCATTCCCTGGAGGTTAAGGCATTCGTAGTCACAGGATGAGACATGAGGCTGGCACAAGATACAGGTCATAAAGACCTTGCTGATAAAACAGGTTGCAGTAAAGAAGCCGACTAAAACCGAGATAGCGATGAGAACGACCTGATTGTCCTCACTGCCCACCAGTGGCTATGGCAACGTCAGGAAGTTACCCTATATGGTCTAAAAAGAGGATGCATGAATAATCCACCCCTTGTTTAGCATATCATCAAGAAATAACCACAAAAATGCGCAACCAGCAGCCCTCGGGGCTGCCCTGCCTATGGATTAGCCATTCTTTATTCCTTTACTTTCCTAATAAACTTGCTTTCACCTTATGGATTCGCCTCAAATTCTTTCTTGTGCAAGATCCAAGAACCCTCTCTTAGAGTCTGAGATCCGGACCCCTTTCCAGTAGCAAAAGGTCTTAGACTGAAGTACTGACTCCACAGTCGTTGTTAAGAATCCTAGTTGTTTAATAGAGGCGGTCTTGGGCTCTTGCTGGGCCGCGGTGTGTTCTGGGAAGTGTAGTCACCTGAGTCTCCAGTTCCTTGTCTCTGGGCCGTGTGTGCACGCCAGCGAAGCACTGTGGGAGTCGTAGTAGGGGAGGAAAACCCTATACCCTCTGGCGTGCGGCGCAGGAGTTTGGGGGAATGTAGTCGCCAGAGCTCTGCGTTGTCTTCCGGCTTTGGGCGTGGCCACGATGCACTCTGGGAGTCGTAGTAGGGGAAGAACGTCCTCCGCTCTTTTGCGCACGGTCGCTAGAGGTTCTGGGAAGTGTAGTTGCCTGAAGCTCGTGTTCTTTGTCTTTCGATGATGTGCGCTTGGCCTCAAAGCACCCTGGGAGTTGCAGTGGGGCGGGGAAAGCCATATGCTCTCTCGCGCGGGGTCGCGGTTGTTTCTGGGAAGTGTGGTGGCCTGAGTTCCACGTTCTTCGTTTCTCCGCTAGTTGTGCGCTTGGCCGCGAGACACTCTGGCAGTTATAGGAACACAAAGGTCTGTGTACTCTTCCGCGGGGGGCCGCGGTTATTTCTGGGAAATGTAGTTGCCTAGGACCCGGGTTCTTTGTTTCTCGGCTCTGGGCGTGGGAGGATAGCCCCTATGCTCTGGCGCACCGGGCCGCGATGGCTCTGGGAATTGTAGTTGTCGCAGGCCCTCGTTCTTTGTCTCCTGGCGTTCTGGGCACGGCAGCGAGGCGCTCTGGGAGTTCCAGTAGGAACGAAAAGCCCTTGCGCGCAGGGCCGCATTGGTTTCTGGGAATTGTAGTTTCTTGAGGCCGGCGGCCTGGTTGGGGTGACGTCGGCGAGGCTTCTGAAGACGCAATTCCTGCGACGCCCGCGGAGGGGCCCTGGGGGGCGGCGCCGAGCGTCTGGCCTGTGTTGGCTGTAGGCAACGAAAGGAGCCCTCCCGGTCTGCGCCGGATGGCCCCGGGCGGTGACTCGGTCCGGAGCCCTGGAACGCTACGCCCACCTGGCGGAAAGCACCACGGAAACGCATCCTTCTGTGGCCACTGTTAGGTGAGGGGGTTCTGGGGAGGCGCGCCGTGGCAGGAAGAGAAAGCCGGCGCCAGTGGTCCAAGCGCGATCTCTCAGGGCGCCCTGCTCTCTACGTGGGAGGCGCGGAGCGGGGGCCACGGGAATCCCCAGTGCGGGAATCTAGTGACTTGGGCGCGGCCTAGCTGGCCTGTTCGCTCAGGGCTCCTTTCTCTCTCTGCCAGGTCTGCCATTTTACACTTTTCTGATCTCCTCCTTCCCTTCTGTGAGCTATGTCTCAGGTAAGCTAATGATTGATAAATATATATATATATATATATATAAATTTTTATTTTTTTTTTAAGAGAGAGACAGGGTCTCCTCCTGTCGCCCAGGCAGTGGAGCGATCATAGCATCCTGTAACCTCAAACTCTTGGCCTCAAGTGAGCCAACCCACTTGGCCTGTTTCCGCTTTTCTTTGTGAAGTGCAGCCGTGTTTTTCAGGACTTGGGACGTGGCTTTCTTTCTCCTACAACCACCTGCCTGGCAGAACCCCAGGACCCTGTCCCTTGTTCCTCCTTTTCAGGTGCTTATACTTAAGTATACATGAAGAGAGTGACAGGAAGCTATCCAGATGTGGGCGGGGTTTCTGACCTGGCTGGCATGTTTTAGGGTGAGAGGGTAGGGTGCCAGCTGTTACATCGCCTCCTCTTTCCCACAGTGTTAGAATGAGGAGTGCTTTACGTTACTCCAGCGCCCCTTTATTCATTTATTCAATATGTTTTTACTGAACCTCTACTTTCAGTGGTTCCCACAGTGTGATCCTTGGACCAGCAGTATCAGCATCATCTGAGAACGTATTAGAAATGAATATTCTTGAGTCCTACCCCAGACCTTCTGAATCAGAAACTGAGAATTTGGCCCAGCAGTCTAACAGTCCTTCCAAGTGATTCTAATGTGCAACTCATTCTAAGTCTTGAGGATGCAGAAGTGACCAAAACAAAATCTCCGAATCCTCAGAGCTCATTTTTCAGACATGACATAAGGAACACATTTTTATTTTGATTTGGCCTAAGGGCTTGGCTGGTAATTGTGCTTCACAGCAGTGGGGATAACAGGGTCAACTATTCAAAATGAGTCCCTCATTTCAGTTCCACTTCTTTATCCTACTTTTTGTCATACTTCTCTCCAAATTCAGAGGTTCTCTGAGTTTTGCTGGGGAATCCAATTTCCACCTCTGCTGCAGATCTTGCTGTGTAGGAAACAGCTGCTTTATTAGTCAACAGTCTTTAATCACTTTTTTATTAAACTTCAAAACTGTAAATTATAACTGCCATCCATCTGGGACTGCTACTAGTTTGAGACATTTTAAATTCCCATTCATGCCTTATAGATCAATGTGGATCACTCAAGTGGTGCAAAACCAGGCTGCAAAGCAAGGGCTTATATATTATTCCCCCTAACTCTGAGGGAAAGTGCTTTAGGTTCTGTCCTGGGAGGTATTACATTCTCTTCTTGCGGAATCAAGATTCTTTATTGCTTATCCTCCTTGTTCTGTGACATTGCTAAAATTACCACTAAGTTTCACAGGTATTTCTTTAGGATTAGGGATAACTGTGACAAACTTGAGACTGTATGCCCCATTTGAAGGGTGGTGCTGTTATCTGCTGTAGCGAATTATTACCCTGAAGAAATTCTGGCTGAATTATATTAAAATAGGCTGGTATTAAGGAAAATATACATTGTTTATTAACATAAAGGAATACTGTAAAATCTTAAGAATTTTTACAACCAATGCCAAAAATCCATATTGTTCATGTGTATAATCCTTTATTTTGAATAAAATTGTAAATTATCTCAGGACAGATAATTTATGTTTTTCTCCTTTTCTCCAGTTATACAACAAAACACAAGAGCTAGGCTCTTCATTATATAATTACTCAGAATTCTGAAAACTCTCACTGTTACTACTTAGACACATTGCCTAACCTCCACAGTGAGACTCATTTTATTCCTTGATGAGGGAGTTTGGGGGCATGCGTGCTGGTCATGCAAATATCTGTCCGTCATTTCAGGGGTCAGTGACATTCAGAGATGTGGCCATAGACTTCTCCCAGGAGGAGTGGAAATGGCTTCAGCCTGCTCAAAGAGATTTGTACAGATGTGTAATGTTGGAGAACTATGGCCATCTGGTCTCACTGGGTAAGTATTCTTCTTCATCTCCCTCAAGGCAAAATTTGACCGTTAGGGTGGCTGTTATAATTATCTGGCTGAATATTCCCAAGAGAGGTATGGGGTTTCTTAAAATTAGTTTTAAGATGGGGACGTAACTGCACCTTATTTTTAGACATTTTAAAAACTTACATCTGACATTTCCTTTGTGGCCCCTCTTAGGATTCAATGACTGATCTTGAATTTATTTCATTTTCTGCAAGCAGGTCTTTCCATTTCTAAGCCAGATGTGGTTTCCTTATTGGAGCAAGGGAAAGAACCCTGGCTGGGGAAAAGGGAAGTGAAAAGAGATCTGTTTTCAGGTGAGTGAGTTGGAAGCTGATGGGGAAATTTTTTAAAACCACTCAATTAGTCAATGAAAAAGGAATACTTTTTAATATGTTGATTGGAAAATTTTCCCTTAAAGATACTAGAGATACGCTAGGCACGGTGGCTCATGCCGGTAATCCCAGCACTTTGGGAGGCCGAGGTGGGTGGATCACGACGTCAGGAGATCGAGACCATCCTGGCTAACACGGTGACACCCCATCTCTGCTAAAAATACAAAAAAATTTGCCGGGCTTGGTGGCGGGTGCCTGTAGTCCCAGCTACTTGGGAGGCTGAGGCAGGAGCATGGCGTGAACCCGGGAGGCAGAGCTTGCAGTGAGTCGAGATTGCGCCACTGCACTGCAGCCTGGGAGACAGAGCAAGACTCCATCTCAAAAAAAAAAAAAAGATACCAGAGGTATAAAGACTGAAGTTTCACTTACAACTCCATAAAACACTACTTCATACCCAATTCTGTTTTTTCTATATTACCTAACAGCTGACATAGTCGACCAGTTCTCACCTTATACTTTCTTTTCTTTCTCACAGGTGTCTTTTTTGTTCCCATTGTTAGTTCTGTCTGGTCTCTGAATTTCATTTCTTTTTGTTTTTTCTTTCCTTTCTTTCTTCAAATGGACATACATTTCTATTGCCTGAATTCAACCTGAGAAAGAAAAAAAAAATTAAAAGTACATATTTTGCTGTTCTATTTAATCACCTTGAAAAGATTAATTCATTACTCTTTGATTAATTGATATTTATTTATTCCTTCACATACACTCTTAATATTTACAGAAATTTTAATCTTGTCAAATCTTTCTCAAGACTTTCTATTAAGTGCTACAGAGACTAGAGAGTGTGCAAAAGTGTAATAACTATCAAGGAATTCATGGCCTAGTGATGTGTCTAAATAGCTTGCATTAGATATCCTCAAATTAGCAGTACAGCAGTGAAAAAAGGAATTTCCAGTTGTCGTTTTAGGCTTGGGTAATTTGGATGCAGATAGTACTAGAGAAACAAAAGACAGAAAAAGGGTCAGTTTTGGAGAAAAGGTGATGAATTCTGTAAGTTCTGTAAATTCTATAGTTGCTTCTATAGCACATGTTTAATGGAGGTACACTGATTTTTAGAGAGAAAAGGAGGAATGCGTACTTTTTAGGAGGCAGCAGCTTAGGACTGATGAAACAGATGTCATGAAAACTGAGCTGTAGCTTTAAGGAAGAGTAGTGGTTCATATGAAATGCTGCGGAGTCCCTTAGGAGAATGTCCAGAAGGATTTGCAAAGGAGGTACTAATGTGGGCTGAAGCAGTGAGATGGAACAGGTGCAGGGAAACTTTGTTTAGTGGGAGCAAATGAGGAAAAATGTCCTTTTTGAATTAAAAAATAACAAAACTGATAAAAGCATGTACAAAGGAAGTGAGGAAAAAGGAAAACATGGAAGTTGCCTCTAATTCTACTACTTTTTTTTTTTTTTTGAGACGAAGTCTCGCTCTTGCCCCCTAGGCTGGAGTGCGATGGCGCGATCTCAGCTTACTGCAACCTCCGCTGTCTGGGTTCAAGTGATTCTGCTGCTTCAGCCCCCTGAGTAACTGGGACTACAGGCACCTGCCACCATGCCTGGCTAAGTTTTGTATTTTTAGTAGAGATGGGGTTTCACCATGTTGGCCAGGCTGGTCTCAAACTCCTAACCTAGTGATCTGCCCGCCTAGGCCTCCCAAAGTGCTGGGATTACAGGTGTGAGCCACTGTGCCTGGCCTAATTCTACTACTTTAACACAGTTCTTGAAGTTTTTATGTATTCCTTCCAGGATCTTATTTTGAAAATTTTTTTCATTGTGAAATATCACACACAGACAGAAGTAATGCATGAACATACATGTACAGCTTAATAAATTATTATAAGGCAAACAGTCACGTGACCAAGGTCAATAAACACAATACTGCTAGGTTCCTTGAGAGCCTTCTGTGTGCTCATCCTAACCCTCCAATAAAGCTAATCATCTCTTTGCTTTTATGGTAAAGTAGCTTCCTTGGTTTTCTTTATTGTTCCATCAGCTCTTTGCATTTGTGTTCACTATAGTTGAGGTTCATGTGTTTGTTAACTTTATATAGAAAGATTTATAATGTATTTATTGATTTGCTTCTCAAAATTATTTTTAAAATGTTTTTGGCTGTGCATGGTGGCTCATGCCTATAATTCCAATACTTTGGGAGGCTGAGTTGGGAGAATCACTTGAGGCCAGGAGTTGAAGACAAGCCTGGGCAACATAGAGAGACCCTGTCTCCACAAAAAAATTTTAAAAGCTAGCTAGGCATGGTGGCATGTGCCCATAGTCCTAGCTACTTGAGAGGTTGAGGTAAGAGAACCACTTGAGCCTAGGAGTTTCAGGCTGCAGTGAACTATGATTGTGCCACTGCACTCCAGCCTGGGCAATACAGCAAGACCCTATTTTTTTAAAAGTTAAAAGAATTTTTAACGTAATTGCTCTAATAGTTTTTTTCATTGTACGATAAGTATACCACAATTTATTCGTTCTACTATTGAGGGCTTCTTAAGTTTTTTGCACATTTAGAGATACTGCAAGCAATGCTGTTACTGTGCATGTATCCTGATACATATTGGCACAAGTTTCTCTGTGGTTTATATCTAGGACTGGAATTGCCAAGTTGGAGGATAATGCACCTCTTTATGTTATTAGATAATGCCAAAATGTTTTCCAAAGACCCTTGACTGACTTATACTCCCGCAAACCCAATAAGTGAATGCCTGTTGGGCATCGTAATTTTCATCTATCAGAAGGGTGTGCAGTGGTAGCTTGTGGTTTAAACTTGCATTTGTCAGGCCATTAATAAAGTTGAGCACCTTTTCGTATGTTTATTGAACATCTAGGTATCCCCATCTGCGAAGTGAATCTTGAAGATTTTTCTCTTGTATCTATTGGATTCTTTTATTGATTTGTAGAAGTTATATATTTTAGATAGAAATCCTTTGCTAATTGTATGTACTTCAAAATCTTTCACATGTGGCTTTTTTTTAACCTTCATAGCTTCTTTTGATGAACAGAAATTCTTAATTTTAGTGTAGTCAGATGTATCAATCTTTTCTTTTATGTTTAGTATTTTTTTAGCCTGTTTAAGAAATCTTTCCCTCCTAAGAGATTATGATGAAGACATCTTCCTATATTTTCTTTTAAAAAAGCCTACTTATTTTGCCATTCACATTTCGATCCATCGTTCACTTTATTTTGTCATGTGAGTTAGTAGTCAACTTTGCTATCTTCTGTATGGAGATCCAGTTATCATAGTACCATTTATTGATAGATCAACCATTTTCCTCACTGTTTTGAAATTAGTTAAATGTCAATTTTTGTGTTTGTATGTTTCTAGGTTCTCAATTCTCTTTCATTTTTCTCTTTGCTCAAATCTATACAGCCTTAGTTACAGATTTAATGATTAACATTTTATTGTATTTGTCTTACCCCTGCCCCTTTTTTTCTCTGAATTATTTTAAGTAAACAGGGCTACCATTTAAGAGTTGTTGCTGCAACCTAGTGTAGATCTAATCATTACCTGAACTATGTAGGCATCCAGGGAGCTAAGGGAGGTAGACAGATTGGAAATAAAGTGAAGAAGTAGACTCAAAAGGACCTGGCGATTGGCTAGATGACAGACATGAAGAAGACTGAGAAGTCGTGGTTGACATTAGTCTTTTTGGTGGTATGATTGTTTCCTTAGTTAAAAAAAAAAGGATCAGCAAGTTTGTAGGGGAGGGAAGATTATATTGAGACTTGTTGAGTTTGGGTCTCTGTGGGATACGAATATATAAATCCAGTAGGCAATTGAGTATCATAGTCAAGAGGCTTCAAATGCATATTCCTAGGCCCCACCCTGGAAATTCTAAATTGGTAGGTTTGGGGTGGAACCAAATAATTTGCATTTCTTTCTTTTTTTGGCTAGTCAAAAAAAAAAAGCGGGAGTGGAGGAGAAACAAAGAAATCTATAACTAGTTGTTATCAATGACTTATAAACTCCACTGCATTCAGACCAGCCAGAATTTGCATTTCTAACAAATGACCAGATGATGCTGATGCTGAACTAAAGTAGACATTTAGGAGTTACCTGCACAGCTTCTTAAAATTTTGAATTTTCTTTGTAGAATTGTTGCATACCTGTTATTTCTTCTTAAGCAACTTTCCCCAGTTTCTTTTCTATATTGCTTCTCTATAGGAATGCTAGTCAATTTGTATATTTATATCTCTTTATCTTTATTATACAAATAATACGGCTGAGTGTGGTGGCTCACACCTGTAATCCCAGCACTTTGGGAGGCCGAGGTGGGCAGATCACCTGAGGTCAGGAGTTCAAGACCAGCTTGGCCAACATGGTGAAACCCGTCTCTACTAAAAATACAAAAATTAGCCGGGTGTGGTGGTGTGCGCCTGTAATCCCAGCTACTCGGGAGGCTGAGGTGGAAGAATCGCTGGAGCCCAGGAGGCAGAGGGTGCAGTAAGTTGAGATCATGCCATTGCACTCCGGCCTGGGCGACAGCAAGACTCTGTCTAAAAAAAAAAAAGAAAGAAAAAGGAAGGAAGAAAGAAGGGAGGAAGGAAGGAAGGCTCTAAATCTTTCTAGATTTTTTCCTGCAAATACCATTATTGTTTATAGAATAATTTCACTGCACTAAAAATTCTCTGTGTTCTGCCTAATCACCCATTCCCAACCCTTGGCATCCGCTGATTTTTGTTACTGTCTCCATAGTTTTGCCTGTTCCAGAATGTCAGAGAGTTGGAATTAACCTTTTCAAAATGGCTTCTTTCACATACTAATACATAGTAATATGCATTTTAGTTACATGTCTTTTCATGGCTTGATAGCTCTTTCTTTTTAGCACTGAATAATATTCCATTGTCTGCATGTACTGCAGTTTACTTATATGTTCACCTACTTAAGGACATTGTGGTTGCTTCCAAAGTTTTGACAATTTTGAATAAAGCACATCTGTGTGCAGGTTTTTGTATGGGCATAAGTTTTCATTTCATTTGGGTAAATACCAAGGAGTGTGACTGCTGGGTCATATGGTAAGAATATATTTAGTTTTGTAAGTAACTGCCAAAATGTCTTCCAAAGTGATTGTACCATTTTGCATTCCCGTCAGCAATGAATGATTGATATTATCATGTGATTTTATTTTTTTATCACGATTGGTTGTTGGATTTTGCTAATGCTTTTATTGCTTCTATTGATATTATGTGATTTTACTTCTTTAGCCTGTTGATGTGATGGATTATATTTTACATTAATTGATTTTCAAATGTTGAACCAGCCCTGTATACCTGGGATAAATTCCACTTGGGCATGGAGTATAATTCCCTTTATACATTGTTGGATTAAATTTACTAGTATTTTGTTGAGAATTTTTACATTTATGTTCATGAGAGATACTGGCCTGTCATTTTCTTTTCTTATAATTCCTTTGGTTTTGATACTAGGTCAGTGCTGGCCTCATAGAATGAGTGGGGAAGTTTTCCCTCCGTTTCTGTCGTCTGGAAGAGATTGAGGGGATTGGTATAATTTCTTCCTTAAATGTTTGGTAGAATTTACCAGTGAATCCTGATGCTTTCATTTTTGAAAGTTATTAATTATTCATTTGATTTTTTTTTTTTTCGAGGCAGGGTCTCACTCTGTTGTCAAGGCTGGAGTGCAGTGGTGCAATCATGGCTCACTGCAGCCTCAACTTCCCCCGGCCCAGGTGATCCTCCCGTCTCAGCCTCCCAAGTAGCTGGGACTACAGGTGCGCTCCACCATGCCCAGCTCATTTTTGTATTTTTTGCAGAGACGAGGTTTCACCATGTTGCCCAGGCTAGTCTTGAATTCCTAGGTTCAAGCAATCTGCCCACCTTGGCCTCCCAAAGTGCTAGGATTGTAAGTGTGAGCCACCACACGCAGCCTCATTTGATTTCTTTGCTAGATACAGGCCTATTCAGATAGTTTCCTCCTTATTGTGTGAGCTTTAGCAATGTATGTCTTTCAAGGAATTGGACCATTTTAGCTATGTTATCAAATTTGTGGGCAGAGTTATTCATGGTATTCCTTTATTATCCTTTTTATGCCCATGAAATTTGTACTGAGGCCCCCTTTCATTGCTGATATTAATAATGTATGACATCTTTTTTTCTTAATTAGCCTGGCTAGAGGCTTATTGATTTTAATTATCTTTTCAGAGAACTAGGTTGATTTGGTTGCTTTTCTCTATTAATAGCCTATTGTAAATTTCATCAATATTTGTGCTTTTTTTTTTTTTTGAGACAGAGTTTCTATCCTTTTGCCCAGGCTGGAGTGCAATGGCACTATCTCACTTACTGCAGCCTCTGCCTCCCGGGTTCAAGCGATTCTTCTGCCTCAGCCTCCTGAGTAGCTGGGATTACAGGTGCACGCCACCACGCCCAGCTAATTTTGTATTTTTAGTAGAGATGGGGTCTCATCATGTTGGCCAGGCTGGTCTTGAACTCCTGACCTCCAGTAATCCACGCACTTCAGCCTCCCAAAGTGCCGGGATTATAGATGTGAGCCACCACACCCAGCCTATTTTTTTGAGACAGGATCTTGCTCTGTCACCTAGGCTGGAATGCAGTGCCACAATCGTAGCTCACTGCAACGTAAATTTCCTGGGCTCAAGCCTTCCTCCTGCCTTAGCTTCCAAGTAGCTATAAGTACCGACACATGCCAACACTCCTGACTAAATATTTTATTTTTTATTTGTAAAGACAGAGTCTTGCTATGTTGTCCAGTCTGGTCTTGAACTCCTGTCCTCAAATGATCTACCCACCTTGGCCTCCCAAAGTGCTGGGATTACAGGTGTGAGCCACTGCACCTGGGTCCTTTGCTCTGATTTTTATTTCTTTTCTTCTTCCTTTGAATTTAATTTGCTCTTTTTAAAATTTCCTGACATAGAACGTAGATGATTGATTTATGAAGGGGTGGCCTGCCCCTCCACACCTGTGGGTATTTCTAGTCGGGTGGGACAAGAGACTGAGAAAAGAAAGAAGACACAGAGACAAAGTATAGAGAAACAACAGTGGGCCCAGGGGACCAGCACTCAGCATACCAAGGACCTGCACCAGCACCGGCCTCTGAGTTCCCTCAGTTTTTATTATTATTTTCATTATTTCAGCAAAAAGGAATGTAGTAGGAGAGCAGGGTGATAATAAGGAGAAGGTCAGCAAAAAACATGTGAGCAAAAGAATCTATATCATAATTAGGTTTAAGGGAAGGTACTATGCCTAGATGTGCATGTAATCCAGATTTATGTTTCTCTCCACCCAAACATCTCAGCGGAGTAAAGAATAACAAGGCAGCATTACTGCAAACATATCTCGCCTCCCACCATAGGGCGGTTTTGCTACTATCTCAGAATTGAACAAATGTACAATCGGGTTTTATACCGAGACATTCAGTTCCCAGGGGCAGACAGGAGACAGTGGCCTTCCTCTATCTCAACTGCAAGAGGCTTTCCTCTTTTACTCATCCATCTCAGCACAGACCTTTTACAGGTGTCGGGCTGGGGGACGGTCAGGTCTTTCTCATCCCACGAGGCCATATTTCAGACTCTCACATTGGGAGAAACCTTGGACAA
Organism: Homo sapiens; assembly: GCF_000001405.40. NCBI lineage: Eukaryota > Metazoa > Chordata > Mammalia > Primates > Hominidae > Homo > Homo sapiens. The sequence goes on from NC_000012.12 coordinate 133,091,199, forward strand.
TACCCTGCTTTCAAGGGCAGAGGTCTCTGCGGCTTTCTGCAGTGCACTGTGCCCTGGTTTATTGAGACTAGAGAATGGCGATGACTTTTACCAAGTATACTGCTTGTAAACATTTTGTTAACAAGGCACGTCCTGCACAGCCCTAGATCCCTTAAACATTGATTTTATACAACACATGTTTTTGTGAGCTCCAGGTTGGGTCAAAGTGGCTGGGGAAAGCTACAAATTAACAACATCTCAGCAAAGCAATTGTTTAAAGTACAGGTCTTTTTCAAAATGGAGTCTCTTATGTCTTCCCTTTCTACATAGGCACAGTGACAGTCTGATCTCTCTTTCTTTTCCCTACATTTCCCCCTTTTCTTTTTGACAAAACCGCCATCGTCATCATGACCCGTTCTCGCTGGTCGCTGTCTCTCCGGAGCTGTTGTATACACCTGTAGACTAATAATAGAAAGGACAGACATACAAGGATTAATACAAAATTTGTAATAGTGGAATTTCCAGTGGTTTTAACCCAAGTGACAGGGTTAAGATTTGTGAGGCTATCAACAGCTTTTACCATTGTCTCAGTTTCTGGCACCAGATTTAACTGGGTTTTGATGTTTCAAAAATAATGTTCTTTCAATTTGGAAATATCTAAAGTAAGATTGTCTTCTCTTCCTTGTAGACGGCGTTTAACCATGTCCCAGTGATGTTCAGATTCATTATAGGCTCGAGGTGTAATACAAAAATCTGACGTAGTCCAGTCACACTAACTGAAAAAGATATTCCAGGCTCATGAGCCTATCTCCCATCCAAATGACAGTTTGTCTAAGATCATTAATTTGATTTGCTAATTTTTGATCTATTTGAGTCTGAGAATTCCACAGTCTTGAGGAATTCTTTTGCCAATTATTCACATATTTTGTAGTTTGAACAGAGCAGTGTAAAGCAATTCCAGCAGCCACAGCAGTAGCTGTGACTGCAATAAGACCCATAATCACTGCAATCAAAGTAAAAATGAATCTTTTAGATTTAGTTAGAACTCCTTTTAATACTTCTGTTAAGATATGTACGGATGGAGAAGCCTCCCACGGTCGGTCCATGGACACAGGGATCCTCGCACCCTCTCTTGCCCTCACTAACAGAATACGATGCTGCCAATCAAAAGTTGAATCAATGCAAGTAAACAATCTACAATTTTCACAGGTTATAGTTTGGACATCTGGTTTAATAACTATGTTTCCTACAACTAGCATATAAGGGGGTTTTACACAACTTTGCAAAGGAATTGTCAGATTGGAATTTAGGTTAATAGTGTAATATGGCTTGTGATTTCTTGTTTCCATAACTTGATTTCCATACCAAATTTTAATGTGGTAGGAGACCACAGTGAGCTTCCATAATTTTGGGTGTTCAGGACCAACAACAGGACTAACTAACTTTGGTCGGGGTGATGAAATTCCCTTTTCACCCCATTTCCATGGATAGGGTGATTCTAGCCTTCTGTAAACCTGGTCTAGCCTTTTAGTTAAATCACCATCATAGGCCGGATTAGTGGGCCAGAGAGATGGAGCCTGTGAACATGAGTGGGCCTGGCCCGTACAATCATAATATAATTGGCCTCGAGGGGCCCAGTCTATAATAGTTCCAAATTTATTGTTTTGTAGTACCACTGCAGTATCAGCCGCACATTGTTCCCAAACTAAGACTTCTGGGTCTTTTGATTCTTTTGGAATTTCCTTGGGGCATGGTTTTCCCTTAGGCCTAAATTTTAATGATCTTTGATAGGAAGAATCCTGTAAATTATTCATTTGTGACCCGATTGACATTCCACTTACCATGTGATAAGTAAATTTACTGGTGGCATTGACAGTAGGTACTTATACCAACCAATTTTGGATTGTAGGCATTAAGCATCCTGGTGCTTTTTCCAGGCAAATAGGAGGATAATGATACCCAATGGAAATGTTTATCATCATTCCTTCTTCAGGTTGGGCAGGGCCACGGTCATCCATGGGGCCTGGTACCCATGCACTGTTATTAACGTATACTTCAATAGGATTATCTATCCAAGTAATTGTCTGAATTAAGGGTGGGAAAGGCACATAGGCCCAGTAAGTATAGTTAGTTGTAGCGGCTCCTGCAGACATAGGGAGACTTACCACCGTTGATACAATCATTAAAGCTGCAAGCAGCATATTCTCTGGAGTTTGTGTTACTCTTGTGTTTTCCAGGCTTTTTTTCAGCTAACTGTGTCAGCTTCTTTAGCTGGGCCCATGTCGACGGCTCCGCTTTCTTGGTAGATGGAAACTTCTTTTGTAAGTTGTAAGTATCCAAACTGGAAGCTGATTTATTTTCTGGTTAAACACAAGCAAAATCTCTCCCCCATGTTATCACCTTCCCTATTTCCCATGTTTTATTTTTGTTGTCTTTCCACCAAATTAGTTTTCCCTCATGTGGGCTGTTCTTTTTACCAGTAAAATGTTGTTCTGCAGAAGTAGTGGTCTGATTTCTATATATGTTTAGAAAATTCAAAGTATAGAGTGCTAGATTAAGTTGTATCTGGGGAGTGTTATATTCCTTACTTTTTGTCTCCCTTCTCTTACAGTCTCTCTCTTCCTCTCTCTCTCTCTCACACACTTTATCTCCAGTTTCACTTTCTGTGTCTCTCTCTAATCTCTGTCTCTTCCTTTTACACGATCTCTCTCGCCAGTCTCACTTTCTGTGTCTTTCTCTGATCTCTGTCTTTTCCAGTCTCTCTGTCTGTTATCCCCTGTGTCCTCTCTCCTTCACACTTAGTCTCTTTTTCTTTCTCTTTTTCTCCCCAGTTTTACTTTTCTCTCTGTTGGTCTTTCCCAAATAATGAAAAGGAGTGGAGGTCTGAATTTTATCAGATGATATTGTCAGGCCTGCGTTTGCAACCTCTGTCTGCAGAAATGTGTAACAGTCAATTAATTTGTCTCTGGTTTCTGGAGCACACAAAATATTATCAACATAATGAATAATACAACAGTCTGAAAACTTGTCTCTCATTGGTTGAAGAACTTGAGCTACAAAAGTCTGACAAATAGTTGGACTATTAAGCATTCCCTGAGGCAACACTTTCCACTGAAATCTGGTGGCTGGTTCTTTATTATTTACGGCTGGTATAGTAAAAGCAAATTTTTCAAAATCCTGTTTTGCCACAGGAATGGTAAAAAAGCAATCCTTTGAATCAATTATAATTAAAAGCCAATCTTTGGGGGTCATGGCCGGAGAGGGCAGCCCAGGTTGGAGAGGCCCCATGGGTTGAATTGCTGCATTAATGGCTCTCAAATCAGTTAGCATGCACCATCTGCCTGATTTTTTCTGAATTACAAACACAGGAGAATTCTAAAGAGAGAAAGTGGGTGGAACACATCCTATTTAAAATAGTTTTTTAACTATTTTATGTAACACCCCCAACTTTTCCTTAGAGAGCGGCCACTCTTTGACCCATACAGGAAGCTGCAGGGCAAGTCTGAATTGCTCCTTCACCGTAGTGAACTGCAGGTTGGGCAATAATGAGTGCCACGAGCCAAGTCGCAGCAAGCGTAGTTTCAGGCTCCCTCCCCCAGCACTCACTCGGCTGAGGAGGAGGTGGCCATCGTGCTTTTAACCCCAACAGCCCTGATGGTTCTGGACTTTTTCCTTTTAATTTTAATGTTTCAGGATATATTACCTCCTGTAATTGATTGTAGTCAACATTTTGCGTTGACCGAGCCATTACTGGCTCTGCTACATTTTTACCATGTGAACTTTCTGTTCCTTTCTTGAACTCTGTTTCTGCCTCTTCACAATCTATTACACAGCTTTCAGGGGCATCAGAAACTGAAACTCTAACTTCTTCTGTTTGAAATGGTTCTAAAGTTGCTTTAATAATAGCCCAATCATTCCATACTGCACGTGGGATGATTTTACCTTCCCTAGTTGCTTGTTTTAATTCTTTGCCAATTTTTTCCCAATCTTTTAAATCTAAAGTTCCCTGTTCTGGAAACCATGGGCAGAATTGTTCTATTGTTTGAAATAGCGTAATTAGATTTTCTGTAGAAGCTTTAACTCCCCCTCTTCTTAAGAGAATTTTAATGAAGCTGAGATAAGAGGCATATTTACTTGCAGTTTGCCCCATTGTTACCCTGGATTCCTCCGAGCGCACAAGCTTACCGCAAGGCTGACTGTGGATGTACTTGGGAATCTCTCGTCGGCTGTCCTCAATGCTCACGTTCTTAGCATACCTTCACCCTAGAGAAAGGCCCCCACATCGGGCGCCAGATGAAGGGGTGGCCTGCCCCTCCACACCTGTGGGTATTTCTAGTCGGGTGGGATGAGAGACTGAGAAAAGAAAGAAGACACAGAGACAAAGTATAGAGAAACAACAGTGGGCCCAGGGGACCGGCATCAGCATACCAAGGACCTGCACCAGCACCGGCCTCTGAGTTCCCTCAGTTTTTATTATTATTTTCATTATTTCAGCAAAAAGGAATGTAGTAGGAGAGCAGGGTGATAATAAGGAGAAGGTCAGCAAAAAACATGTGAGCAAAAGAATCTATGTCATAATTAGGTTTAAGGGAAGGTACTATGCCTGGATGTGCACGTAATCCAGATTTATGTTTCTCTCCACCCAAACATCTCAGCGGAGTAAAGAATAACAAGGCAGCATTACTGCAAACATATCTCGCCTCCCACCATAGGGCGGTTTTGCTACTATCTCAGAATTGAACAAATGTACAATCGGGTTTTATACCGAGACATTCAGTTCCCAGGGGCAGGCAGGAGACAGTGGCCTTCCTCTATCTCAACTGCAAGAGGCTTTCCTCTTTTACCAATCCACCTCAGCACAGACCCTTTATGGGTGTCGGGCTGGGGGATGGTCAGGTCTTTCTCATCCCACGAGGCCATATTTCAGACTATCACATGGGGAGAAACCTTGGACAATACCCCGCTTCCAAGGGCAGAGGTCCCTGTGGCTTTCTGCAGTGCATGTGCCCCTGGTTTATTGAGACTAGAGAATGGCGATGACTTTTACCAAGTATACTGCTTGTAAACATTTTGTTAACAAGGCACGTCCTGCACAGCCCTAGATCCCTTAAACATTGATTTTATACAACACGTTTTTGTGAGCTCCAGGTTGGGTCAAAGTGGCTGGGGAAAGCTACAAATTAACAACATCTCAGCAAAGCAATTGTTTAAAGTACAGGTCTTTTTCAAAATGGAGTCTCTTATGTCTTCCCTTTCTACATAGGTACAGTGACAGTCTGATCTCCCTCTCTTTTCCGTACAATTTACATTTTTTCTAATATATTAATTCAATGCTATAAATTTTCCTTTAAGCACTGCTTTCACTGCATCCCACTGATTATCCCACTGAAATAAGTTGTATTTTCATTTTCATTTAGTTCAACATATTTTTAAGTTTCAGATTTCTTGTTTGTGTTACTTAGAAGTGTGTTGTTCAATATCCATGTGTTTTGAGATTTTCCTTTTAATCTTTCTGTTACTGATTTCTGGTTTCATTCCATTGTGGTCTGACAGCACATATTATATGATTTCTATTCTTTGAAATTTGTTAAGATGTGTGTTATGACTAAGAATTGCGTCTATCTTCGTGAATGTCTTGGGAATTGGAGATGAATGTGTAATCTGTTGAATGAAGTAGTCTACTGATATCAGTTGATTGATGGTGCTGTTAAGTTCAGCTGTGTTCTTAACGATTTTCTGCCTGCTGGATCTGTCCAGTTCTGAAAGAGGGGTGTTGAAGTCCCCAAGTGTAATAGTGCATTCATCTGTTTCTCCTTGCTGTTTTATCAGGCTCTGCCTAATGTATTTTGATGGTTTGTTGTTAGGCACATGCACACTAAGGATTTTTATGATTTCTTTCTTGGAGTATTGACTCCTTTATCATTATGCAATGCTCTTCTTTAACCTTGCTCTGAAGTCTGCTGTGTCTGAAATTAATTTAGCTACGTCTCTTTCTTTTGATAAGTGTTAGTATGGTATACCTTTCTGTACTCACTTATTCTAAATCTATATGCATCTTCATATTTAAACTAGGTTTCTTGTACACAACATATAGTTGGGTCTTGTTTTGTGATGCACTCTGACAATGTCTTAAGTTAGTGTATTTAGACTGTTGACCTTCATTTTTAAAATTTATTTAATTTTTGGCTGGGTGTGGTGGCTCACGCCTGTAATCCTGGCACTATGGGAGGCCAAGGTGGGCAGATCATGAGTTCAGGAGATTGAGACCATCCTGGCTAACATGATGAAACCTCGTCTCTACTAAAAGTACAAAATATTAGCCAGGTGTGGTGGTGGGCACCTATAGTCCCAGCTACTCGGGAGGCTGAGGCACGAGAATGGCGTGAACCCGGGAGGCGGAGGTTGCAGTGAGCCGAGATCACACCACTGCACTCCAGCCTGGGCAACAGAGCGAGACTCTGTCTCAAAAAAAAAAAAAAAATTACTTATTTCTTTAGAGACAGGATCTCCCCATTTCCCAGGATAGAGTGCAATGATACAATCATAGCTCACTGCTGTCTCAAATTCTTGGGCTCAAGAGATCCTTTTGCCTCAGTCTCCCAATGTGCTGGGATTATATGCATGAGGCACCACATCTAACCATGTGTGTGTGTGTGTGTGTGTGTGTGTGTGTTTTTGAGATGAAGTCTTACTCTGTAGCCCAGACTGGAGTGCAGTGGCGCAATCTTGGCTCACTGCGACCTCCCCCTCCTGGGTTCAAGCAATTCTGCCTCAGCCTCCTATGTAGCTGAGATTACAGGTGCCCACCACCACACCTGGCTAATTTTTGTATTTTTAGTAGAGACGGGATTTCACCATGTTGGCCAGGCTGGTCTCTAACTCCTGACCTCAGGTGATCTGCCCACCTCGACCTCCCAAAGTGCTGGGATTACAGGCGTGAGCCTACGCACCCAGCCCCCTTTTGTGTTTTTTATTGAGCATTTTATATGATTTCATTTTCTCTTCTTTCTTAGCATATTGATTATACTTCTTTTTCTCATGGTTGTCCTAAAGTTTGCAATATACATTCTTTTTTTTGAGATGGAGTCTTGTTCTGTCACCCAGGCTGGAATGCAGTGGCATGATCTCTCCTCACTGCAGCCTCCACCTCCCGAGTTCAACAGATCCTCCTGCCTCAACCTCCATAGTAGCTGGGATTACAGGCATGCGTGCTACCATGCCTGGCTAATGGTCTGCATTTTTAGTAGAGATAGGGTTTTGCCATGTTGGCCAGGCTGGTCTCAAACTCCTGACCTTAAGTAATCCACCTGCCTTGGCCTCCCAAAGTGCTAGGATTACAGGCATGAGCCACTATGCCCAGCCTACATTTATAAATAATCCAACCCTACTTTCAAATAATACTGTGCCACTTCATGTGTAGTGCAAGTACCTTATAATAAAATATTTCTCATTTTTTCCTCCAGTCCTTAGTATCACTGTTGTCATTCATTTCACTTATATGTAAGCTATAATCATAAAATACATTGTTATTATCATTATTTTTTTGAGACAGAGTCTCGCTCTGTTGCCCAGGCTGGAGTGCAGTGGCACGATCTTGGCTCACTGCAACCTCTGCCTCCCGGGTCCAAGCGATTCTCCTATCAGCCTCCTGAGTAGCTGGGACTATAGGTGTGTGCCACCATGCCTGGCTAATTTTTTGTATTTTATTTTATTTATTTATTTTTGAGACAGAGTCTTGCTCTGTCACCCAGGCTGGAGTGCAGTGGCACTATCTTGGCTCATCCGCCTCCTGGGTTTAAGCGATTCTTCTGCCTCAGCCTCCTAAGTAGCTGGGACTACAGGCGCGAGCCACCACGCTCAGCTAATTTTTGTATATTTAGTAGAGACGGGGTGTCACCATATTGGCCAGGCTGGTCTCCAACTCCTAGACCTTGTGATCTGCCCGCCTCGGCCTCCCAAAGTGCTGGGATTACAGGCGTGAGCCAACGTGCCCAGCCTTGTATTTTATTTTTTGAGATGGAGTCTTGCTCTGTCACCCAGGCTGGAGTGCCATGGCATGATCTTGGCTCACTGCAGCCTCTGCCTCCCGGGTTCCAGACATTGTCCTGCCTCAGCTTCCTTCCTGGGTAACTGGGATTACAGGTGCACACCACCACGTCCGGCTAATTTTTGTATTTTTAGTAGAGACGGGGTTTCACCGTGTTGGCCAGGCTGGTCTCAAACTCCTGACCTCAGGTGATCTGCCGGCCTTAGCCTTCCAAAGTGCTGGGATTACAGGCATGAGCCACTGTGCCCGGCCAATACATTGTTATTATTTTGAACAAGCTGTTATCTGTGAGGTTAATTAAGAATAAGAAAACTAAGGCTGGGTGCAGTGGCTCACACTTGGAATCTCAGTACTTTGGGAGGCTTGGGTGGGAGGTGCTTGAGCCCAGGAATTTGAGGCTCTAGTGAAATATAATCCCAACACTCTTCTGTAACCTGGGCAATAAAGCAAGACCCTGTCTTTTAAAAAAATAAAATATTTATTTTACTTTTACTTATTTCTTCTTAAATGCTATTCCTTTCTTCATGTAGGTCTGAGTTTCTGACCTGTATCATTTTCCACCTCTCTGAAGAACTTCTTTCAACATTTCTTGCAGGGCAGGTGTACTGGCAACAAATTCCTTAAAAAAACTTTTATTTTTCTAAGAGAGTAATTTCTCCTTCACTTTTGAAGGATAATCTCACAGGCTACAGAATTGTGGGCTTGAGAGTTTTTTTTTTTTCTCTCAGCACTTCAAATATTTCACTCCACTCTCCTTGTTCTTTTTCTTGGTTTCTGAGAAGATCTGATGTACGGTAATCCTCCCCTATCTTCAGGGGATATTTTCCACAACCTCCGATGGATGCCTGAAAATGCAGATAGTATTGAACCTCATTGCCATTGGTTAGAGTATGTTTCTGTTCATGTCTTCCATCCAAAAATTTAATGCCTTTTCCGTTTTTTTTTTTTTTTTTTTTTTTTTTTGGCAGGGTCTTACTTTGTCACCCAGGCTGGAGTGCAGTGGTGTTATCATAGCTCACTGCAGCCTCGAGCTCCTGGGCTTAAGCGATCCTTTCACCTCAACCTCCTGAGTAGCTGGGACCACAGGTGCATACCACCACACTTGGCTAATTTAAAAAAATTTTTTTAGAGATGGGTGCTCCATATCTTGCCCAGCTGGTTGCAAACTTCTGGCCTCAAGCACTTAGGCAATCCCCTTGTCTTGGCCTCCCAAAATTCTGGGATGACAGGCATGAGCCACCTTGCCTGGCCCTTTTACACCTTAACTAAGCACTTATGCACTTGTGGTTGCAACTTTAGCAGTTTGAGGTGCAACAGCGAAACTAGCTGAGTTGCTTTTTTTCTTCTTCATATGAATAGAAGACTCATTCTGCTGTAATCTTAGCAACCTCAGCATATGAGAGAGTTTTTCCTTATTGAGTGGAGAAGAAATTTCACATTTTCCCATTAAGGAAGCACTTTGTAGCTTCTTTTTGGCATATCTGAATTGTCAGCATCACTATTCTTGTGCTTTGGGGCCATGATTAAGTAAAATAAGGGTCAGTTGAACACAAGCACTACGATACTGCATCAGGTGATCTGACAGCTCCTAAGTGACTAACAGGTGGGTAGCATTCGCAGCATAGATATGCCAGGACAATTCACATTCGGGGTGGGGTGGAGCAGGATGGTGCGAGACGTCACACTACTCAGAATGGTGTACAGTTTAAACATGAATTATTTCTGGAATTTTCTATTTAATACTTTTAAATATTGAACAAAGGTAACTGAAGTGGTGAAAAACTACAGAGGAGAGGACTACTGTAATTCCCAGCCTTGTTCCTTTATAGGTAAGGTTTTTTTCCTTTGACTTCTTTTTTCTTTGTATTTGATTTTCTGAAATTGGAATATAATATACCTAATTGTAGGGGTTTTTGTGAGGGGCGAGAGGGCACTTACCTTGCTTGGTGTTCTCTGTGTTTCCTCCATCTGTGGTTTGGTTTATGACATTAATTTGGGGAAATTCTCCGTCATTATTTCCTCAAAGACTGCTTCTGTTCTTCCTTCTTTTTTAGTATTTCTGTTATGCGTATATTACATCATTTGTAGTTGTCCTACAGTTCTTGGATAATCTGTTCCTTTTTTTTCCCTCAATATTTTATCTGTTTTTCAGTTTTGGACGTTTCTATTGAGATATCTACACAGAATACTTATGAGCCCATTGAAGGCATTCTTTATTTTCATTACAGGAATTCTTTTGAGATGGAGTCTCGCTCTGTCACCCAGGCTGGAGTGCAGTGGCGCGATCTCAGCTTACTGCAAGCTCCACCTCCCGGGTTCACGCCATTCTCCTGCCTCAGCCTCCCGAGTAGCTGGGACTACAGGCAGTCGCTACCACGCCCGGCTAATTTTTTGTATTTTTAGTAGAGACGGGTTTCACTGTGTTAGCCAGGATGGTCTTGATCTCCTGACCTTGTGATCTGCCAGCCTCCACCTCCCAAAGTGCTGGGATTACAGGCGTGAGCCACTGCACCTGGCCCATTACAGGAATTTTTATTTCTAGTATTTCCTTTTGATTCTTTCTTAAAATTTTCATTTATCTCCTTACATTATCCATCTCATCTTGCATCTTGTATACTTTTTCCCAGTAAAACTGTTAGCATATTAATCATAGTTTCTTAAGTTCCTGGACTGATAATTCCAACATTCCTACCGTATCTGTCTCAGATTCTGATGCTTGTTCAGTCTGTTCAAACTTTTTTTTTTTTGCCATTTAGTATACCTCATAATTTTACATTGAAGGGTGGACATGATGTACTGAGTAAAAGGAACTGCCTTTTGTAATGTAGTGGTAAGGTGTTGAGGGAAGAGAAGCATTTTGTAATCTTAAAATCATGGTAAGCCTGTGCTTCTGGACTAAGAACTTAATTAGTTCTTAATTTTTTTTCCACCTTATGTGGGATAGGATGGCTAGAAGGGGCTGGAGTTTAGTTTGTTCAACTTTTCACTTGTTTTTAGGACAGAGTAGTGACTTCTAAGATCCTTGTAAGTCAGACTGGAAACTGCAAGTCTCCCTGTCATAATTTTCCATAATTTCCTTCTTCCTGTATTGATCTTAAATAACATTGGTGATAGAAGGTATTAGGCTGTTTTCCCAAGAAAAGAGTGAATACATCTAAAAAATTTCCTTGGAGTATATTAGTTGCTGGTTTATCAAAGGAATCCTTTATTACATCAAGAATGAAACCTTGGTGGCTCATGTCTGTAATCCTAGCACTTTGGGAGGCCGAGGTGGGCAGATTGCCTGAGCTCAGGAGTTTGAGACCATCCTGGGCAACACAGTGAAACCCCATCTCTACTAAGATACATAAGTAAATAAATAAATAAAATAAACCATTAGCCAGGCGTGGCAGCGTGTGCCTGTAGTCCCAGCTACTCGGGAGGCTGAGGCAGGAGAATTGCTCAAACCTGGGAGGCGGCGGTTGCAGTGAGCCAAGATCGTGCCACTGGACCCCAGCCTGGGTGACAGAGCGAGACTCCGTTTCTTAAAAAAAAAAAAAAGAAAAAAGAAACCTTCTATCTATAGGCTTTTAATAAGTACTGAGTTTCCTCAAATCCATTTGGCATCTACTAAAAAGAGTATGGAGGTATAGTAGGAGATGGGAAGAGGTGAGGTGATTGAGGAAGGGAAGTGTGTGAAGGGCTATGTAATTAGCATTCTATTTTTATATCTCGAACATTGTTTTGATTGTGTTTTTTACTCTCATTGTTGTGAGAAATATGGCAAATACACTAAATCTGTGCAATTAACCCCATTTTTTCTTCTTTTTAATTGACACAATGACTGTACGTTTATGAAGTACAATGTGATGTTTCAATACATGTATACATTGTATAATGATCATATAAAATTAATTAGCAAATCCATTATCTCAAATGTGTATCATTTCAAATGTGTATCATTTCTATGTGATAAGAGCATTCAAAACTTCTCTCTTCTATTTTGAAAGATACATTATTATTAGCTATAATCACCTTACCATGCAAGAGAACACCTGAGCTTATTCTTCATATCTAACAATAACATCTTACCTGTCCAACACCCCCTTTGTTTTAAGACAGGGTGACATTCTGTTGCCTGAATTCCTGGGTTCAAGCAGTCCTTCCAGGTCACTCTGTCAAGTAGCTAGAAGTACAGATGCACAGTACCGTGCCTAAGTTTTAATTTTTTTTTTTTTTTTTGGGTAAAGACAGGGGTCTCACTTTGTCACTATGTTGTTTAGGCTGGTCTCAAACTCTAGGACTCAAGTGATCCTCCAGCCTCAGCCTCCCAAAGTTGGATTACAGGCATGAGCCACCACACCCGGCCCCAACAGCTTTCTATTTTTTTTTAATGTCCAGGTTCACTTGGTATATTTCAGTTCCCAGTAAGTTTCCTTGAAGCATTTCTAGATGAAGCCTTTATTTATTGGAGTGGATTTTTAAATCTTATCTCTGGTCTTTTATACAATTTTTACCCTAAGTATAATGAACTTGCTCTTGTGTCTTATATCAATATTTTCTTCTGTGTTCTCTTTCCCTATTTATATTCTCAGTTCCTGAAAAGAATTACTCAGTTCACATCTACAGAGTTCTTATTTAGGTACTCAGTAGATACAGAATTGGTTTAAAGAAGAGGCAAGAAAGGAATTTAATGTTTTATCTGCATTGACACAATTATTTTAAAAGCTGTTTCACTGCCTCCCCATCTTGATCTTTCATGTATTTTGTATACCTACCATATAGGTACAGATCTTGATCCATTATTGAGATATGAATTAAATATTTCATCAAAGAAACAGTCTATTTACCTTTCCTTAAAAGCTTACTGTGAGAGCAATAACAGATAACATTTTTCCCAAAGTGCCAACGTATGTTTGACTGAAATGACAAATGCGTTTTTAGATGTTATTGGGAATTTTAAGCTTATGTAAAAGTTATAAGAATAGTACAAAGAATGTTCACATTCACCTTTGCTTGTACACATTTGCCTTATCATTTGGCATATGATTTTTCTTCTGAAACATTTGAGAATAAGTTCTATATATTATGGCCTTTTACCTCTATACACTTAAGTGTAGATTTCCTAATAAGAATTTCCTAAAGATACAATTTTTTTTTTTTTTTGAGACAGACTCTCGCTCTGTCACCCAGGTTGGAGTGCAGTGGCGCAATCTCGGTTCACCGCAACCTCTGCCTCCCAGGTTCAAATGATTCTCCTGCCTCAGCCTCCTGAGTACCTGGGACTACAGGTGCATGCCATCACGCCTGGCTAATTTTTTGTATTCTTAGTAGAGACGGGGTTTCACTGTGTTAGCCAGGCTGGTCTCGATCTCCTGACCTCATGATCTGCCCGCCTTGGCCTCCCAAAGTGCTGAGATTACAGGCGTGAGCCACTGCGCCCGGCCAAGAGTATGAATGTATTTTTAAGGAGACACTTCATATTATTTCAAAATTCTGTTCCAATTTAAAAATGATGAAGTCCCTCGTTAAAATTCAGCATGGAGAAAATTAGGGCTTATATTTGTCAAACACATTTGATATTAAGACACTTTATTTTTCTGTCCAACTTTCATTTTAGGTTAAAGGTTACTCATGTTACATGAGCAAATTGTGTGTCATGGGGGTTTGGTGTGCAGATAATTTTGTCACCCAGGTAATCAGCATAATGCCCAATAGTCAGGTTTTTAATCCTTACCCTCCTCCCACATTCCACCCTCAAATAGGTCCCAGAAAAGACATAATTATACCAAATATGAGCTTCATACTAGTTCAGAAGGTAGAGTTGGAGGATCATAGGCAAGTTTTCAGAGAAACCGCTTTTTTTTTCATTTAGATTATTATAAGATGTTCCAGAGGCACTAAGTGAACAGAATCTAATGTCTTTGTGCAATCTGACGAACACTTAGTGTTTAGTAGCAGCATTATGAAATTGCCATTTTTAGATAATTCTGGCAGTAAATACCGTTTAAATGGTGGTGAAGAAGACTAGCAACCTATCCTTCACAAATATTTCCTGATAGCTCTATTTTCCCTGCTCTTTCAATTACTTACGTTTACACTTTCTCTTTATTTACCTATATGTCTATCTCTGTTTGATCTTTTCTGAAGTTCTGGGCATACTACTCAGATTTCAGTCACAGCTGTGAAAGCTGCTATTGATAAGATTTTTTGAAACTTCATTCTGTTGCTAAAGAAGGGAGAAATGGCCTTATTTTATTCAATACAGGAAAAAGAAACATTCACTTTTTTTTTGGTATCTTTCAGTTTCAGAGTCAAGTGGTGAGATCAAAGACTTTTCACCAAAAAATGTCATTTATGATGACTCATCCCAGTATTTGATCATGGAAAGAATTCTAAGTCAAGGCCCTGTGTATTCCAGTTTTAAAGGAGGCTGGAAATGCAAGGATCATACTGAGATGCTGCAAGAAAATCAGGGATGTATTAGGAAAGTAACAGTCTCTCATCAAGAAGCCCTGGCTCAACATATGAATATCAGTACTGTGGAGAGGCCCTATGGATGCCATGAATGTGGAAAAACTTTTGGTCGACGCTTTTCCCTGGTGTTACACCAGAGGACTCATACTGGAGAGAAACCATATGCATGTAAGGAATGTGGCAAAACCTTTAGCCAGATTTCAAACCTTGTGAAACACCAAATGATACATACTGGAAAGAAACCCCATGAGTGTAAGGACTGTAATAAAACATTCAGTTACCTTTCATTTCTTATTGAACACCAGAGAACGCACACTGGGGAGAAACCTTATGAATGTACTGAGTGTGGAAAGGCCTTTAGCCGTGCCTCCAACCTCACTCGACATCAAAGAATTCACATAGGAAAGAAACAATATATATGTAGGAAATGTGGTAAAGCATTTAGCAGTGGCTCAGAACTCATTCGCCACCAGATTACACATACTGGAGAGAAACCTTATGAATGCATTGAATGTGGGAAGGCATTTCGCCGTTTCTCACACCTTACTCGACATCAGAGCATCCATACAACCAAAACCCCGTATGAATGTAATGAATGTAGGAAAGCTTTCCGTTGTCACTCATTCCTTATTAAACATCAGAGAATTCATGCTGGAGAAAAGCTCTATGAATGTGATGAATGTGGTAAAGTTTTCACTTGGCATGCATCCCTTATTCAACATACGAAGAGTCACACTGGAGAGAAACCCTATGCGTGTGCTGAATGTGATAAAGCCTTCAGCCGGAGCTTTTCCCTCATTCTACATCAGAGAACTCATACTGGAGAGAAACCCTATGTATGTAAGGTATGCAACAAATCCTTCAGCTGGAGCTCAAACCTTGCTAAACATCAGAGGACACACACTCTTGACAACCCCTATGAATATGAAAATTCATTTAATTACCACTCATTCCTTACTGAACACCAGTGAATTTACACTGCAAAGAAAAACTATGAATGTATGGAATTTTTTAAAAAGAAGTATAATGCCTTACTTCAGAGAACTCTTGGAAAGAAGCCTTATGTGAAAGTGATGACTGTGAAGTAATATGGCCCACACTTTATTCACCACCCTGGAGAAAAAAAAACCCAGGAATATGTGGAAAAGCCATTAATAACCACTCTTTTATTTTTTTGCAATAACAAGGTGAAATCAATATTGTTGAGAAGATTCTTCCATCTGGTAATGTTGAGAAGACTTCATTTGGTAGGAGTCCCTTACTTTACGTGTGTAAATTCCTACCAGGAAAGAATACATATCCAATAGATTGGAGAAAGCCAGAGATTAGCCCTCATTCCGCATCTGTCAACCAGGACAGAAAGCATGGACAAGGGATGAGCTTTACAAAGATGATGCACTTTGGAGATCAGAAAATTCATATTTAAGCAAAGTGATACAAACACAGTGATTTGGGAATGCCTTCATTTACAATGCAATACTTACATTTTAATACTCTTGTAGGAGAAAAAGCAACTGTATAAATGAATGTAGAGTGACTTTCTGCAATATTTCAAACCTATATCAGAGAATTACACTGTGGGAAAACTACCATTGTAATAAGTGTAGCAAAATCTCCTTAGATATCTGAAAAGTCATACTGGATGGAATCTGTAGGAAACGGTTCTATTTTGAGGGAAGGGGGATTCCTTTTTGTTTTTTAAGTGAATTCAGAAAATGTTATAAATAAATCTTTTGGTTTATTATAAACCTTCTGCTTGCTGATTTTTTCCCACAGCATGTGATTCTGAAAATGTAACTACAATATTGACATAAAAAATAAACAGTAGTTTTTCTTGTTGAAACATACAAACATAACAAAGTGTTTTTAGGTGTTTTATGATTTTAACTTTCAGACAGAGTTTGGATTTAAGGTAATGCTGACAGTTATCCTTGAATCTGACTATAGACATTTGTTATTCAGTGTGAAACAAATATAAGATACATCACAGAAAATTACCAAGGTATTCTTCCTGTTTTGTTCCATGTACGGTGAAAACCGTTCTTTTGTAAGCAGGTATTTAAAACTGTTCTGGCATTACCACCTGCCCAGCTGACAAAGGTCACACCATCAGGGTTAGTTTGCCTTAATCAGGAAGGTAAGCAATTTTATTTTGTAGAAAGAGAGGTAGAGAATATGAATAGGAATGAATTTAGTGAGCATTAATGTAATGGCTGCATTGAGGGCACATTTGTAGGAGGTGTTATTAGATAAATATAAGTAATTTTGTAAGAGGTGAAATTTATAAAAGTTTTAGCCCAAAAACACCTTATTTACATGTACTAGAGTTCTAAATACATTATCAGAAGTGTATTTCCTCAAACCTGCCATTGGCATGCCATATTGGTACATACATTTAGAAGCTTCTCAAGTTTCCATAAGAGTTGTTTCAGAGAGGCTGATTTATCTTACAATAGTGTACAGTCTGACTCGAATACAAGCAGCATGCCTTACTACGTATGGGTATCTAATATCTGATTTGATTTTCTCAAGCAGCATGCCTTATTACATATGGGTATTTAATATCTGATTTGGTGTCCTCAAGCAGCATGCCTTATTACATATGGGTATCTAGTATCTGATTTGGTTTTCTCAGGCAGGAATGGTTTGTATCAGGGTAAAAATCAAGTTACCCTGTCAGCAAAATTAGGATATGAAAAATTCATTATTTATTTATTTAAGAGTATACTCAATTTCTCCCATTATCTGCTCCACATCCACTTTCCTTCCTACTGTTTACTCTGTGGGGATGCACCTCATGAACTATATCAGAGGTCATCAAGCTACAGCCCATGGGCCAGGTATTCATTTACATAGTCTATGGCTCCTTACCTCTATAACTGAAGAGTTTAATATACAGCCATAAAGGTTAAACATTTACTATCTAGCCCTTTACAGAAAAACTTGGCCAACCCCTGACTACATCAAATCTTTGCCCTCTAGTTTTTGTTGAGTGCAGCCAACATTGAGAACGTTTACTTTGGAGCAATCTCCAATTAACCAAAGTGATACAAACACAGTGATTTGGGAATGCCTTCAATTACAATGCAATACTTAAATTTTAATACTCTTGTAGGAGAAAAAGCAACTGTATAAATGAATGTAGAGTGAATTTCTGCAATATTTCAAACCTATATCAGAGAATTACACTGTGGGAAAACTACCATTGTAATAAGTGTAGCAAAATCTTCTTAGATATCTGAAAAGTCATACTGGATGGAATCCAGTGTCCAATCTTTTGGCATCCCTGGGCCACATTGGAAGAATTGTCTTGGGCCACATATAAAATACGTGAACACTAATGATAGCTATCAGTTATTGTGGCTCAAGAAAATTCTTCTTCTGGTGTAGCCCAGGGAAGCCAAAAGATTGGACACCTCTGCTTTAGAGGGAGATGTAACTATCAATGAATTATTATGTTCATTTTTTCCCTTAGCCAGAGAAAGGCCAAAAGACATTCCCGTCAGGGTATTAAGAAATACATTGGTGAGGAGTTTACCACCATCCTTGGACAACTCTGTGGTACCCACCCTCTCTAGACTGTAGATGATGCAGAACTTCTATAATGAAAGTAAGATCCCAATTTCAGTAGAGATCATAGGATCTTGGCATGGGAGGGGTTGGGTAAAATCTGCACAAGAGTCCAAGGGATGCACTGTTAATGAGAATTTTAACCATATAGGTGGCAATGGCTAAATGATCATAGGGTTCCTAGAAATAAATTGATAGCCCACAAACATACTACTTGACATATGGTTGAAGCCAGTTCACTTAAATATTCTCAAGTTCACTTAAATATTCTCAACTAAGGGAGAGGCAGGTCCCTTTAAGAAAAACTATTGCAGTGGGGGACGGGGGGCTCATATGTACACTGTGAAAAACTGCTAACCTCTTTTCATACTGAGCTAAAATATCCTTCAGAAATAAAGATGTTTCAGAATAAAAATAGAGGAAATTTACGGTAGCATTCTTATGCTAAAAGAAATAATTTTTCAGGCAGTATGAAATGATCTTAGAAACTTGGAAATGCAGAAATAAATAACACTGGAGGGGTAAATATGTTGATAAATACAAGTCAGGTGTTGGGAAATTATGGTCTATGGACCAAATCAAGGCCTTTGAGCTAAGAATGATTTTAACATCTTTAAAAAGCTGCTTAGAAAAATAAGAATATGCAACAGTTACCATATATGGCCTGCAAAACCTAGAATATTGGCCGGGCGTGGTGGCAGACGCCTGTAGTCCCAGCTGCTTGAGAGGCTGAAGCAGAAGAATGGCGTGAACCTGGGAGGCGGAGCTTGCAGTGAGCTGAGATTGCGCCACTGTACTCCAGCCTGGGTGACAGAGCGAGACTCCGTCTCAAAAAAAAAGAAAACCTAGAATATTTATTTACTCTCAGGACCTTCAGACAAAGTTTGTCAACTCTGATATAAATATTTACTTTCATAACAATATCTGGTGGATTATAAAATACACCGAAGTAAATAGCACGACAATAGCACAAGAAAGGAGGGAGACGTTTAAAAGATGAGTCTAGGAATATTGCAAAAGTAGTAAAAGTATTAATTTGGCTCTCATGATCTGGGGACTGGTTAAGTGTGTTCTATTTGGGGAAATTCATAAAGCTGCATGCCTTTATGTATTATTCTTCAGGAAAAAAAAGTTTTTTAAAAGAAGTCTCCCAAAAGGTTATTAAAACTAATCTTCAGCATTGGAAAAAGAAGTTACTATGAATGCAGAAAGGCGACAGAACAACAGATGCAATCAATATTAGTAAAGAATAGTCATGGGAGAATGACCACAATTCTGTATTTTCTTGGAAAGCAACAATCAAATGCTTTGGGAGACTTAAGATACTCACAAATAGGTAAAGCTGGGTTAACTTTTGTTGCTGTGATGTGCCCAAAAGAATTTTCTATCATACATCAATGTATGTAAGGCAGGGGGCTAAGTGACTTGTGCCTGTAATCCCAGCATGATCCCAGCATGGGAGGCTGAGGCAGGCAGATCACTTGAGGTCAAGAGTTTAAAATCAGCCTGGCCAACATGGTGAAACCCCATTGCTACTAAAAATACAAAAAATTAGTTGGGTGTGGCGGTGCATGCCTGTAATCCAAGCTACTCATGGAGGCTGAGGCATGGAGAATCACTTGAACCCAGGAGGTGGAGGTTGCAGTGAGCCGAGATCACGCTACTGTATTCCAGCCTGGGCGACAAAGCAAGATTCCATCTCAACAAAACAAAACAAAACCAACAAAAGAAAAAGAAAAGAGAAAAAGGACAGGAAATTTGTTAAATCCCTCTGAAGAGATCCAAGAAATTTCAGAGCAAAGAGAGGTAGCAAAACCTGCCTATTGGGTATGATTGATTTGGAAGAAAGAGTCTGAGTCCTTAGCAACTCATTCAAAAAGTCTGCCTTTAAAAGGCAGGACATAGAAAAAGTGGCAAAAAGTGTAAAAAATTATCTGGTATGTTAACAATTCTTTTAAGGAAACAAAACAAAAAAAAATAAATTATGTAACCCAGCACTTTGGGAGGCCAAGGCAGAAAGATTGCTTGAGCCCAGGAGTTTGATACCAGCCTGGGCAATGCAGTGAGACCCCATTTCTACAAAAAATACAAATAAAAAAATTATCCAGGTGTAATAGCACATGCCTGTGGTCCCCACAACTGAGGAGGCTGAGGTAGGAGGATCACATGAGCCCAGAAGGTTGAGGTGGCAGTGAGCTGAGATTGTGCCACTACACTCCAGTCTGGGCAAGAGTGAGACACTGTCTCAAAAAAAGGGAGAAATAAATATTACAGAAATAATTTTTTAAAATAAATTCTGCATCATGAACACCCTCAATATCACAAAGGACAAAATTGCATGGAAAAAAATGGATATTGCATCAAAAAATATTTTAGAAAAATCAAAACTCCCATGAAACTGTGCTCATAGGTAGAAAATATAATTTTATGTATTTGACATGCATTTCTTAAGTTAGAGGTGAATTTAAGTCATGACATGTATTAGCCATGAATTTCCTGTTTATGCTAAAACAAATCTCATTGTCTTTTAAAAAGTGAATGCAACTTATGGAAAAATTAAAAAGGAAACCCAGTAACTTACAGAAAATTAAAAAATAAAGAAAAATAAATAAAAAAGTGAATGCTAAGGAAATTAGTTTTTGGCATTCAAATTTCATACATGAACTATTGCAAATAGCTTCCTAGTCTCTCAAGATTTTTTTATACAAAAATGTGATCTTTTTAAAACAAATAATTTCAATCTCTGAAAAACTTAAATAGTTCCTCATAACTCTTCAAATAAAGTATAAACTCATGTCATAGCTAGCAAGGTCTTTATCTGGCCCCTGCCTCCTTTCAATCTGGTTTCACATACTCTTCTCCTTACCCCTTTGCCTAACAGTTTTCCATTTACTGGACTTACTTTCTGTTCCACAAATATGTCAAATCCTGATGAGTCTTTTTGCTCTTGCTGTTCTATTTAGAAAGCTCTTCCTCTGTCCCTCCACCCTCTGCCCATGGAGCCAGAAGAAGGAGCTCCCTACTCCTTCTTTAACTTCGTATTTCAAGTTAAATGTTATTTTCTCATGGAGACCTTCTTTTTTTTTTTTGAGACACAGTCTTGCTCTGTCACCCAGGCTGGAGTGCAGTGGCACTATCTTGGCTCACTGCAACCTCCGCCTCCTGGGTTCAAGTGATTCTCCTGCCTCAGCCTCCCAGTAGCTGGGACTACAGGTGTGTGCCACCACGCCCAGCTAGTTTTTGTATTTTTAGTAGACATGGGGTTTCACCATGTTGCCCAGGCTGGTCTTGAACTCTTGAGCTCAGGCAATCCACCCACCTCTGCCTCCCGAAAACACTGGGATTACAGGCGTGCGCCACTGCGCCTAGCCCTGACTGCTTTTTCTAACACAATTCCCTGTTCTTATCAGAGAAACTTATTTGTATCCTTCATATTTTGAATTCTGCCTAGAGTAAGAGGAAGTCTAAAAAGTATCCACACCCTTTATCAACACTTTCAAAAAGTTTGCCTTTAAAAAGTAGGAGATAGAAATGGTAAGTTAAAAAATATATTTTCCCCAGCACTTTGGGAGGCCGAGACGGGCAGATCACGAGGTCAGGAGATCGAGACCATCCTGGCTAATACGGTGAAACCCTGTCTCTACTAAAAATACAAAAAATTAGCTGGGCATGGTGGCGTGCGCCTGTAGTCCCAGCTACTCGGGAGGCTGAGGCAGGAGAATGGCATGAACCCAGGAGGTGGAGCTTGCGGTGAGCAGAGATCGTGCCACTGCACTACAGCCTGGGCGACAGAGCAAGACTCTGTCTCAAAAAATATATATATATATATTTATATTTATTTATTAAAAATATATTTATAAAATATAAAAAAATATATTTTTCAATTTTTTTAATCTGGTATTTAAAAAAATGAAAAGAATCTATGTGTCCAACAACAGCCTAAGCAAATTATTTACTTTACAACTTTGAAGATATTAAAATCATGCTTTAAAAAGTATTTATTAAAAAGTTAATGATAGAATTATTTTTAAGAAATAGACCACAGCTCTGTTCACTAAACTAGACATCTTAAAAAAAGACAAAAGAAAAAAATTATGACATAACCATTGATAAAACTTTGGTGTTATGTCTTTCCATATTTTCAATGCACACACACATATTTATAACATGCATTAAAAAGTCATACCATATTTTGTGACTGTTTAAAATTCATAATGTATCAAATATATCTCCACATGTCAATCCACACAAATACATTTTAATGACTGCATTATATTCCATTTTATTGACTGTTACTGGGAATTTAGGAATTTTCCAGTTTTTCACTAGGGCATGAAACAGGTGAATATTGTTACTTATACATGAAAAATCCTTTTATAAAATCTCAGTTTAAAATTGCTGGGTTTTAAATATTTAAAGGTTATAAATATTCCAGCTTTGGACATTTATTGCTTTACTGTCCCAAGTTTTTTTTGGTTTGTTTTTGTTTTTAGACAGGGTCTTACTCTGTCACCCAGGCTGGAGTGCAGTGGTGCACACAGCTCACTGCAGACTCAACCCCACTGCAGCTCAAGTGATCCTCCTACCCCAGCATCCCTAGTGGCTGGGACCACAGATTCATGACACCATGGGTAATTTTTTTTTTTTGGTAGAGATGGGGTTTTGCCATGTTGCCTAGGCTGGTTTCAAACTCCTGGGCTCAAGCAATCTACTCACCTCAGCCTCTCAAAGTGCTGGGATTACAGATGTGAGCCACCACACCCACCCAGTAAGTTTGTACTAATTTACGCTTCCATTGGTAGTCTAAAGCAAGTATACGACACACCCACCAATACTTGGTCAACTCATCCCTTTTCATATTATAATACATAATGGAACAGAATATGAACACTTGCTCTACAAAAAATAAGTCTGTGTAGTGAATGGGGTGGTGGTGAGTGGGATGAGGGAAGAGAGGAGAAGGACTAGGAGAGGGACATAATATAAATAACATTAAACTGCTGTTGTCCTAACAGTCTTAGTTTCTGCACACCTGTTATGGTGCAACATTTTCCTATACCTAGAAGAAAAATTAATTCCATGCATTTTTACTATAATGGAGTCTCATGTTACTCAGGCTGGTCTCAAACTCCTGGGCTCAAGCAATCCTCCCACGTCAGCCTCCAGAGCAGATAGGACTACAGGCACAGGCCATTGCACCCACCTCCTTGCAACTTTTACCTTACAATCACTTAAATAGCTTTTAAGTTAAACTTCCACTAGAATGGTAAGTAAAAGAAAAGGCACAAAATTTGCTGAAGAACCGTAAATATTTAACTGAACACCTACACTGGGCCAAGTAATAAAACAATGAAAAATTTAGACAAAGTTCCCACCTTACCAAAACTTACAGTGTAGAGGGCACAATACACAAACAGGCAATACAGTGTGAAAGTGTGACAAGTATTGTTAAAGCAGATGAAGGACACAATACCTAAAGGATAAATAGGACAGGTTAAATTAGGGAGACAGTGAAGATAAAGGGAATAACCAGAGATAAGGCCTGAAAAGGCAAGAGTTTGAGCAAGGTCTTGTAAAAAGATTTTATCTTAACTGGAGAAAAAGGCCAGAAGAAGATTAAACGTGAAATGTTATGTGATCAGGTTAGTACTTTAGATGGATCACCCTGGGAAGTGTAGAGAACAGTTGATAGGAAAGCACAATATATAAACAATATTATTGATTGCAGTATTGTTATAAAAACTCTGGAGGCAAATGGATCAAATACATTATGGTACAAGCATATAATCAAATACTAAGCAGCTATTACAAATGAAATAGAACTACATGCACTGACATGGAAAGATGTTTAAAAAGATGTTGGATAGGCTGGGGGCGATGGCCTCACAATCCCAACAATTTGGGAGGCTGAGGCAGGCGGATCACCTGAGGTTAGGAGTTTGAGACCAGCCTGACCAACATGGAGAAACCCTGTCTCTACTAAAAATACAAAATTAGCCAGGAGTGGTGGCACATGCCTGTAATCCCAGCTACTTGGGAGGCTGAGGCAGGAGAATTGCTTGAACCCAGGAGGCAGAGGTTGCTGTGAGCCGAGAACGTGCCACTGCACTCCAGCCTGGGAAAAAGCAAAACTCCTTCTCAAAAAAAAAAAAAAAAAAAAAAAAAAGATGTGGGATAAAAGGTATAACTCAATTTTTATAAAATGTTTGTATGTACATAAAGTCTGACAGAATGCACATTCACCTACGATATTAATTTTTTAAGGCAGTAGAATCCAGGGTTTCCTTCTGTGTAGGGCAGAAGTTATTTACATTGTTTTCTCCTATGCATGTATTAGTTTTATTATTAAAAACCACAAAGTTTTTGTTTTGTTTTGTTTTGTTTTTTAATAGGATACCATGGCAGCTGCATAGAAAACATACTAAAGGAAAGTATGATTCAAGTCAGAGAAACCAGTTAGGAGGCTATTGCAATAAAATCCAGGTGAGATGCTGGGCGAGACTGTGCCTGAGTCTACCTCCTGGTGTACAGGATGAGTATTCCTTATTCAAAACACTTGGGACCAGAACTGTTTTGGATTTTGGAATATTTGCATTATACCTACTAGTTGAGCATCACAAATCTGAAAATCCAAAATTTTAAATGCTCCAATGAGCATTTCTTTTGAAAGTCACATCGGCGCACAAGGTTTCAGGTTTTGGAGCATTCTGAATTTCAGATTTTCAGATTTGAGATGCTCAATCTGTTCCAAGATCACTGGGCCAAAATTAGAGTGTAAATTCCAGTCCTAACCAAGCAAAGTACAATCCCTTGCTGAGTACTCCTTAAGATGATCTCACCCAAGGACCACATGCAGTTGGGACGATTTTCTTGAGACGGAGTCTTGCTCTGTCACCTAGGCCGGAATGCAGTGGTGCGATCTCGGCTTACCACAACCTCTGCCTCCCGGGTTCACAGCATTCTCCTGCCTCAGCCTCCCGAGTAGCTGGTACTACAGGCGCCCACCACCACACTTGGCTAATTTTTTGTATTTTTAGTAGAGACGAGGTTTCATCATGTTAGCCAGGATGGTCTCAATCTCCTGACCTCGTGATCCGCCTGCCTCGGCCTCCCAAAGTGCTGGGATTAGAAGCGTGAGCCACTGCACCCGGCCAGTTGGGACCATTTTCTAACTACTGATGGCTAGTGCTATACCCACCAGGGCTGCTAACACCTGAAACCACTTGGTTTCACAGCATGACTGCAGGCTCTCCTTTCCAAGCTACAAATGAATCCCAGTAGACCTAAATACCCATCATCTTCTTACAGACTGCTGGGATTTAACCTATACTCCCTCTAAATTTTGTTTTCACTGGTCATAGCCCCTGATCTGGTCTTTTTTCCTCTATCAATAATGTCATTACAATCTTCTGTATTCCTCAGGCCAAAGCCAGAAACCCTAAACCCCTGCCCTTCTGGAGACTCTTTCATGGTGCCCTCTGAGATTCCCTTAATAAACTCCCTTAATATCCTCAACTATTTCCCTGAACATTTCCTTTCATTAATTTAAACTTGGCTGTTCCCTGGGAAGGAAAAAACACCTACCTGACAACAATCACATCACAAGGGGGCTTATTCTCATGTATTCCACATATCCACAGGTTGGAAGTGGGATCAGTATCTTCCTTACTCCCTAACACTGCTTCTAACCATTGCAGCCTGGAGAAAACCACTCCTTCCTTTGAAGTTCATACCATCTAGTTATACCACTTTCTCCCTCTCTTCCTTGCTATCTTTTATTTAAATGACCTCTCCTCAATCACATAGACTTTGCTACTTGCTTTGCTGTCTTCTCCACTGATGGCTCTATTGATAACTTGGAAGGACTTTCAAATACATAGAGATCTTCTTCACTAAAACCTCCTTGCAGAATTTCATCCACCTTCCTCTTAGCAGATAATCTTACCATGAAACCTATAATCATATATCTATATTTTACTGGCCAGGAACAGTAGAAATGGCATCAAGGCTACAAAGAGGTTGGGATAAGTAGTTTTGTAGCTAAATACAATACTACTGTTAGCAAAACTGAAGATCTATTCATAAAGAATAAAAAATATATATATTTGGTTAGTAATTAGCAGTGGCTGCCACACAGTTCTTAGGAAACACAAAACATTATATAGTTCACATATTCTGATCACTGCTTAGTACAGTTAGGTGTAAATAAATAAACAAGTAATTTAAACCAACCCACCCATTTTTCTACTCCTGAAAGAATGGTGGGAGTATCCCTCCGCCTCATGGCAAACACCAATACTTTTGTTTGTGCTCTAAACATCTACACCCCATTCTCAGAAGCTTATATTAAACTTTATTATGCTGCATATTAAACCTCACCATACTACATTCATCACATTAGAATTCAAACATGTTCTAGTTTTTCATATTTTAAACATATTATCTCTTTACTCCAAATCTCTCCAGCTACTACCCTTTCTCCTATTATTCAAACTTGTCTACATCCAGTCTTTACTTCTTTGCCCTTTATTGATTCCTAAAGTCAGCCCAATCTAGCAACCATCTTCATTATGTACCACTATGTTATTTCCAACTACAATCACAAATGATCTTCACTTGGCTGTATATGTTTACCTTTTTAGACTTCATCTAATTGGATCCCTAAGTAACACTAAAAACATTTACCTTCACCTTCCTTTTTTTTTTTTTTTTTTTGAGATGAAGTCCTGCTCTGTCACCAGGCTGGAGTGCAGTGGTGAGATCTCATCTCACTGCAACCTCTGCCTCCCAGGTTCAAGTGATTCTTCTGCCTCAGCTCCTGAGTAGCTGGGACTACAGGCATGTGCCACCACACCCGGCTAATTTTTGTATTTTAGTAGAACCAGGGTTTCACCATGTTGGCCAGGATGGTCTCGATCTGACCTTGTGATCCGCCTGCCTCAGCCTCTCAAAGTGCCAGGATTACAGGCGTGAACCACCACACCTGGCCAACTTCACCTTCCTTTTTGAAACTTGTTTGTCTTGGTTCAGTGAAACTCCACTCTTCTTGTTTTCCTCTTATCTCTCTACTATAGTTCCTTTAAATGTATGTCTTCAGGGTAGGTGGCAGACCTTCCCTTTTCATTCTTACTCACCTTCCAAAGCCTGTTATTGTCTCTTTACTGATGTCACTACAATTTATATCTCTATCTAGACACCTCCTCAATTCTAGAATTGCGTACCAACCTCTTCATCTGGATGTCTCACCATCCTCTGAGGCTAACATGAATAACTACAACAGCAGCTACTGCCTTCTTTCTTCCACCGTATGCCACTCCTTCCATATTTTGTTAGAACTAATCTGGTCAGTATCTGCAAGATCAAGCAGCAAAATCTCATGCTTTACTTAGCATTTAAAATTGGTAACTTCCCCTCTGTCTGAAAACTTTCTGTAGTTCCAATGCTGAAATGTTGGGATACTCTTTTTGCTGTTCTAAACACTTGCTTTCAGTGATCTTGGTTCTATCTTCATCTGCTGCTTAAGCATAAAAGCTCGGTCAACATTCCTTTTCCATACTTTTTTTCTATGTTCCTCTTCAAATGTGTACATCCAACATAAAACATTTAACTGTATATACTTCTGTTTTTCTACAATATGGTGACTGCGTTGACTGTATTTATGTAGTGCTTTAAAAAAAATCAGTAAGAGCCAGGCATGGTAACTCATGCCTGGAATCCTAGCACTTTGGGAGGCAAAGGCAGGAGGACTGCTTGAGCCCAGGAGTTTCAGACCAGTCTGAGCAATGTAGGAAGAGCCTGTCTCTACAAAATATATATTTTTAAAATTAGCCAGGCATGGTGGCATGCATTTGTGATCCCAACTACTGAGGAGACTGTGGTGGATCACCTGAGCCCAGGAGGTCGAGGTTGCAATGAGCCATGACCACACCACTGCATTCTAGCCTGAGAGACAGAGACTCTGTCTGAAAAATTGAAAAAAAAAAAGAAAAAATCAATTAACATATTTTTCTTGGCCGGGCACAGTGGCTCACGCCTGTAATGCCAACACTTTGGGACGCCTAGGTGGGTGGATCACCTGAGGTCAGGAGTTTGAGACCAACCTGGCCAACATGGTGAAACCCCGTCTCTATTAAAAATACTAAAATTAGCCAGGCATGGCGGTGGTGCCTGTAATCCCAGCTACTCAGGAGGCTGAGGCAGGAGAATCACCTGAACCTGGGAGGTGGAGGTTGCAGTGAGCTGAGATTGTGCCACTGCACTCCAGCCTGGGCAACATACCGAGACTCCATCTCAAAAAACAAACAAAAAACCTTATTTTTCTCATGTAGGAACATATCCAGATACAAGTAGTGCAGGGCTGGTACAACTATTTAAAGATTTCTTTGAGGAACAGGGATCTCTTTCTTCTACTTCATCCCTTGGCTACAGCTGTCATTTTCATGATCACAAGATAGCTCTTTCAGCAGCTTCAGGAATGGCCAATTCATAGGGACAAAGATGAAGTGCAAAAAGTAGAGGACAAGATAGATAGTTCTGATCCCAGTGATATGTCTATTTTTGAATCAGCAAGAATGAATGATATGGCTACCCTTAGCTACAAGAAGTCAAAGAAGCGTTCTATAACCAGAGACCTTATTGTTCTTGGCTAAGATGGAATTCATTAGTAAGGAAAGATGAGCTCAAATGTTTGGTTGGCTGCTAGCAATACCAGTCTCACTGGGCCAGAAAACAACTTTTATAAAAACACCAACAAAGCAGTAAAATATAGTCCAGATTCTCTGAACACAATGGAATTAACCTAGAAACCAACAATAAAAAGATAACTGAAAATATACCTACCTCACATATTAAAAATACCTAATTCTAAACAGCCATGGATCAAAAAAAGTCATAATTAGTATTTACAGAAAATGTTATATTAAAAAAAGAGCCATTTGTAACCTTAAATCGTTCTTTTAGAGAACAAAGACTGAGACAAGGAGCTTGGAATCCACCTTAAGACAATGAAAACAGCAATTCCACATTCATAACACTTACAGGGTTTCTCTCTCAGTATGAATTCTCTTGTGTATAATAAGTGAAGAGCTCTGACTGAAGGCTTTTCCACATTGAATACATTCATAGGGTTTCTCTCCAGTGTGAATTCTCACATGCCTCCTAAGGGAAGAGGAAACACTGAAGGCTTTCCTACATTCCTTACATTCATAGGGTTTCTCTCCAGTGTGAGTTCTTATATGCATTCTAAGGGATGAGACCCCACTGAAAACTTTCCCACAGTCACTGCATTCATAAACATTCTCTCCGGTATGAATTTTCTTATGAACTTTAAGGTGAGAGCTCGTGTTGAAGGCTTTTCCACACTCACTGCATTCATAGAGTTTTTCTCCAGTGTGTATTCTCTTGTGCACTATAAGGTAAGAGCTTGTGCCAAAGGATTTTCCACACTGATTACATTCATAAGGTTTCTCTCCAGTGTGAGTTCTCATGTGAGCCTTAAGGGATGTTTTTTGACTGAAAGCTTTTCCACATTGATTACATTCATAGGGTTTCTCTCCAGTGTGAGTTCTTACATGTCTCCTTAAGGTTGAGGAATCATTGAACACTTTACCACATTCTTTACATTCATATTGTTTCTCACCCATGTGACTTTTCTTGTATAAAGTAAGATTAGAAATCCTTTTGAAGGCTTTTCCACATTGATTGCATTCATGTTTCTTTTCAGTATGAGTTTGTCCTTGTTTCTTAAGGGATGATTGATGACACAGCGTTTCATCTTTATTACATTCACAGGCATTCTGTGCCATATGCAAATTGTTAGGTACAGGAAACATATTATGTGTGAAGTGCATTCCATGTTTAGAATATGTGTACTCTTTTTGTACTGTTTGATTTCTCTGAAAATGCCATAGAGTTGTATCACATTCATGACTTTCATAGAGCTTCTCACTTATAGAGTTTTTCACATAATTGTTTATGATTGAATTGTGTTTCAAACATCCAATCTCTGAGTAACATTTTTGGCAATGTTTACTGGTGAAAATGCTCTGTGAAAAAATAAGTTTTGATCCAAGTTTAGAGTTTTCCTCTAATTCATGATAGTCACGGAATAGCTCCTGAGGTACTGTTTTCTTTGGGGCATATATCATTTGCCTCCAATGTCCCCCTGGAATCTTATGCTGTTTTCTGATCTTATGGCATTCCCAGTCTTCTCTTAATGTGGAGGACCAATTATGCATTGTGAGTTTTATCATTTTCACTGCATTGGATGGTTCCTCCCACAAAATTTTCTGCACAGTTGATTCTTTGGTTTTAGGTTGAATCTTCTGGTCTGGACAGATGGCTTGGGGAATTCTCTTTTTCATATTCCTTATCTCTTCTTGATCCAATGGGGAGATCACAGTAAGCCTGTACAACTGATATTCCACGGAGGTGAGATTTCTATAGTTTTCCAACATCACATCTCTGTACAGACTTCTTTGAGCAGAATCCAGCATCATCCACTCCTCCTGAGTGAACTCCACAGCTACATCTTTGAAAGTCATTGGTTCCTGTAACCAGGTTGTCAGAAATACAGCAATCATCCTTTCCTCTTCAGCATTTCTCAGATGGAAACAGGCAGAGTCCTGTTTAGTTAAAGCCCATGGGGAGGATAGGTCCATAACTGCCATTTTATGAGTACATAAGCCTGCACAGTAGAGTAGAGAGATCAGGATGTTTCTGTTCTTGTGTCTCCAATCCAGTCACAGGAGGGATGCATTTCACCCGAAGTTCTCCCTGTAGCCAAAGAAGCAAGTTCAGGTAAAAGAAGAAAGCTGGAAACAGGGCCCCACTTGGGGAAAGGTGAATACAAAATTGTAGACCCTCCCCATTACCTCTCAGCAAGGTCTAACCAGCTTAAAATCTTTACTGGGATTTGTACTGACATGCAATATAACGATCCTTACCCACTTCAAGAAATGCCATCCTGATTCTTTGTACTGGCTTCTCCTGCAGACCACTTTGAGCTCTGGGTGAATGGGGCATGAGTTATTTTTAAAAATGTAAACTAAAGAGAACCAACCAGTAAAAAATGCATGGCTGTCAAATTAAATTTAATGTACTATTTGCTACTTTTTTAACTTTTGGGGACAGAAAAACAAACAATTTCCCTGTGAAACACACCTGTTTCATATAAATTTCTTCTATAACTTGTTTACAAGAATAACCTTACAGGACTGACAACTTGGCTGCTATCCTACCAATGAATTTTATTGAAGTTAAAGGTGTATATGTGACTTTGAAACAGATGTTCACTTCAATGAGAACATACGGACACAGGGTGGGGAACACGCACTGGGGCCTGTCGGGTGAGGGCAGCAGGGAGAGCATTAGGAAAAAGAGCTAATGCATGCCAGGCTTAATACCTAGGCGATGGGTTGATAGGTGCAGCACATGTTTACTTAACAAACCTGCGCATTCTGCACATGTACCCTAGAACTTAGAATAAAGAAACAGATGTTCATTTGATTATTACTTCCAGTTTAACCTCCCTCCCCAAAGTCCATATTGTCATCTATGATAATTTATTCTATCTAACACTTGAATGGGGTCAAATGACAAAGGAAGAACCATGAACTGCATTCCCAAGTTTAGGAGTGAGGCACTAACTATTAACATTAGATATTGTACTTTCCTGGATAATTTTTATAATGGATTTAATATAAATAACAAAATAACATATAGCGTAAATACAAAAGATACATGCTTGGGGACTTTAAGGATCATGACAAATCACAAAACAATTTATTATACTAATATTTTTAAAGTTCTCACTTTTGGAAGACTAGGTAGTTAACCGTCAAATGCAAGTCTTTTCTGTGAATACTGTACATCAATAGAACTCAGTTTTAATGGACAAAATTATAGAACTGACATTTTTATTTAGACAAAGATCTTTATCAGGTAGTCTATGTCCCTAAACCAGGAGCGTATATAGGTCTGTCACTTTAGGGAAACTCATTTAGAAATAGATTTTGTCTGATTTGTTTACTGCTATATTCCTAGTACCTAGAAGAGTCCTCAGCCCATGGCAGAAACTCAACAATTTGAGTAAACCAAATGAACCTATGATAATTAAGGTTTTGTGCATGGGGGTATTTTTTCCACACCCACACCCTTCTTTCAAGAAGGAAAAGGAAATTGTTAGGCTTCTGGGTTGGGTACAGGGGCTAATGCCTGTAATCCCAGCACTTTGGGAGACCAACGCGGAGGACTGCTACCAGACTGGGCAACATGGTGGGACTCTGGGTCTCTACAAAAAATTTAAATATTAGCCAACCATGGTGGCATGCGCCTGAAGCCCCAGCTACTCAGGAGGCTGAGATGGGAGGATCACTTGAGCCCAGGAGGTTGAGACTGCAGTGAACCATGTTCATGCTACCACACTCCAGCCTGGGCAACGGAGTGAAATCCTTTGCTTGAAAAAAAAAAAACAAAAACACACACAAACAACAACAACAACAACAACAACAAAGTTAGGCTTCCTCTTCAAGAAAGAAAATCTGTTTGCCTTGTAGTAAAAGATATTAAGAATTGTATTGCAGGTTTAACCCTTCATTCCTCATAGTTTTCTTTCTTTTCTAGTTATAGCACTAATTACAAACACTAAACAACTTTACTAAACAATAGGAAAAAATATTTGAATAAATGGCGAGATTCACTAGGTGAATCACCATGGGATTTTGATTAATCTATGTATTTAATAGGGATTTCCTGAAATGTAGCTTTTAAAGTTTTATAGAAAACTAAAGATATATAAAAAATCAAGGCAAATACTTTAAAATGCCTTACCCTATTATGTTTCAAAATACATTATAAATCTCTAGTAAGTAAAACAGAATGATATTAGGGCAATAATAGAAAACAAAACAGTATCTTCAGAAACAGATTCTGTGTAGCTAGACATTTAGTACATAACAAAGATGGCACTTTAAATCGGTGGGGGGAAGGATGAACTATTTAACAAATGATATCAAGACAAATGGCTTTCTGTTTGGAAAAAAACACACCCCTCACATTCACAAATTCCAGATGGATTAAAGATATGCATATGTGTTGAACAGGAATTCCAGAAGAGGAGAAAAAAGGGAACAGAAAAGAAGCAATGTGAGATATAATGAATGATTGTTTTTACTCCAAGATGAAAGAAGGATATATAAGTCCTTGATCTGAAAGCCTATATACCATGTGCCATGTAGAATACATTTTAAAAATACATCAGCTACCAGCTACACTGAAGGTAAACTAGAATATCAAGAATAATGTGTAAAACTTTAAAGTTACCGAAGAAAAAAGGCTAATTATCTACAAGGGAATATCAATTATACTGACTACAGACTTCTCAGTTGCAAAGATAGAGGCCAAAAAGGCAATAAAATAATATCTTCAAAGTACTAAAGGAAAACAACAACAACCTAGAATTCAATCGTATGCTAAAGACTGAGAGCAATATAAAAGGCCTTTTATATTGCTCTCAGTCTTTAGCATACGATTGAATTCTAGGTTGTTGTTGTTTTATATGGGTGTTCTATATGGGTGTGTGTGTTAACCACTCAAGATAGTTCCTGAAGGAACTACTAAAAGGATGTAAGCTGAACTCAGAAGAAAGCAGAGGGGTGTAGGAGTAAAACAAAAGCAAAGAAGGAATTCAGAGGAAACAATGTAAGAAACAGAAAACAACAAACTTCAAAGCAACAACAGCATATTCAAAAGAGCACACAGCAAGGGATATTGGAATTAAAACAATATGGAGACATAATTTTTCTATGGAAAAACCATACAGACTTCAAATTGTATAAACATTATCTGGACCATGAGTCAAAGAAATGAATTTTAAAAATTCACGAGAAAACGGAAAAATCTGAACACTGCCTATACATTAGTTACTTATTTTTTAGAGACAGGGTGTCACTATATTGGCCAGGCTAACCTTGAAATCCTGGCTTAAGTGATCCTCCACCTTAGCCTCTGGCCTCCTGAATGGCTGGGACTACAGGCATACCCTCCCCACCCCATCCCTTGGCTTTTGCCTATAAATTTGATATAAAGGAATTACAAATTTTGCAGGTGTGAGACTATCCTACTTAAAAAGGAGTACTTATCATTCAGAGATGCATTCTGAAATATTTGCAAATAATATATAATGTCCAAGATTTGCTTCAAAATAGAACAATGGGGCCTTTTTCACAAGATGGCACTGATGGCGAAGAAGGAAACTCCTGTCTCTCCTATGGCTAAAGCCAAAGCAAAGGCTTTGAAGGTCAAAAAGGCAGTGGTGAAAGGTATTCACAGCAACAAAAAAAAAGAAGATCCGCATGTCACCCATCTTCTAGCAGCCCAAGACACTGAGGCTCTGGAGGCAGCCCACGTATCTTCAGAAGAGCACCCTCAGGAGAAACAAGATTGACCACCATGCTATCATCAAATTCCTACTGAGTCTGCCATGAAGAGGATAGAAGGTAACACACTTGTGCTCACTGTGGATCTTAAAGCCAACAAGCACCAGGTCAACATGCCCTCCTCACAGGCTTGTGAAGAAGCTCTATGACACTGATGTGGCCAAGGTCAACACCTTGATCAGGCCTGATGGAGAGAAGAAGGCATATGTTTGACTGGCTCCTGGTTCCCATGCTCTGGATGTTGCCAACAAAACTGAATAATCTAAACTGAGTCCAGCTGGCTAATTCTAAATATGTACATCTTCTCATCAGGAAAAAATAAAATAGGATGATTGGTACACTGTACTACTATATTTGTGTATGTGTTTGAAAACTTCATAATTTGAAAAATAATCAGAGAGATATTTCCTCTATGAAATAAGAATACAACTCTATGGATTTTTTTTAATTTCCCAGGAAGTTAAAAATTATAATTTAAAAACTCCCCAAAAAGGTACAAGGGTTAAAAGATAAACTTAGGGCCGGGCACGGAGGCTCATGCCTGAAATCCCAGTACTGAGGCGGGTGGATCATGAGGTCAGGAGATCGAGACCATCCTGGCTACTGTGAAACCCCATCTCTACTAAAAATATAAAAAATTAGCCGGGCGTGGTGGTGGGTGCCTGTAGTCCCAGCTACACGGGAGTGTGAGGCAGGAGAATGGCATGAACCTGGAAGGTGGAGCTTGCAGTGAGCCGAGGTCGTACCACTGCACTCCAGCCTGGGCAACAAAGCGAGACTCCGTCTCAAAAAAAAAAAAAAAAAAAAAGATAAACTTAAGGAACTTTTCTAGAAAGCTGATCTTGGCTGAACACAGTGGCTTACGCCTGTAATCCAGCACTTTGGGAGCCGAGGTAGGCGAATCACTTCAGGTCAGAATTCTAAGACCAGCCTGGCCAACACAGTGAAACCCCGTCTCAAATAAAAATACAAAAAAAAAAAAAAGCTAGATGTGTTGGTGCACACCTGTAATCCCAGCTACTCGGGAGGCTGAAGCAGGAGAAATGCTTGAACCCAAGAGGTGGAGGCTGCAGTGAGCCGAGATGTGCCACTGCACTCCAGCCT
The DNA here is from genome assembly GCF_000001405.40 of Homo sapiens. Classification (NCBI taxonomy): domain Eukaryota; kingdom Metazoa; phylum Chordata; class Mammalia; order Primates; family Hominidae; genus Homo; species Homo sapiens. The sequence goes on from NC_000012.12 coordinate 133,126,791, forward strand.
GGGCAACACAGTGAGACTCTGTTTCAATAAATAAATGAATAAATAAGTAAAGCTGATCTAAAAGAAAAAGTAAGAATAAATAAAAAAAGACCACTATATGAGCAATTTAAGGTACCCCAGATTACTCAGAGTTCCAGAAAGAAAAAACAAGAGGAAGAAACAAACAAGTACAGGAAAACTTTTTTTTTTTTTTTTTTTTTTTGAGACGGAGTCGCCCAAGCTGGAGTGCAGTGGCACAATCTCGGCTCACTGAAACCTCTGCCTCCCGGGTTTAAGCAATTCTCTGCCTCAGCCTCCGAAGTAGCTGGGATTACAGGCGCCGGCCACCACGCCCGGCTAATTTTCTTATTTTTAGTAGTAGAGATGGGGTTTCACCATCTTGGCCAGCCTGGTCTTGAACTCCTGACCTCATGATCCACCCACCTCGGCCTCCCAAAATGTTGGGATTACAGGCGTGAGCCACGGTGCCCGGCCAGAAACTTCTTATTCCTTAAAAAAACACAGTATCTAAGAACTGATCCATCAAAGCAAGTAATTTCTTTAAATAATTAGAACACACATCATCATGAAATTTTTGAATACCAAAGAGCTCCAAGAGATGATAAACAGATTACACATAAAAGAACAAGGTATGAAATAGGACTTCTCAACAGTAACAGTAACACTGCTCCATTTCCTATCTAGCTTCACTGGCTTTCAAAATTCTAATGGAAAGTAATTTCCTATTGAGATGTGTATACTCGGTGAAAACACCACACAAATGTGAGGAAAAAGTAATTTCTAATCATTTCTACAACTTTAATATATGTAGATCATATGGACCCTTTCTTCAAGGCAGTTAAGATTACAATCCACCAAACAGGAATAGAAGTGCTTTACAGGAAACAGGAGATTTAACACAGAGGTGAGATGAGGAAATTGATGAGGGCAAAAGGGAAGCCCAGTGGTATGCCAGCGTGCTGCATGCCTACAGAGTAACTGATCAATCTACATTGCAGGGGGATGTCCAGGAAAGGAGAAAAGTGATAAGACTGTATGACAGATTAGCCCTTGAGGAAAATGGAACCAAAAGACATTTTACATAGATTTAAGAAAAACTAAGCAAATGAATAAAAAAGGCAGTCATTAAAAACAAGAAAGGTAAACCTTGCACAAGAAAGAAACATATTATGGCTCAGTACTAAAGAGTAGTCATCAAATGAAAACACTGAACATATTTATCCAAAATTTGTGGGAGAACTACATTATAATATTTGTAAAATAATTACATTGTGATTTAAGGATGTAGAAAGAAGGCAGCCAAAGTTCTTATTTAACATGATAAAAATTTTAAAATAATGTCACAAATCGGTGAATAAAAAAATACTGAGAGGAGTTCGAAGCCAGAACTGCTTAAATATTTCCAAGTGGTTGCCACTGGGAAGAGATGGGGTTAAGGTGTTTCCTGTTTTTATTATGAGTCTTTTAACATATTCAGCTCTTAAAAATGTACACACACATTTCTTGGAGCACAAATAAAGAGTAGTAAATTAATTACCCAGTCAAATCAAGAAGCAGATGGCCAGGCACGGTGGCTCACGCCTGTAATCCTAGCACTTTGGGAGGCCAAGGCGGGCGGATTGCCTGAGCTGAAGAGTTCGAGACCAGCCTGGGCAACACCGTGAAACCCCGTCTCTACTAAAAAATACAAAAAATTAACCGGGCATGGCAGTGTGCGCCTGTGATCCCAGCTATTCCAGAGGCTGAGGCAGGAGAATGGCTTGAACCCGGGATGTGGAAGTTGCAGTGAGCAGAGATCCTGCCATTGCATTCCCGCCTGGGCGAGAGAGAGAGACTCTGTCTCAAAAACAAACAAACAAACAAAAACAAAAATTAGCTGGATTAGCCGGGCGTGGTGGGGCCTGAGGCAGGAGAATCGCTTGAATCCGGGTGGTAGAGGCTACAGTGAGCCGAGATCACGCCACTGCACTCCAGCCTGGAGACAGAGTGAAACTCTGTCTCGAAAAAAAAAAAAAAGTAGAAAAACAGAGACAAAGTAAAAGAAAAATTTAAAAATTAAGAGCAAAACTTACTGTAATAGGACCCCCCTCCCCAAAAAAGACCAAAACAAAACAACAAAAAAACCAAAACCAAATCTACATTTTTGAAAAGACTATGTACACATATACCTTATAGGAGTAATCAAGAAAAAAAGGCCTAGATAATTAGGTTCAAAAAAGAAAAAAATAACAATTACAGCAGTAAAATATTAAAAAGTGGTGATTTTAAAAATCACCATAGAAATTACTTACAGTGATAAAATAGCATGGGCAATTTTATGCCAATAAATTTGAAAAATTAGATTAAAAACAATTATCTAGGAAAGGTATCTAAAACAGAATACGAACTAAAAAACCTAATCAATGAGACTTTTTAAAAAATTGAGTCAGGGCCGGGTGCGGTGGCTCACGCTTGTAATCTCAGCGCTTTGGGAGGCCGAGGCAGGCTGATCACCTGAGGTCGGGAGTTCCAGACCAGCCTGACCAACATGGAGAAACCCCATCTCCACTAAAAATACAGAATTAGCTGGGCGTGGTGGCTCATGTCTGTAATCCCGGCAACTCACAAGACTGAGGCAGAAGAATCACTTGAACCCGGGAGGCGGAGGTTGCTGTGAGCCAAGATGGCGCCATTGCACTCCAGCCTGGGCAACAAAGAGCGAAACTCTGTCTCAAAAAAAAAAAAAAAAAAAATTGAGTCAGAAGTTAAATGCGTACTAAATATTTTAAGACCAAATAGCACCAAACTTTTGGAGGCGGGCGGGGGGCGGTGAGGGGTGGTGACCTGTTTTACAGAATAGAAGAGAGACTGTGCTGTCCAAATTATTCATGAAGCTTGTAAAATCTTGTTAGTATAACGGGCAAGGATAGTACACAAAAAGATTAAAACACAATCTTGTGAGCATAGGTGAAGTCAAAGGGAAACAGCCAATTGAATACACCAGAGTATTAAAGAAATAAAACCATATCGCATTCAACCACAGTATAAGGCAATAGGTGAAAAAAACGATGGCTGTGATTCAACTCATTACTAGGTTTAGAGATTCAAGAGAGGCTGCTGGACAGAGGCGTGCACCCTTTAGCCCTCCCGTGTTGCTTAGAGAAGGAGGCAAACGCGCATCCCCGGCCCCCCAGCGCTCCCTGCGTGGCACCCGCAGCCAGCCCGGGACCCCTCCGCCCCGCGCGCCCCTGGTCCCCACTCGCTCCCCGCGCTCCACTCGCACCCGGTAAGTAGCCCCTCCTCCCTCAAGGGCCTCTCCCACCGCCGCCTCCCGGGCAGGCTCCCTGCTGCTCAGACTCCCGTGAGGCGATCCCTGCACGCAGGAGAACTCAGCGGGCCAGGCTGATCCCACGAGGGACTTGTCCCGGGTGAACGAGCCACAGGCCCGCATGCTCACCCGTCCTCAGTGCCTGCCTCCAGGCGTCCGCGGTCCCGCCCGAGGGGGACGCGAGGCCGAACTACGTTTCCCAGGAGCTCCTGCGCCGCCCCGCAGAGGGGCCTGGTCTGTGCGTCACGGACGCGCTCTGGGCCGAAGGCCCGCAGGGTCCGGCACAGAGTGGCGGCTGCGGCGCCGGCGACGAATCGCCGGCTCTAGGGTCCCGGGGCGCGCGGCTGACGGGCTGGGGGCGGAGCGTGGCCTGAACGCCAGGCTGGGGCGCGTGCGTAACGGTGTGTGTTGTGGGTGCGTGTGCGTGCGTTCGCAGCAGGGGCGGGCGTAGGACCAATGGGGGCGGGGCGCGTGCGCGTGCGTGACGTCAGGCCACGGGGAGGTGGCGCCGCCGTGCCGAGCCGGCCTCAGACTCACCTCTGACGCCGCTCTTCGCGCTCCGCTGGTGAATGGAGTCGCGTTCTCTGTTTTGCTGTTGCTGCTGCCTTTGTGACGGGATCGCTTTCTCCCATCGAACCTTCTAGTTGCTTATTGCAGGTATATACGAAAGTGCTGAATTTTGTGTTTGCATCGTCATCAGGCGCGTGTTGAGCCCTTTAGTAATGTAGCAGTGTATTAGCTTCGTATTTCTAGGTAGACGGTAATTTCGTCAATGAAAAAATTTAACGGTGATCGTCACCCCTTGCCTCAGTCACTTTCTGTCCCTCGCGCGGCCCCGGCGTTCACGGCGGACGTTCTTGTTCTGTGGAGAATAACGGCTGCACCTGGAGATTGACGCAGAGTGGGCGGCGGTGGTGGTAAGTTTGAACCAGATATTTTCAGTAATACAAAATAAGGTTTCTTCTAGTCTAACTTCCATTTTTCCCCCCAGCTGGGATAGATGTTTAAAATTTTGCATATGGCCTTTCTAGTATTTGTTGAAATAGTGACGCCGATTCGTGTGTGGTCTTTTAAAAACAAATCCTGCATCTCTAGCTCTTAGCTTCCTCATCTTTGTTTTGTTTTTTAATCAGATAGATTAACTGAAGGCGTGTTTGTGTGGTTAATCTATTTTTTTTATTTTCAGAGACAGATCATAAGTTTAATTACTATATTTTTATTTTCCCTTGACACTAGATATATATACGCCATCTAACACATAATATGAGTGTCAAAGATAAGGTTAACATCAAGATTTCGTACGTAGATCCCACCCAAAGTGTATGCAGAAGGTGAACAATTTCAATTCCAGCTATACATTAATTGCAGAAAGATACTGTTAATTAAAAAAAAAAAAGTAAAAGGGAAGGCAGGATGTCACCCAGAATGCCAGCCAACAAGTGTTATTAGGTTAGAAATGACTGCAGTTAGGTCTCCGAGAACTGGATAGCACAAATCCTCCCTACCCTTTTGAAAATTACCTCCACACTAACTTTTCTCTTGTGACATAACTAATCTCTTCTGTTTTACTAAAATTGTCCCCCATCTTCCAAAGCCTCTTGGATGGTAAGTTGCACACGCTCCTGCCTCTTTTTGAAAGTTACATTTGTTTTTTGATTACTTCTCTCAGCATGCATTTCTTTAGCTCTTAGTATATGCTAGTCACAAGGGCAGAGATTTGAGATACACATCATAAATTAAATGAGAATTTCTGCTTATCAGTATTTTATATAAGCACTGTCTGGAAATTCTACTTAGGACAATATTTAAGTAGATATGAGGCTTACCTTCTGGAAAAGAGATTACAAAATTATCCTTGTTAATTAATTAACTAATTAAGTCCCCAAAATGAGAAGAGATTCAATTACTATCAATAATTTGTAGTAAAGTGACTGAAAAGGAAATATATAAGCTAATAGATTGATTGCCGTCCTCAACAAGTTAGCACATACTTTTATTTTTAAAAAGTCTTCACAATAGGAAGAAAATAATTTTAGCTAGAAATATATGTGAACTATATGAGAAAAACTTCAAAACCTTACTAGGCAATTCTTACTAGAAGAATAAAGGATGAGTAAGAATAAAAACAGTTCTGTTTATAGATTATATTCAATTGTCAAGAAAATCTGAGAATTTTTTTTTTTTTTTTTGAGATAGAGTTTTGTTCTTGTTGCCCATGCTGGAGTGCAATGGCTCGATCTTGGCTCACTGCAACCTCTGCCTCCTGGGTTCAAGCAATTCTCCTGCCTCAACCTCCCTAGTAGCTGGGATTACAGGCGCCAGCCACCATGCCCAGCTAATTAACATATGCCAGTCACAAGGGCAGAGATTTGAGATACACATCTTAAATTAACAAGAGCAACAAGAGCGAAACTCCGTCTCAAAAAAAAAGTATTTTAAGGAAAAAGAAATTTCTTATTGTTAATATCTCTGTTGTGCCTACAAGAGACTCTTTTACTTTCATCAGCAGTACTCTTTCTAGCATGTCTCATGTCAGCCAGGGCTTTTAATTCTTCTGGCTATGAAGCAAGGTTGGGACAAGATATGATATAGGCCACCTTTGTCTGTGTATGTGCCTCTTTGACTCGTAATGAACATCCAAGAGCATTATTTTTTCCTCTTTCCACACAATATCTCCTTGCTGACTGATCCTAACATTTCCTGTTCAAAATTTTATTATGAAGAATTTTGAGCATACAGCTAAATTAAAAGAAGTTTACAGTGAATACTTATAAACCTTCCCATCTAGACTCTACCATTAATATTTTACTGTACCTAATTTTAACACATACCCATCTGTCCCTCTTTTTATCCATCAGTTCATTGTATTTTTAAATTTTTTTCAAAGTAAATTGACATGGGTACGTATTCCTTAAAAATTTCAGAATACGTATGTATTATTAATTAGAATTCTATATTTGTTTAGATTTTTCTTTAGATGTAAAATTTACATAACATGAAAAGCGCAAATCTTAAGTGTACATTTGCTGAGTTTTGACAGATGCAGGATCTTTGCCTTTTGTATCTTTAAGTATATCTTTGCCATGTCTATTGGTTACCGAGTTTTAACTTTGTGGCTGCTGGGTCCTTTTTGCTGATCATACCTTGCCCTTTGCTGAAGCAAATACTGGTAAACCTATTCAGAACTTGAAGAGACCCTGTTCTCTTTATTAATGAACATGTACTCCATGTCCCCAAGTGAAATGCGGTTCCTGACGAGGTTGTACCTGTCAATGTGAGTGCTGGTTAAGTATAGTCACATGTCAGAGTGAATGAATATGAAGTGCTAAGCACTTTGCTAGCCTCTTCCCAGGATTTAGAATGAGATTGTCCTAATTCTTAAGTGGTTCACTATCTCATAAGGGAGACAGACAAATCTTGGTACCGTAAGGCAGCGTTGAAGTGCTGGAATAGGGCATGGGCAGAGTCCTTCATGTTTACGGATGATAGAACCACTGATCCTCTCTGAGATAGTGGGAAGGCGTCACAGCATAGATGGCATTAAAGTGATCCTTAGAGAATATGGGGCAAGTGTAGTGGGAGTTAAGTTGAAAAGGGTCCAGAACGTTGTTGTGAAACTTGTACGCTAAGTGTTTGATTGGAGCTGTGCTTTGGAACTGCGTGTGCCTCAAATAGTAACTTTCATAGCCTTCTTGCCGATACTTGGAGCTTCTTTTCAGCCCATCTCTGCCCTTGTGGCAGCCAAAATAATGGCTCCCCAGAGATATCCCCAGCACCTGGGAATATTTTACCTTATACTGCAAAATAAAATTTGCAGTTGTGATTCAATGAAGGATCTCAAGATGGGGAGAGATTATCCTGGATTATTTCAGTGGGCTTAGTGTAATAACAGGGGTCCTTAAAAGTAAAAGAGCTGGGTGGCCGGGCACGGTGGCTCACGCCTGTAATCCCAGCACTTTGGGAGGCCAAGGTGGGGAGATCACCTGAGGTCAGGAGTTCGAGACCAGCCTGGCCAACTTGGTGAAACCCTGTCGCTACTAAAAATACAAAAAAAAAAAAAAAAAAATTAGCTGAGTGTGGTGGTGGGCGCCTGTAATCCCAGCTATATGGGAGGCTGTGGCAGGAGAATCACTTGAACCCAAGAGGCGGCGGTTGCAATGAGCCGAGATTGCTTCACTGCACTCCAGCCTGGGCAACAGAGCAAGACTCCCTCTCAAAAAAAAAAAGTAAAAGGGGGATAAGAAGGTTAGCAATCAGGGAAATATAACCATGAAAGAAAGGCACAGAGAAATGTATCATTGCTGGCCTTGCAGGTGGAGGAAGGGTCAGGAGCCAAGGAGTGTAGATGGTCCTAGACACTGGACGGGGGCAAGGAAATAGATTCTTCTCTAGAGCCTCCAGAAGGAACACAGCTCTGCCAACACCTTAATTTTAGCCCTCCGAAACCTGTATCAGACTTCTGACCTCCAGAATTGTTATGTAACAAATGTGTGTTGTTGAAAACCACAAAGTTTTGATAATTGGCAGCAATGGAAAACTAATATAGCCCTCTGTCCTTAAGAGTTTACCAAAATAAAAATAGTCTCCCTTTCTCTGGCACTATGTTTTGACTTTGCCTCAGAAGAAAAATGGAGTGATTATAAATATTTTTTGTGACCACTCTGGTAGAAAATATAGACTTTATTGTAACATTTATGTTCACAAATAGAATTATATAGTCTTCTAGGAGATTTTACCATTTGGAGGTGGGAAGAAAAATCTCTTTGCAAATGTAAAGCTCACATTGTGGAATGGCTGTTGCTGTGCTTTCTAACTCCTAACATTGGACCTTTTCTCATCGTTGTTCCAGTTTTTCCTTCCCCAGGAAGTTTTGCAGATTTCCCCAGCCACATTTCCTTTCTCCATTCTCTTCATGTCTGTGGTACTAGACTTTTAACATCCTTCCATGGTTACAATCTGCTTGAGGGAGGGAAATTATTCTCATAGTTGTGTTCCTAACATCTTAAAAAGAGCTTCTCAGGTAGGGGACGCTCAGTCACTCTTGATAGCTACCTGAAATGCCTTTTGATCTTAGTGTGCGCATATAGAATTGTCTTTTGCCTTTCATGGGTCTGCCTTGTCTTACTGGGAAGATTATTGGATCTCAGAGCATCCAGACTACCTCTCATCTTTTGTTCTTACACAGCAGTGACCAAATAGTAAGTTGGGCTCCAAACTCTGCACTGTGAGCTGGGGAAAGGGCACTCAATGCTCCCTGAATACCAAGATCCATTATGCTGCTGCAGCCAAAACAGGAAATAAATAATGCTGGACATCATCAGGCAGAGGATTTGAAACAGCTTTCCTCTGTGGCATCGCAGTGTTCCAGGACTTCGTTATATGAGCTGAGCCTACCTTGCCTTCTCATCTCTGGAGGCTCTTCACTTCACTCTGCTCATGTCATCACTCCTGTGTGTCTCAGACTTCCACTCATGACCCAAACAGCACAGCCTCTGCAAACTTCGGTATCCCTCTTTCTGACTCTTACCCCTTGTTCTCCTGGCTCTTTTTATGTCCTTATTCTCACGACTCTTCTTGGAGGTTCTCCTCAAATCTGTCAGCTCCTTCCTTGACTCATGTCTATACCAAAACTAGATCCTGTTGTTGATTGCACACATTTCTCACATGAGGCATTCTTACTTCTCTTGCTCTGCATTACCTGCACACATAGAAATCCCAGCCCAGAACACTGCACAGTTTGCCTTTTCTTCTGTTCAGGCAGCGAGTGCTGCTTGAGGAAATCACAGCTAGGCAGACAAGTATGACAGACATACTCTCCGTAACCTCAGCTTATCTTTTGTCAGCAGCTTTTGCTAGTTTGTCACTGCATGGCCCAAACCTTTATCACTGTCCTCAATGATCATGGCCATCTGTTGTTCCTCTCATTGTTAGCAAATAGCCTTGCTTTCTTTTTTGACTCACATTTCTATTGAACTGCCTGCTAATTGTCAACATCCCACCTATCCTGACTTCCAGGAGGTAGGAGAGAATGAAGCATCCTTCTTCCTTTAGAAGCCTGATGCCTTCATCAGAGATTTGACCCCATCCTTCCCCCCTTCTCTCTCCTCTAGTTCCAACTCCCTTGTCTATTAATTGCTTCCTCTGTTTTTAGTCTCCACTCTGACCCCACCACCTCTTCTACCTGCCCTTTCTCTTCCTTCTCCACTTCCAAACTTTTCATTCCTATTGTGGAATTTGTCTGCTGTTTCCACTAGTGTATTGAAACTGATCTCCTCAAATTATTAGTGAAGGCTTATCTAACCAATCCAATACCTTTCAATCCTTAATTTATCTAACTCTATTTTGATCTACCCATCCTTGAAATTTACATATCTTAGTTCTCTTTATCTGGAGGTTCTCTGCCTCCTTTTTGGGCTTCTCTTTTATTTGCTTCCTAAACGTTGATTTTTCTCTATAATCCTGGTCCTACCGTTTATTTTACTCTTCAAGTTCTCTGGTTGGTTTTATGCCAAGGTTTCATCTGATAATGCCATTACGTGGCACTACTGAATATTACTGTTTCTTAGTAAGCTTTATATGAAATATGTCACAGGGTTGTTGATAGGAACATATGATCCCCCTTAGACTCCTTTATTCATGTGTTTACTTCACCTATATCTTATAGCAGGAGAATATAGTTACTCTTAAATATGTGACAAAAGACCATCCTCCTCCCGAAAAGCTTGTCCTGTTTGAGTATATAGCCAGGCAGCTTGAGTGGATTCAGATAGAATACAGATATGGAAGGCAGATGATGTACATCTGGATAACCCTCACATTTAAATACAGCCTCCTAGATGCCACTTCTCTGTGGCTTACTCACTGTGTTCATGTGGCCTACTCACTATGTTCAAAACCAATCGCATCATTTCTCTAGTACGTAACCCTTCTGATATTGTTCTCCATTTAGTCACACAGAAGCCTGAGAGTCATGTGAAGCTGCTAGCCCTTTCTCACACCCACATTCAGTCAAATTCCAGGACATACTGATCCTACCCAAATCTACCTGCTCTCCATTTCTACCATCATGGCCCTAATTTGTGTTCCCAAATCTTCTGGATTAAAGTATTAGCCTACTACCTGGTTTTTTTTGGGGCTACTATTATATCTTCCTCTAGTCCATTACACAGCTACCCCTAGAAGAGCACTTTGAAGACACTAATATTGTTTCCTGGCTTACAACATTTAGGAAAGAGTCCACATTTCTGAGAATGGCATTCTTGGCTGGCTGTGACCTAGATCTGGCTTTGCACACCTCTGGCCCTGTTTCTTTTTGTTCTCTGGCCTAAACTATATGCACTAGAAGTATTGAAATTCTTCCCCTTACACATAATCTTCTTAGGCATTGCCTTTGCTCACGATGTTCCCCAACCTCCCTTACCTACCAAACCAGCTCTGACACTCAGCCCATTCCTCCCTGAAACCATTAGGCTGTGTTAGAAACCACCTTCTATGCTCCTGTGAGCCCTTGTCCATTGCTGTTATTATAGCAGTAATCAAACTCTACTGTAAATGTGTGTTTTCAGTTTCTTCCAGTAGCCTCAGCTGCTTGAGGTAAGGGATTAAATGCCTTGTTCACATTTCTATCTTCAAGGCCTGGTACAGAGCTAGGAATATAAGTGTTCGGTAGAGATTTATTAAAATGGCAGAAGTTCCAAATCTATACCACTAAGATAGTTATTAACTTACCAGCTGTTTCCTCAAAAACAAACAAAACTTCTCCCAGTATCCCTGCTCTGAGAATGACTGATACTTTAGAGAAGTCAGTTTTGGCCAGTCACATAAAAGGATCCTTTGTGATGGATCTGATTACCTCAAGAATGGTAGAAACCTGGAATTAAATAAATAATGGTTTACATCTGTGTTTCTCAACCTTAGCTATACATTCATTTGTACCAGGTGGAGCTCTTAAAAAAAAAAAATCCTTAATCCCTTCTCAGATAATTAAATCAGAATCTCTTGGTATGGGACCCAGGTATCAATAAATGCCAAACATACTTAGCAATTCCAGCGTGCAGCCAGAGTTTAAAACCGCTGGGTTAGATAAAGGTTTGAGTGAGTTATCTAGTAGTAGTTGCTAAGGGAAATTAGAATTGAGTGAGACCTAACCCAAACTGTTTATAATTATGGTAGTTATTAGAATGGACCTTATGTGTCTGTCTAAACCAGAAGCCTTACTGTAGTTTTGTTTTTTTTTTAATGAGATCCTATTGAAAATTTATTAGTGACCAGAAATTTTGAGACCCTGTCTAAAAAAAAAAAAAAATTAGCCAAGTACAGTGGCTCATACCTGTAGTTCTAGCTGCTTGGGAGGATCACTTGAGCCCAGGAGTTTGAGGCCACAATAACCTCCCTGGGATGCCAGTACTATTTCCAGATATGTCATTTGATTAACAGTATCTCATTATATTGACTTGTAATTGACTTCTTTGTAACTCCACACATATGTCCTAATCCTTCCCTGTGCAACAACTCAGAATAAATATTATTCCGAGGATAGGATGTGCAAATGTGTGAAAACTATTTTCTTGCTTCCTGTAAGTAATTTTTTTCAGGCTGAGTATTTCCAGTTACTTCAGCCTTTGCTTATCTTGAAAAGCAAGCTCTATGAGGGAAGGACCCATGTCTGAATGGCTACTACTCTGTTCTTAGCCCCTAGGATAGTACTTGGCATATTGTAAGTATTCAGTTAATGTCTGGTGTAAAAAGGGATGAATAAAGGAACCGTCTGGGTTCGTACACCTCTTTATCCTGCTAACTCTGGCATTCTGACTCCTTAAAAGGAACCTTGTACTCCTGTGATAACATCCATACAAAGTACATATAGCATCCACTTGTATATCTTAATTTCCTGAAATAGTATGGCATTGCCTTTATTGTCAGCTAAAATTTGTAACTGATCTTTACTTATATTGCTGGTGAAAGGATTAAAAACAGGGTAAGGACAGAGACCTGTACCTGATGTCAGAAACTTCTCTCCATAAGGACATGACCCTTTGGTCAGCTAATTGTGGATCTCTCTTGCTGTACTTTAATTCAGTCATTGTTGCTTCTTCTTTCAGTGGCTGTGGGAGCAAAGAGTAAGAAACACTAAAACTTCCTGGAGAAATTAGGTAATGACATAAGAATGGATAATGTTTGATCTTGCAACATGGGTAAGGTTTTACCAAGAGACAAGAAAAGGAAGAACATATCTGGCTTAGGAATAGCATAGATAAAGATGTTCAGGCAACTCAAGTGGTTCACCATAGTTATAGGGAAATGTATGGTAGTTTGATAAAACATTTAGGGCATAGGGAGGTAGAAAAGCCACAATCACAGAGGATCCTAAATCTATGCCAAGGACTTAGTCCATTTTTCTATACGTACTGGGAGACCAAAAGGGAATTTTAAACAGGGAGTGAAACTTTTGTGTTTTACAGAGATGATGTTGCTGCAAACACTCATTGGAGTGAGAGAGACCAAAGGCAAAGAAGTCAAGTAGGAGGTCTCTAGGTGAAGAATTATGAGGCCCTGAATCAGGGCCACAGCAGTAGGAGTTGGTGGAAGACATTTAAGAGGGGGAATTTATAGGTTGTGGTGACTGATTGGATGTTAAAAAGAAACTCTAGAAAGACACTTGCTGGTTGGGCGCAGTGGCTTACATCTGTCATTTGAGCACTTTGAGAGGCCCAGCACTTTAGGAGGCCAAGGCATGAGGACTGCTTGAGGCTAGGAGTTCTAGACTAGCCTGGGCAACATAATGAGACCCCTATCGCTGCAAAAAAAATTTTTTTAATTAGCCAGGCTGGGCATGGTGACCCACACCTGTAATCCCAGTACTTTGAGAGGCCAAAGCAGGAGGATTACTTGAGCCCAAGACTTTGAAACCAGCCTGGGCAACATAGTGAGACCCTGTCTCTACAAAAATTTAAAGATTAGCTGAGTGTGATGGTATGTGCCTTTGGTCCCAGATACTCAGGAGGCTGAGGCGGGAGGATCACTTGAGCCCAGGAGGTCAAGACTGCAGTGAGCTGTGTTCGTGCCACTGTACTCCAGCCTGGATGACAGAGTAAGACCCTGTCTCAAAAAAAAAAAAAAAAAAAAAAAAAAAAAGCCAGGTGCAGTGGCTCACACCTGTAGTTCTATCTACTTGGGAGGCTGAGGAGGGAGGATCACTTGAGCCCAAGAGTTTGAGGCCACGGTAAGCTATGATCATGCCACCGCACTCCGGCCTAGGTGACAAGAATGAGGCCTCGACTTTGGAAAAAAAAGAAAAGAAAGACACTTGTGTTACTGGGTCACTAGACGTCTTTTTTTTTTTTTTTTTTAAATAAGTCTTACCACGTGTCAGGCACCATTCTATGTTTTACAAATACTAACTCATTTAATTCCCACAATAACCCTATGAGGTCAATACTATTTTATCTCTCTTGGTCTTGAAAACCACTGTTTAATGTATTTTGTCTGTTTTGTTGTTGTTGGGGCAAGAGGTTAATTCTATTCTCTCGTATTCCATCTCGGCTGGAAGCAGAAGTTTATAAACATTGCATTTTAAATTTATTTTAAATTTAGATTTTTTTAATTTCCATTTTTTGAATACTAAATTTGACTATTTCCTATATGTTTACATTTGCATTTCTTTTGTACTTTGTTCCTGTATATTGTTTGCTCTGTCTTCTGAAGATTTAAGGGTTTCCTTTTCAGTTTTATGCATGGTCCCATAAGTAAAAGCAATATGGCTTCTGTAAGAGAGCATCTTACAGCAGGAGAATTCTGGAGATCTGCAAAGGTTCTCCCTCAAGTATTCAGCAGAGCACAGATTAGTACATACGTGTGAGGAAACTACTTGAGCCAGGGAAAGAGTCCTCTAAAGGATTATTGGGAACAGTATCTGTTGTTCACATAGGGCTGAGAAGAGTATATCTATTCCCACCAGCCAGACTGGAAAACTCTTCCAATTCCTGGAGCATTGGATAGGTCGTGTCTACCCAATCAGTATCTATCAAGAAGGTCTTGCTTCAGTAATGGGGGATAATTAGCCCTATACTAGGCACTGCTAAATCTGTCTAGCAAATTGTAAAAGAAAGACCCAAAAGGATCAAACTGTTTGCAAATAACCTAACCATCCTAAAACAAAGCTTAAGGAAATTTATAGTACTATAAAAATATCCAGCATCCAATACAATAACATTCACAGTATCTGGCATCCAATCAAATTCACCAAGCATGCAAAGAGATGAAAACATGGCCCATAGTGAGGACGGTAATAATGATTTGAAACTCATCCAAACTTAACATAGATATTATTATTAGCAGAGGAGGATAGTAAAACATTAGTTATAACTGTATTTCGTATTGCTAAGAAGGTAAGTACAGCAATAGAAAGTATTAAAAAAAATTGAGATTCTAGGGAGAAAACCTATATTGCCTGAAATGAAAATATACCAGGTTAACAGAAGATTAGATTTCCAGAAGAAAAGTTGGGTGAACTTGAAGGCATAGCAGTAAAACTATCCAAAATGAAATGCAGAGAGAAAAAAGAAACCAGAAAAAAAATGAAAAGAACTTGAGTAAGCTGTGGATAGCATCAGGTAGCCTACCGTATGAGTAATTGGAGTCCCTGAAGAAGAGAGTAAAGGAGAGATGGAGAAATATATGAAGAAATAATGGCTGGAAATGTCAAAACTTAATGAAACTATAAACCCGCAAGTTCAAGAAGCTCAAGGAACCCTAAACTCCAGCAACATGAAAAGTATACCAAGGAAAATAATAATCAGATTACTCAAATCAATAAAAGAGAAAATCTCAAAAGCAGCCAGAAGGAAAATACATGCTATATACAGAGGAATAAGGGATTACATTGGATTTCTTACCAGAAATAAGACATCTAAGAAGAGTGGAACTATATCTACAAAGTACTGAAAGAAAAAAATAACTGTCTACCTATTAAATAGAATTACACATTCAGGAAAAAACATCTTTCAACAACAAAGGTAACTCAACCTATAGAATGGAAGAAACAGGCCGGGCGCGGTGGCTCACGCCTGTAATCCCAGCACTTTGGGAGGCCGAGGCGGGCAGATCACCTGAGGTCAGGAGTTCGAGACCAGCCTGACCAACATGGTGAAACCCCGTCTCTACTAAAAAATACAAAAAATTAGCTTTGCATGCCTGTAGTCCCAGCTACAGGCTGAGGCACAAGAATTGCTTGAACCTGGGAGGTGGAGGTTGCAGTGAACTGAGATCTTGCCACTGCACTCCAACCTGGGTGACAGAGTGAGACTCCGTCTCCAAAAAAAAAAAAAAAAAAGTGGGAGAAACTATTTGCAAATCATGTATCTGTTAAGGGTTTAATATCTAGAATATACAAAGAACTCCTACAACTCAACAATACACACAGCCCAATTGTAAACATGGGTAAAGGACTTGACATTCCTGTAAAGAAGATATACACATGGCTAGTAAGCACATGAAAATATGCTCAACATCATCACTCGTTAGGGAAATGTAAAAACTACAATGAGATGTCACTTCATCCTTACTAGGATGGCTGTAATTAAAAAAAAATAGAATAACAAGTATTTGGCAAGGATGTAGAGAAATTAGAATATGCATATATATTCCTGGTGTGAATGTAAAAATGATGCAGCCACTATGGAAAACAATTTGTTGGTTCCTCAAAAAGCTAAACATAAAACCATATGACCCAGCTGTTTCAGTCCTAGGTGTATATCCAAGGGAATCGAATGTAGGAACTCAAACAGATACTTGTATGCCAGTGCTCATGGCAGTGTTATTCATAATAACCAAAAGATGGAAACAATGCAAGTGTTCATCAACAGATGAGTGGGTAACAAAATGTAGTCTCTACACAGTGGAATATTTGGTCATGAAAAGAGTGAGGTTCTGATACATGTTAAAACATAGATGAACCTTGAAAAATGTATACTGAGTGAAATAAGCCAGACTCGAAAGGGCAAATATTGTATGATTCCACTTACATGACCTAAGTAGAACAGGCAAATTCATAGAGACAGAACGTAGATTAGGGGCTTCCAGGGAATAGGGGAGAATATGGAGTTACCACTGAGTGGGTACCAGAGATTCTGTTTGGAGCGATGGAAAAGTTTTGGAATTACATAGTGGTGATGGTTGTACCACACTGTGAATGTACTTAATGCCACTGAATTGGATACTTAAAAACAGTTAAAATGGCAAAAAAAAAAAATTATTTTACTGCAATTTAAAAAATTATATAATATACCAAAACCCACTGAATACACAGTTTAAATGGTTGAATTGTACCATATGGCTCTTTAAAAAAAAGCCAAAGGCACAAAAAAGACATTGTTAGCTATAAGAAAGCTGAAAGAATTTATCACTAGGAGACCTCCGTTACAGGAAACATTAAAGAATGTGCTTCAGAGAGAAAGGAAATGAAACCAAATGGAAATCTGGATCTACACAAACGAGTAAACAGCACTGGCGAATGGTAACTACCTAGGTAAATATATAATATTTTTCCTTAATATTTAAATTATCTTTAAAATGTAATTGGCTATATTAGTTTTCTGTTGCTTGTAGCATATACCACAAACTTGGCAGCTTCAAACAGCATTTCCTTATCAGCTCTGTTGGTCAGAAGCGGTGCAAGCACAGCATGGCTGGGTTTTCTGCTCAGGATGTCTAAAGGCTGAAATCAGGGTGTCACCTGGACTGAGTTCTCATCTGGAGGCCGTGGGGAAAAATTCACTTTCAAGCTCACTCTTCTTGGCAGAATTCAGTTCCTTGTGGCTGCAGGACTGAGGTCCCTGCTTCCTAGCTGGCTTTCAGCTGGTGCTGCTCTTTGCTGCTGGAGCCTGCCATGTTCCTCACACTGCATTCCATCTTCAAGCCAGTAATGGTGCGTCACATTTTTCTTGGGCTTCTATCTCTGACTTCCGTTCTGTGACCAGCTGGAGACAACACTTGTTTTTTTAATCTGTAAAGTGAGACTATTTGATTAGGTCAGGTTTGGTATTTTTTTCCGCAAAAAAAAAATTTGTAATGGTAGGTAGGATCATTCAGTTTTAAATCTTCAAATGTGGTGTGGAACTCCAGAGATTAAGGGGGTAAAAATGCAATTTATGTAGCTCTTCTCTTCCTAATCTTGGGGAGCTTCGGGCACTGTAGATTTGCTTATAGAATATCTCTGATGTTCCTCTGTATAGTGGGTGTTTGTGTCATACCCAGCTGGTATGAAGAAGTTTAGACTGACAATTTAGGGAGCCTCCCAGTCATAGCAAACTTAACTTATGTTTCTTTCTTTTTCCCAGCTTTGTCTCCTCAGCACTCTGCTGTCACTCAAGGAAGTATCATCAAGAACAAGGAGGGCATGGATGCTAAGTCACTAACTGCCTGGTCCCGGGTAAGCTGGGCTTTCTTCCCAGTTTCCAACTGGGAATTCCTTTTTGCTTTAGTTCCTTTGCCAAAGATCTTCAGAAATTATATCTTCTTCTCCAGCAGACTAGAATTAGGTTTTTGTTTTGTTTCCAGGTGAGTTAGGAAGAAGACAGATCACTGTGGGCTTTGGTCTTTCCCTCTCTTCTTTTATTATAGAAATTTTCAAATATATACAAAATAAAAATAGTAGAATA
This sequence comes from Homo sapiens, assembly GCF_000001405.40. Lineage (NCBI taxonomy): Eukaryota > Metazoa > Chordata > Mammalia > Primates > Hominidae > Homo > Homo sapiens. Next base: position 133,144,755 of record NC_000012.12, read on the forward strand.
GTAGTGGAAAATATGACAGAATGGAATGAGATTAGTGTTACATTTAAAATGGACTGGAGGCTAATACAAGAAAAAGATCAACTCATGCTGACCAAAAAATTCAAAAACAGGTATTTACAAACAGTTATTCTTTTTTTGTTGTTGTTTAGACGGAGTCTTGCTCTGTCACCCAGGCTAGAGTCCAGTGGCGCGATCTCAGCTCACTGCAACCTCCACCTCCCAGGTTCAAGTGATTCTTCTGCCTCAGCCTCCCAAGTAGCTGGGACTACAGGCGTGTGCCACTATGCCTGGCTAAATTTTTGTATTTTTAGTAGAGACGGGGTTTCACTGTGTTAGCCAGTCTCAATATCCTGACCTCAGGTGATCCGCCTGCCTCGGCCTCCCAAAGCACTGCATTACAGGTGTGAGCTACCCCGCCCGGCCAACCAGTTATTCGTTTACAATTATATTCATATGAGGTAAGGGCATTTTGAAAATAATAAACAACACAATTCAGGATAATGCTTACTTCCAGCAAAGAACAAGAAGCACACAAGATATTTCAAAAGTATTAGGAGGAATGAAAGCATACTTAGGCTATATACCTTCTTGGCATGTCTGTACATGCTGGACTGCAGCAGATGGCACTTCTCATCTCTGTCTTCTTTAACACGGTATTGTACTGTTGTGTTAGTGTGTATAATACTATGAGACAGACGGTATTTTACAGCTAAGAGAACTGACTCATGGTGAAGTTAAATAAGCATTATCCAATCCAAAATTTAAGGTATATAGGCCAGGTGCGGTGGCTCATACCTATAATCCCAGCACTTTGGGAGGCTGAGGTGCGCAGATCACCGAGGTCAGGAGTTTGAGAACAGCACGGCCAACATGGTAAGACCCTGTCTCTACTGAAAATACAAAAATAAGCAAGCCAGGCGTGGTGGCATAGTCCTAGCTACTCCGGAGGCTGAGGCAGGAAAATTGCTTGAACCCGGGAGGCGGAGGTTGCAGTGAGCCAAGATCATGCCACTGCACTCCAGCCCGCGTGTCAGAGCAAAACTCTGTCCCACCCCCCCACCCCCACAAAAAGAAAAAAACAAAAAAAACACAAAATTTAAGATGTACAGATTTGACCACAGGTTCGCCTGATTTCAAATCCGGTTCTTGGCTAACATGTCATGCACCTTTCAGTGGTGTCCCCATGATATGCTTTGTCTCTGTGTTCACAGTAAAAGTGCAATGTATTACTTATAGGAATGCTAAAAGCACCAGGCCAGAAATCAGATAGCCACTGAAGTTAAAACTGGGCAGGCTTCTTAGAAACTGAGCAGCAATGAGTGAGTCAAGGACTAGTGGAAAGTAGCAGGCACACTGAACTTCAGTAATACGAGAATGAGGTGGGAGCAGAGTGTCATCACCATTAGGCCTGAAGGGATGAGAACAGGTTCTGGAAACCAGACTTGCAGTTCACAGAGGCTGTTCCCATCTGTCAAGGTACCTCCATTACGTCACCACCACTGCACTGGGGCAACTTTCTTGCCATATCCAGCTGGTGATCTCCATTGGTGAAATAAATCAGAAAGGCAGAGGGCAAGAGAAACCTTTGGTATAATCCACACAGCTCACCCTCCCTGGGGAACAGAGTAGGGTGGAGAGGAAACCTGGAGGGAAGGAGAGAAGATATCCAGCATACAGATCTCATAGGACATTCCATTTAAAATTTTTTTTTTACATACAGTAACGTTTTCCACTTTGGATTTACAGTTCTGTGATTTTTGACAGATGCATATAGTTGTGTAGCCCCCACTTCATTCAAGATACAGAGCAGGCTGGGCACTGTGGCTCATGCCTGTAATCCCAACACTTTGGGAGGCGGAGGCGGGTGGATCACTTGAGGTCAGGAGTTCGAGACCAGCCTGGCCAACATGGTGGAACCCCGTCTCTACTAAAAATACAAAAATTAGCTGGGCACAGTGGCGGGCGCCTATAAACTCAGGTACCTGGGAGGCTGAGGCAGGAGAATTGCTTGAACTCAGGGAACAGAGGTTGCACTGAGCCGAGATTGTGCCACTTCACTCTACCCTAGGTGAAAGAGCGAAACTCCATCTCAAAAAAAAAACAAAACACCAAGATACAGGGCAAACCCATGATCCTAGAATTCCCTGTGTGCTGCCCCTGTGTATATAGTCCATGCTAACTCCCCCTCCAGCCCCTTGCAACCACTGATCTATTGATTTTTACCTTTTCCAGAAGGTCACATAAATGGAATCTCATAGTATGAAGCCTCTAGCTCCTTTCATATAGCATAATGTATCGGAGGTTCATCTGTTGTTGCATGAGTCAGTAGGATGTTCCTTTTTATTACTGAGTAGATTTACACTGTGTGGCTGTACCACGTTTTGTTTATGCATTTCCTGTTGAGGGACATTTGAGTTTCTTCCAGTTTTTGCCAATTATAAATAAAGCCCTTTCTCAGGTTTATACATTTGCATACAGGTTTTTGTGTGGACATAAATTTTCATACTCAGGTATTTAGCCAAGAGAATGATAGGTGTGTGCCAAGAGTACGTTTAACTTTATGAAAAATATGCAAATTTTCCAAAGTGGTTGTAGCATTTTTGCATTCTCACAGTAATGTGTGGGAGTGGCAGTTATTCCGCATCCTCACCAGCACTTGGTATCACACATTTTAAAAGTACCCTTTCTAATAAGTGTCTTAGAGGTATCTCACTGTCATTTTAACTTTCATTTCCCTAATAAATAATGATATTAAGCATCATTTGCTTATTTATTACCAACTACCTATATTCTTCTTTGGTGAAATGTTTATTTTAGTCTTTTGCTCAGTAAGAAAACTAGTCTGTTTTCTGAGTTTTTTTTTTTTTTTTTTTTGGGAGACGGAGTCTTGCTCTGTAGCCCAGGCTGGAGTGCAGTGGCACGATATCAGCTCACTGCAACGTTTGCCTTCTCCCGGATTCAAGCAATTCTCCTGCCTTAGCCTCCCGAGTAGCTGGGACTACAGGTGCATGACGCCATGCCTGGCTAATTTTTTTTTTTTTTTTTTGTATTTTAGTAGAGACGGGGTTTCACCGTGTTGCCCAGGCTGGTCTCGAACTGCTGAACTCAGGCAATCCTGAGGCATTCCCGAGGCCTGCCTTGGCCTCCCAAAGTCTGGGATTACAGGTGTGAACCACTGTGCTCAGCCTCTTACTGAGTTTTGAGGGTTCTCTGTACCTTATATGTACAAGTCCTTTGTCAGATAATGTGATTTGCAAATATTATTTCCTGGTCTCTGGCTTGTCTTTTCATTCTCTTAGCAATGTCTTTTGAAGAGGAAAAATATTTTTAGTTTTGGTGAAGCTCACTTTGTCAATTTTCTATTTGTTCTTTTTTATTTTTTTGGAGACAGAGTCTCATTCTCTCGTCTAGGCTGGAGTGCAGTGGTGTGATCTGGGCTCACTGCAACCTCTGCCTCCAGCGTCGAAGCGATTCTCATGCCTCAGCCTCCGAAGTAGCTGGGATTACTTGTGTGCATCACCATGCCCAGCTAATTTTTGTATATTTAGTAGAAACGGCATTTCACCATGTTGGCCAGGCTAGTCTCGAACTCCTGACCTCAGATGATCCTCCTGCCTTGGCCTCCCAGAGTGCTGGGATTACAGGCGTGAGCCACCATGCCTGACCTATCAATTTGTGCTTTTGGTGTTATTGTTAAGAACCCTCTGAAGAACTCAAAATGACAAATATTTTCTCCTATGTTTTCTTACAGAAGTTTTATAAATTTATATGTTACATTTTGATCTATTTAGGATTTGAAATTTTTTTGCAGATTGACACATTTATCAGTGTGTAATATCCCTCTTTATCTCTGCTAATATTCTTTGTTCTTAATTCTATGTTGTCTGATACTAATACAGCCACTCTAGCTTTTGTATGATTAGTGTTTCCATAGTATATCTGTTTCTGTCCTTTTACTTTTAACCTCTCTAGGTTTCTAGGTTGTATTCAATGTTGGTTTTTTTTTTTTTTTTTTGAGTTGGAGTTTTGCTCTCGTTGCCCAGGCTGGAGTGCAATGCCGATATCTTGGCTCACTGCAACCTCTGCCTCCTGTGTTCAAGCGATTCTCCTGCCTCAGCCTCCCGAGTAGCTGAGATTACAGGCATGTGCCACCACACCTGGCTAATTTTGTATTTTTAGTAGAGACAGGGTTTCTCCATGTTGGTCAGGCTGGTCTGGAACCCCCGACCTCAGGTGATCCGCCCGCCTCAGCCTCCCAAAGTTCTGGGATTACAGGCATGAGCCACCGTGCCCGGCCCAGTGTTTTCTTTTAGGTAGCAGATAGTTGAGGCTTGTGGTTTGTTTGTTTGTTTGTTTTGAGGCAGGGTCTCATTGTTGCCCAGGCTGGAGTGCAGTGGTGCTATCACAGCTCACTGCAGTCTGGCTCAAACTCCTGGACTCAAGTGATTCTCCCACCTGTCTCCCCAGTAGCTGGGACTATAGGCATGAGCCACCACATCTGGCTAATTTTTAAATTTTTTGTAGACACAGGATCTCCCTATGTTGTCCAGGCTGGTCTGAAACTCCAGGGCTCAAGGGCTTGTGGTTTTTGCTATTGCTTTTTTTTTTTTTTTTTTTTTTTTAGACAGGTTCTCACTCTGTTGCACAGGCTAGAGTACAGTGGTGTGATCACAGCCCACTGTAACATCTGGCTCCTGGGTTCAAGTGATCCTCTCACCTTAGCCTCCCGAGTAGCTGGGACTACAGGCACATGCCACCACGCCTGGTTAATTTTTGTATTTTTTGTAGAGACAGGGTTTTGCCATATTGCCAGGCTGGTCTTGAACTCCTGAACTCAAGTGATCCACCTACCTCAGCCTTCCAAAGTGCTGGGATTACAGGTGTGAGCCACTGCACCCGGTTGCTTTTTTTTTTTCTTGATAAAGTTTGGCTACTTGTTTTTTAATTGTTATGTTTAGACCATTTTTGTTTAATGTTATTAATTAATACAATTGGATTTAAGTGTGTTATTTTATTATATGTTCTCTGTATATCTTTTCCCCCTTCTTAATTTACTGCCTTTATTTGGATTATTTGAATATATTTTAGTATTTCACTTAATGTCTTGGTTTTTCAGCTTTATATTTTTGTATTTTTTAATACTTGCTGTAGGGATTAGAATATACATATCTAATCTTTTACAGTCCACTTAGAGTTAATTTTTACTACTTCAAGCAAAATCTAGAAGCCTTACAACATGTGGGTCCCTTTACATTCCTCCCTTTTTGTTAAAGTTGTGTGTACGTTGAAAAACTGCACCGGAAAATGTTACAGGTCTTTCTTTCAACTGTTCTGTATATTTTTGAAAAATTTCAGAGAAGAAAACAAATCTGTTATATTTACCCAGATATCTACTGTTTTTGTTATTTATCTTCCTTTTCTGAGATTTCAGGTTTCTCTCTGGTATCATTTCCCTTCTGCCTGAAGAACTTCCTTCAGCACATCTTCTAGAGCAGAACTTCGGGCAACAAATTCTGTTAGTTTTAGTTCATTTGAGAATATCTTAATTTTGCATCATTTTTGAAAGATATTTTCACTGGACGTAGAAATTCTGGTTTGTCTGTTCTTTCAACATTTAAAAACAAACAAACATTATTCCACTGTCTTCTGACCTTTATGGTCTTTGATGAGAGACCCTCAGTCACTCAAATAGGTTTTTCTCTAGATACAATCAACACTTATTTTTGATGTGGCTGATAAGGGCCTTGCATCTGTCTCCTGTTTCTTTGTCAAATTGTTTTGCTACTGCTAAAATATAATCTCCCAACTCTTCTGTTTTTTTTTTTTTTAGTACCTACCAATAGTCATGAAAAATGTTTTGGATAATTATTTTAGGTTATAAAACATGGCTAGGGTGGTAAATCTCTTAAGCATTAAGGTGTACTTGAATTAGGTTCTTTATTTACGTAGTATAAAAGTGGGTTAACTTTTTTGGAGAATGGATGATTCCCCCTGCCATAGCTGTTTAAAATTTAATTTAAATAAAAATGCTTATGACAGTTTTCTTTAACCTAAAGCATCACATAAAACTTGTTTTCAGACAGTAGGTACCTAATAGCCATTCCTTTTAAGACTTGACTAGAATAAATACTACTCACTCCTAGAATAAATTGTGGTCCATCCACTTTACCTGCCCCAGTGCTGTCAGCTTAATTTCTCTTCCTGTTAGCGATCAGGAAAGGGGGATAGCAAAGATGCATATCTGGTGCAATGCAAATGTGTTTGATGTTGTAGACACTGGTGACCTTCAAGGATGTATTTGTGGACTTCACCAGGGAGGAGTGGAAGCTGCTGGACACTGCTCAGCAGATCGTGTACAGAAATGTGATGCTGGAGAACTATAAGAACCTGGTTTCCTTGGGTAAGACTAGCTCTGTTTTTGAAGATTTTGGTTCTCCATTGATCAAAAGGTACAGAGACCCTGAAGCATGTATCACACCAGAGTATAGGCTTGGCGTTCAGAGACCTAATTTCTTTGAGGCATAGAACAGGGTTTTTTTACTCCAGCTTTTGTGGAAAACTTGTTTTAATGTATTGAAGTTTTAAAAATGCCTCTTTAAGGAGTTTTCTGGCTGGGCATGGTGGCTCACGCCTGTAATTCCAGCACTTTGGGAGGCCGAGGTGAGCAGATCACAAGGTCAAGAGATTGAGACCATCCTGACCAACATGGTGAAACCCCGTCTCTACTAAAAATACAAAAATTAGCTGGGCGTGGTGGCGTGCTCCTATAGTCCCAGCTACTTGGGAGGCTGAGGCAGGAGAATCACTTGAACCCCGGAAGTGGAGGTTGCAGTGAGCCAAGATTATGCCACTGCACTCCAGCCTGGCAACAGAGAGAGACTCCATCTCAAAATAAATAAATAAAATAAAATAAGTTTTCCTGCCTCTGTCAACTTTAGAGTCCCTGCCAGTCCTGCAGAGGGTTGGTGGTCAGGTTGAATCTGAGATGTTTCTTCGTGCCTACCTCAGAGCTCCCCTGACTCTTACCCTGTTCTTTGTCTTTCACTGTGAACAGGTTATCAGCTTACTAAGCCAGATGTGATCCTCCGGTTGGAGAAGGGAGAAGAGCCCTGGCTGGTGGAGAGAGAAATTCACCAAGAGACCCATCCTGGTGAGGACCAGTCAAGAGTTGTCATAGGCAGCAGCCCAGATGGGCTGTGAGGTGCCAGAACTTCTAGAGATAGTGGTCACTGGCCCTCCTCACAGGCCCTTCTTCCTGGGAAGACTGAGTTTATCTGGCCCCTGTTTCCCCACTGCCAGTCTTTACATTCCATTTGCATTCAGAGGCAAAGGTTTCTCTGTCTGTTGACGTGCTTGGTTTCAGCGCTTGCACGTGTCGCTCTCCTAATTGTTACCACTCACTCTAGCATCTTGTGCTTTCGTTTGTCATAGAATCACTTCTTGCATTTTTGCCTCTCTTTGTTCTTTCATGTGACCCCTTCCCACAACTCAGTTCTCTGTGCAAGCTCTGGAGTGGGACTCTTATCACCTTCTTTTCTGAGAGTTTGTTTTCTGCCAGGTAGAAAACTGCTGCAGAGAGCTCATAATTCCTGTTGCCTCAACTCTCCTTCCTTTCCAGAATGGCTGCTCACAGAAACACCAGTTTTTCCTACTGTACTTTAGATCTTTTTTTCTTTTCGAGATGGAGTTTCACTCAGTCTCCCAGGCTGGAGTGTAGTGGCGCGATCTAGGCTCACTGCAACCTCCGCCTCCCAGGTTTAAGCGATTCTTCCGCCTTAGCCTCCCAAAGAACCAGGAATTACAGGCATGCACCACCACGCCCAGCTAATTTTTGTATTTTTAGGAGAGATAGGGTTTTACCATGTTGGCTAGGCTGGTCTCGAACTCCTGACCTCAAGTGATCCGCCCACCTCGGCCTTCCAAAGTGCTGGGATTACAGGCGTGAGCCACCATGCCCAGCCTCTATCTAGTTTTGTATTTAATGTTTTAAAAATTTATTTATAGGCATTTCCCTGCATCTCAGACTTTGAGTGTGATGTAAATTAAATCTGAGTCTTACTTGTCCTGTAATTTAGCCTCAAGTTCTTTCCCATGAAGGCTTTTATGATTCCTCATTAAGTATTGGCCTCTTCCTCTTCTGAACTTCCACTTAGTTTAAATCTCTACTTTGAAATATTATCATAAGCTCTTTTTTACTTTTTAGTATTTGCCTTGTAGGTGATTGTATCAAAATGGTATCTCAAAGCAAGTCTTTCTTTGGGACCATGGGAGGAAATATTGTTATATTTTCTTTTTATTACTTACCTTCTTTCTTTCTTTTCTATTTTGTTCATCTAGTAAGCTTTCCTGAATGTCTGTTGACAAGTATCCAAAAATAACAATTATTAACTGGACCCAGCAGTTTATATTTTTATTGAGAATTTATTGTCAAAAGAAATACTCAGACTTCATGGGCTTAAAGGCATGGAGTTTTACAGAATCTACAAGGCTGTTAAATTCATTATCAAATCAAAAAATATAATGAATGATGATTTTTAAAAATCAGATGATTAGTTGATTGATGGGTCCAACAGACTTCGACAATAACTTACTGGCATGGTTGTATTACATAATATGTGGAAGATTTTAGGATATTAATAAAACACCTCATTCTTATGACCAAACTCTCCACTCAGAATTGTCCTCCATAAGTGCTCAGCACCCCCCTTATCATAGATATTCTTCATAGAATCTTCCAGTTGGCATTTGTAGGTTGAAAAACTTCTCCATAAGATTTTCTGATGTTCTGGGTTGGGGAAAGGGAGGAAAGGGTGGTGTATTTCCTATTAAAAATCATCAGGATGGGGAAGAAACTAGGAACTAACTAAGTGGTAAGGGACAGGACTGGTCGGGGTGGGATTGTATAAGGAAGTCATTTAGGGACCAGGCCTGGCACAGGGATCATTTACCAGGTGTATTAGTTTCCTGGGGCTGCGGTAACAAAGAACCAGCAGTTAGGTGGCTCAAAACAACCAAAATGTATCATGTCACAGCTGGAGGCTGTTAAGTCTAAAATGAAGATGTCAGTGGGGCTCTGCTACGCTTCTAGGAGAGGGTCTTTCCTTATCTCTTCCAGGCTCTGCTGGCCCCAGGTGTTCCTTGGCTTGTGGATATATCATTCCAGTCTTGGTCTCCATGTTCACATGGTCTCTTCCCCTGTGTCTGTGTCTTTTTTATGGAGGACCACCCTCATACTGGATTAGGGGCCCATCCTATTTCTGGTACTACCTCATCATAACTAATTACATCTGGAAAGACTGTATTTCCAAATATGGTCATATTCTGAGATACTGAGGATTAAAACTTCAACATACCTTTTTGTCGGCGGGGGGGATACAGTTTAACCCATAATACCAGGTAAGAGTGGAATGTCACCCCACTTATGTAAGATGAAGTGGTATCATCAGTGTATTTTTTAGGTTTGGGATTATATGTTTTACCTGAAAGACATTGAGAAACAGATAAAGCTCTTATTCAAGAGAAATAATTTGCAGTAATATACACAGGTAGCAGATGGCAGAAATTCTAAGAGCGTATGGGTCAGGCTTCAGATTCTAAGTTCACATCTTGTGGTAGTAGTCCTATCAGTTGTTAAGTCCTTATGTTTCAGAGCGAAGAAATCAAAAAAATGAGAAGAATGATGATGATTATTGTAAATCTTATTGCTTTGACCATAAATGTGCCAGAGACTGTAATAGGCTCATGCTTTATATAATATAATAATCTTAAATAACAAATACTGTCATCCTTAGATTACAGATAAGCAAAATGAATTCTTCAAAGTTTAGCAACTCGTCTAAATTCACCACTAGTCGTAATATAAAACTTAGAACTTGCATCTTGGTAACTTTTGTGCAGTTACTCTTCCACCTTGTCATGTAGCTGCTCTGAGAGGTCTGTTGTGTCACTCATCTGGGTGTTATTCTATAGTGCTTCTGTGATTTGGATAGAAAGCATTGCCTGACGTATGGCTGCATTCATGGTTTAAGAATACTAAATTGGGCCGGACGCACTGGCTCACGCCTATAATCCCAGCACTTTGGGAGGCTAAGGCGGGTGGATCACCTGAAGTCAGGAGTTCAAGACCAGCCTGGCCAACATAGTGAAACCCTGTCTCTGCTAAAAATATTAAAAATTAACCAGGCATGGTGGCAGGTGCCTGTAATCCCAGCTACTTGGGAGGCTGAGGCAGGAGAATCATTTGAACCTGGGAGGCGGAGGTTGCATTGAGCCAAGATTGTGTCATTGCACTCCAGCCTGGACAACAAGAGCGAAACTGTCTCAAAAAAAAAAAAAAGAGAGAGAATACTAAATTGATAGTAATGTGAAGAATGTGTGTCAGGGGAAAGTCCTGACAACAAGTAGACAGGTGAGGAACTTAGACTGTTAATATCTGGATTAGAAAATGAGAGTGCAGTCCTTTTTATGGAATTTCCCTTATTTCTACCCTCACCATTGATACCCTGATCCCATGTGTCATGCTGTGTCCTGTGGCTTCTCCTTACTCCTTTTGCCCTTTGTGAGTACTGTATACCACAATGCATTTATTGTTTACCGCTCCATTCTTCCTTTTCTCATTCTCTATCAAAGTTATAAAGCCATATTTGAAAGCAACTGTGTACATCTTGCATACTTTGTCTCCACATACATCCTAGCATTCTCACCTTAATACTCTGTTTAGTTACACAAACATTTTTCATTTCTTTCAGATTCAGAGACTGCATTTGAAATCAAATCATCAGTTTCCAGCAGGAGCATTTTTAAAGATAAGCAATCCTGTGACATTAAAATGGAAGGAATGGCAAGGAATGATCTCTGGTATTTGTCATTAGAAGAAGTCTGGAAATGTAGAGACCAGTTAGACAAGTATCAGGAAAACCCAGAGAGACATTTGAGGCAAGTGGCATTCACCCAAAAGAAAGTACTTACTCAGGAGAGAGTCTCTGAAAGTGGTAAATATGGGGGAAACTGTCTTCTTCCTGCTCAGCTAGTACTGAGAGAGTATTTCCATAAACGTGACTCACATACTAAAAGTTTAAAACATGATTTAGTTCTTAATGGTCATCAGGACAGTTGTGCAAGTAACAGTAATGAATGTGGTCAAACTTTCTGTCAAAACATTCACCTTATTCAGTTTGCAAGAACTCACACAGGTGATAAATCCTACAAATGCCCTGATAATGACAACTCTCTTACTCATGGTTCATCTCTTGGTATATCAAAGGGCATACATAGAGAGAAACCCTATGAATGTAAGGAATGTGGAAAATTCTTCAGCTGGCGCTCTAATCTTACTAGGCATCAGCTTATTCATACTGGAGAAAAACCCTATGAGTGTAAAGAATGTGGAAAGTCTTTCAGCCGGAGTTCTCACCTCATTGGACATCAAAAGACCCATACTGGTGAGGAACCCTATGAATGTAAAGAATGTGGAAAATCCTTCAGCTGGTTCTCTCACCTTGTTACTCATCAGAGAACTCATACAGGAGACAAACTGTACACATGTAATCAGTGTGGGAAATCTTTTGTTCATAGCTCTAGGCTTATTAGACACCAGAGGACACATACTGGAGAGAAACCCTATGAATGTCCTGAATGTGGGAAATCTTTCAGACAGAGCACACATCTCATTCTGCATCAGAGAACCCATGTGAGAGTGAGGCCCTATGAATGCAATGAATGTGGAAAGTCTTACAGCCAGAGATCTCACCTTGTTGTGCATCATAGAATTCACACTGGACTAAAACCTTTTGAGTGTAAGGATTGTGGAAAATGTTTTAGTCGAAGCTCTCACCTTTATTCACATCAAAGAACCCACACTGGAGAGAAACCATATGAGTGTCATGATTGTGGAAAATCTTTCAGCCAGAGTTCTGCCCTTATTGTGCATCAGAGGATACACACTGGAGAGAAACCATATGAATGCTGTCAGTGTGGGAAAGCCTTCATCCGGAAGAATGACCTCATTAAGCACCAGAGAATTCATGTTGGAGAAGAGACCTATAAATGTAATCAATGTGGCATTATCTTCAGCCAGAACTCTCCATTTATAGTTCATCAAATAGCTCACACTGGAGAGCAGTTCTTAACATGCAATCAATGTGGGACAGCGCTTGTTAATACCTCTAACCTTATTGGATACCAGACAAATCATATTAGAGAAAATGCTTACTAATAAATATGGGAATTTTTCACAAAGAGCAATGACTTTATTTTGCATTGGAGAACTCCTGGAGATAAGCTGTACAAATTGAATCTATGTGGAAATGCTTTCAGTCTTGTTACTATCCTATTGCACATTAGAGAATTGGTCCTGGAAGGGAAAGAAACCACAGATTTTATTTCAGTACACAAATCCATCAGATTTTCTTCTTTTCATGAATTCCTACAGAAGTAATTGGCCTGAGAGCATTCTTGACCAAGTCTTAAATGCTAGAATCTGAGAAGGAATTATTAAATAGGTGAGTTGTTGAGCGAGAACCCCTTCATTTGAAAAGAAATGAGTATGCTACTATAGGGAGAGTTGTTGCTGAGAATTAAGAAATGATACAGTTAATGCAACAAAAGATGGAAAATAATATTTCAGTCAATATGTCATTGTTTTCTTGACTATGTCTCTCTTCTGGGACATTTAGTAGTGTTTGGTATGTTTTATGTGTCTGGTAGAAACCATATTTTGGTTAACAGCAAGAAAAATGCTTATAATGTAGTACAATTAAAAACAACACATCTCCACTACCAGTGCTAACCCATTTTTAAGTACATTTGCATGTGGGCAAGAATTGAAAGTATACAGATAATTGAACAGAATTGATTTGTTAGATAAGGAGATTTTGACTGAGTTTTATAGTCTGTTTAATGTTGCTGTAATAATTATTTTAAGAAACTTTTAAATATTGTAAGAGGATATCTAGTTTCTCTATTCTACCATCAAAGAAGCTTTTGAGTACCACCTGTTAATGAGCTTTCCTATTCTAAATTGTTTTGGGTCACAGAGTTCCACTTTTTCCACTCTTATTAGCACTGCAAAAGCTCCTGAGAATTTAAAAACACAGTAATTCTCTGGATGTTAGGACCTAGGGGAACATTGGGCATTTGAACATATCAGGGAGGGTCCCCATTTTAGTGGGAACAAGTATTTAAACAATATTTAGAGCAAGTGTCCTCATGTGATAAACAGAGCACAGTCCAAAGATACCCTCTTTCTCAAGGTAGTCTTTTATCTTTATAAAGAAAGATTAGTGTTTAAGAGCGTAGACTTGAGCTAGACTACCCAGGTTGAAACCCCACTAGCTGGGTGATCTTGAACATGCTGCTTAGCTTCTCTGTGCCAAACTTACTGATATCCTCATCTGTAAATTAGCGATAATAATAGTACTTACCTGGTAGGATTATGGTGAGTATTAAATGAGTAAATGGAAACAGCTTAGAATAGTGCCTGACATATATTATGTTCTCTGTAGTTACTGGCTGTGATTATTAATAATATTGCCGCACCCTAATATCTGTTATTTAATTGAAATCTGCTTGTGTGCTTATAAGAATTTACTGAGTTCTCACTTCCCTTACAGTCATACATGGTTTTTCCCTTTTGCCTAAATCAGAACTCAACAGCCTGGGAAAATCACTGACAAATAGTGGATATAGGTTTCATTTCTGAGGATCAATAAACAGCTTGTAATGTTGTATACACATTTATTCTGTTTGTACAAAGGTTTTCCATTCTATGGAGAGGATCCCAGTCTTCAGATTCTCTGGTAAGTTAATAACCCACAAAAGATTCAGGAAGAGGATCTATTTTAATTTTCTCTTTCATTCTATAAATCAGTCTGTTGTATATAGGGACTGACCATGATTCTCCATTTTCTGGCATAAATATTAGCTGCTCAATGATTGATTGTTGAATGATAGATGAAGTATTGCTGAAGCCAACCAGAGATCTTGATCTCTCTCTGAGGAAAAAACCTAGAAATGATGGTTAGAATCAGGAGACTTGAGAACTACGAGGAACATGGCAGCCTCTAGCTCATACTTGTCGTTGTACAATTGAGATCAAGTGAATTGGCCCCGGTCTCACATTTTCAGTGAAGTCAGACTCAGAACTAGGTCCTGGGTTTCATGTTTCCTGCTGCTCTTCTCACTGTGTACACACCATGCCCACATACAACATACCTATCAGAAATGGTTTTCATTAAGGGAGTAGAATAGTCACTTAACTGGGGCTCTTAACATTGCTAATAACCTGTGGCTCAATTTCCTCAACTGTATAATGAGGTTACTACTAGTATCTACCTCAAAGCGTTGTCATGTGGATTGAGATGATATGTATGAATCACATAAAAGAGTGCCTGGCACATAGTAGGTGCCATTAATAATATTACTATTGTTAACACCTTAAGGGTCTAACTTGTAATGAAGACAGAAATATGTATGAGGATGATCACTGAAATATTTATGACAGTGCATAATTTGCAAAATAAAAAATGTACACTAGCATAATATTTGTGGCATATCCGTGTAATGGAAGATTATGCAGGCATTAAAATATGTACACAAAAAGTTTGGTAAAGGAAAAATGCTGTCATGTGTTACAAAAGCATGATAAATAATTGTTAATATGGAATAAGCTCAAATATGTCAAAATAAATGTAAAAAATGAGTGTTGCCCAAAACTAAGGAGATTTGTCAAAATATTAACAGTAGTTAGCCTATATATTGGGAAAATTGGTGTTTCCTTTTCTATTTTTACACTTTTCAGTTCTTTCCAAAGCCTCCTGAAATAATATATCTTACTTGTAGAATTAGGAAAACAATCTCCTCAGTGATGGAATTTTTTTTTTCTTCAGAAGCTCATACCAAGGCCCAGTGTGTTAGCTCATGCTTATAATCCCAACAACTTGGGAGGCTGAGGGAGGAGGATTGACTGAGTTCAAGACCAGCCTGGGCAACATTGCGAGACCCTGTCTCTACAGAAAGTTTAAAAATTAGGTGTGGTGGTGCATACCTATAGTCCTAGCTACTTAAAAGGCCCTGAGGCAGGAGGACCACTTGAGACCAGAGTTTGAGGTTGCAGTGAATTATCACAGCACTGCACTCCAGCCTGGGCAACAGGGTGAGACCCTGTCTCCAAAAAAGGGGTGTGAGGGCTCATACATATTAATAAGCTACTAGAGGCCCAGCACGGTGGCTTACGCCTGTAATCCCAGCACTTTGGGAGGCTGAGGCGGGTGGATCACCTGAGGTTGGGAGTTCAAGACCAGCCTGGCCAACATGGTGAAACCCTGTCTCTACTAAAAATACAAAAATTAGCTGGGTGTGGTGACGCACATCTGTAATCCCAGCTACTCGGGAGGCTGAGGCAGGAGAATCTCTTGAACCCGGGAGGCGGAGATTGCAGTGAGCCAGGATCGCACCACTGCACTCTAGCCTGGGTGACAGAGTGAGACTCTTCGTTTTCCGTTAAAAAGAAAAGCTACTAGAACCTTAATAAAGGAATTTAGCACGGTCATAGGATATGAGGTTACAAAAATCAATTTTATTTCTATATGCTAGCAGTGACCAATTAGGAAATGAAATTGGAAATACAGTTCCATTTATAATGATACAAAAAAAGTTAGGTTTTGAAGGAAAGGTGAGGGTTAAAGAGAGAGTGGCTCAACAGAAACACAGGTTTATTGCCAGCAAAAACCTGCAGAGAGGGGACCAGCTTAGTGCCGGAGCCCACTGCTGCTTTCAGGCTGGGGTAATTATAGGTCTGGGTGGAAGGGGTCTGGGTGGTATGGCTTGCTGCCTGGCAGCATTTGATAAAGATGTTCCTGTTGTCAGGTGGTTAGGTAGGATGTTTCTCATGGCCCAAGCCCCTGAAGAATCGCCTTGACCAGGGTCTGTGAAATGGTTGGGGGTTTATAAAATGTTGCAGCTTGGACTAACAGTGACCAATTAGGAAATGAAATTAGAAATATAATCCCATTTACAATGATAGAAAAAATGTGAAATACTTAGATAAATTTAATGAAACATGAAAGACCTGCACAGTGAAAACTATAAAACATTGCTGGAAGAAGTTAAGGAACATATAATAAGAATAAATAACACAAAAGAAACGGAGAAATATACCTTGGTCAAGGATGGGAAAACTCAGTATTGTTAAGATGGCAGTCCTCCCGAAATTAATCTTTATTTTATTTATTTATTTATTTTTTGAGACGGAGTCTCGCTCTGTAACTCAGGCTGGAGTGCAGTGGTGCGATCTGGCTCACTGCAAGCTCTGCCTTCCGGGTTCATGCCATTCTCCTGCCTCAGCCTCCCGAGTAGCTGGGACCACAGGCGCCCACCACCACGCCTGGCTAATTTTTTTGTATTTTTAGTAGAGACGGGGTTTCACCCTGTTAGCCAAGGATGGTCTTGATCTCCTGACCTCATGATCTGCCCACCTCGGCCTCCCAAAGTGCTGGGATTACAGGCGTGAGCCACTGCACCCGGCCAATTTTTTAAAATTCTAATGAATTTTGTCATATACTGATCTGAAGGGTTTTTCAGTTAAAAAGTGCTGGAGAATGCTGTGATAATATGTTTGGGAAATAGAAGCTTTTCACATGAGTGTTCCTGAATCAGTCCTCACTGCCTAGACATTGAACTTATTAGACAAAATGGTGATATCGATAAACAGATAGAAATTATTAAAAAGAACTGAAGAGAAATTCTGGAGATGAAAAGTATAACTGAAATGAAAAATTCAGTATAGAGGTTTAACAGCATATTTGAGCAGACAGAAGGTAAATCAGCAAACTTGGAGATAAAACAATTGGAATTATATGTGTGAGGAACAGAAAGTAAATTTTAAAAAGTGAACAGATTACAGGCATTCCTTGGAGATACTGCAGGCTTCATTCTACACCACCACAACAAAGCAATCAATCATCATAAGGAAGTCACACAATATTTTTGGTTTCCTAGTGAATATAAAACCTATGTTTAGAGGGCGGGCTTCAAGATGACTGACTAAAGGCATTTGGTACTCACCTCATTCACAAAGAGGAACCAAAAATGGCAAGTATATAATCACACTTTGAGTAGATCATCTAAGAGAGGACATATAATTCAACAGAGAAGTGATAGAAAACACCTAAGGCAAGGAAGCAGAGGGAGGTGAGGTAGCCTGCTCAGCCACTGGAGATTGACTGAGAACCCAGAGAAACACCCCAATGTGAGGAAAGGGTATGTGAGAGATTCCCTAGCAGTCCACATTTCCACCATGGTTTCTTGCAATCCTAGCATGGGAAATTTCCTCAACCCTCACAGGCCCTAAGACCAACATAGTAGCTGCCTGGAGACCACATGATGGCATTGCTACAGAGATGGGGCATACACTGGGTCTTACACACACCCTGAGTCCTAAGTAGCTGCAGCACAGTGCCATTTTGAGAGCCCAGACCCTACCACACTTCACCCTGCATTGGTGCTCAATAGCTCCTGCATATCTGCATCCCAGGAGCCCCGTTGACAAGCATGCTTGGCCCACCACTCCCACTCCCTTGGGCCCTGGGGCACAAGGGCTGGCCCACCTGGAATCCCTATCTCCAGCAAAACTACTACAGTCTACACCAACGATGGTGCTCTAAGCCACTGAGGAAATCACAGGTACCACTGAAACTGCTTACAGCTGAAGAAATTATATGGAGACTACACTGCTGCATGGACCCAAAATAAAAACTAAAGTGCCCTACCCCGGGCCAGGCGCAGTGGCTCATGCCTGTAATCCCAGCACTCTGGGAGGTGGGCGGATCACCTGAGGTCAGGAGTTCAAGACCAGCCTGGCCAACATGGTGAAACTCCATCTCTACTAATAATACAAAAATTAGCCAAGTGTGGTGGTGGGCACCTGTAATCCCAGCTACTCAGGGGGCTGAGGCAGGGAAATCGCTTGAACCCGGGTGGCAGAGGTTGCAGTGAGCCCAGATCCCACCAGTGCACTCTACCCTGGGTAACAGAGTGAGATTCTGTCTCAAAAAAAAAATTTAAAAATTAAATTAAATTAAAAAGTGCCCTACCTGGCCAGGTGCAGTGGCTCATGCCTGTAATCCTAGCACTTCGGGAGGCCAAGGCAGGGAGATTACTGGAGCTCTGGTGTTTGAGACCAGCCTGGGAAACATGGTGAAACCCAGTCTCTACAAAAAATACAAAACTTAGCCAGGTGGTGTATGCCTGTGGTCCCAGCTACTTGGGAGGCTGAGGTAGGAGGATTGCTTAAGCCCGGGAAGTAAAGCTTGCAGTCAGCCATAGACACATAGTTGCAGTCACCATAGATACATCTTTAGGAAAAAGTCCTCCTCTACTAAAGCAAATTCAAAAAAATGGAAGAAGTGACTTTTTCACCAGATGTGTATATATCAATGTTGAGAACACAAGAAATATGAAAAAAAAAACTAAGGAAAAAATGACACCTCCAAAGGAACACAGTAACTCTCCAGCAAACAAGGATGCTATATCCAGAAAAGTTAAATGAAGTCATAAATGAAGAAGAAAGAAAGTCTTTCCCAGGCAAATAAAAACTTAGGGAATTCATCACCAGTAGACTGGCTGGCTAAACAAGAAATTCGTATGGGAGTCCTACACCTGGAAGCAAAAGAGCAATATCTACCATCATGAAAACATATGAAAATATAAAGCCTACTACTGGTAGAGCAAAGACACAAGGAAGAGAAAGGACTAAAATCTTCAGGCTCCACTTCTAGTTTCCTTGCTATTTCCACCACATTTAGATTTACTTCCTTCATGGAAGTTCTGAGTTCCTCAAAATCATTTATGAGCATTGGGATCAACTTATTTTAAAGTCCTATTAATGTTGATATTTTGACTCCCTCCTATGAATCACAGATGTCCTTAGTGGCACCTAAAATGGTGAATCCTTTCTAGAGTTTTTTCCATTTACATTGCCCAGATCCATCAGAGTAATCACTAGCTATGGCAGCTGTAAACTTACAAAATATATTTTTGAAATAAGACTTGAAAGTCAAAATTACTCCTTTACCATGGGCTACAGAATGGATATTGTGTTAGCAGGTGTGAAAACAGCATTTATTTCCACCAGAGCTCTTGGGTGACTAGGTGCATTGCCAATATGCAGTACTATTTAGAAAGAAATATTTTCTTACTGAGTAGTAGGTCTCAACAGTGGGCTTAAAATATTCAGTAAACCATGTTATAAACAGATGTGCTGTCACCCAGGCTTTGTTGTTCCATTTATAGAGCACAGCAAAATAGGTTTAGCATAATTCTTAAGGGCTCTAGGATTTTCAGAATGGTAAATGAGATAAACAAAAGCAGTCGGAATTTGTTACTGTCCTACATGAAATTCTAAAGGGAATCCTTCAGGTCAAAATGAAAGGACACTAGACAGTAACTTGATGGTATATAGAGAGTAAGAAAGATTTTCAGTAAGAAAAGACTACATGGGCACTTATAGAAGCTAGTGTCAGTGTAAAAGAAAATACATAAAAATAACTATAAATGGCTGGGCGTGGTGGCTCATGCCTGTAATCCCAGCACTTTGGAAGGCCGAGGTGGGTGGATCACAAGGTCAGGAGATTGAGACCATCCTGGCTAACATGGTGAAACCCCGTCTCTACTAAAAATACAAAAAATTAGCGTGGTGACTGGCGCCTGTAGTCCCAGCTACTCGGGAGGCTGAGGCAGGAGAATGGCATGAACCCGGGAGGCGGAGCTTGCAGTGAGCCGAGGTGGCACCACTGCACTCCAGCCTGGGCGAGAGTGCGAGACTCCATCTCAAGAAAAAAAAAAACTATAAATTTATGTTATCAGACACACAATATATAATGATGTAACTTGGGACAATAACATAAAGGGAAGCAGGAAACAGAACTATATAAGAGCAGAGTTTTTGCATGATATTGAAGTTAACTTTGTATCAATTCAGACTATATTGGCCTCAAATTTATTTGGAAGTCCAGAGGGCTGTGAATAGCCAAAGCAATCTTGAAAAAGAAGAATAAAGTCGGAGGCAGTTTCTGCTTTCAAAACTTACTACAAAGCTACAGTCATCAAAACAATGTGGTATTTGCATAACTATAAACATTTAGATCAATGGAATAGAATTTAGAGTCCAAAAATAAACCTATACATGTATGTCCAGTTGATTTTTACAAGGGTGCCAAGTATATTAAGTAAGGAAAAATAATCTCTTCAACAAATGGCACCGGATGACTGGATTTCCACATGCAGAAGAATGAAATTGGCTTCCTTCTCACACTACATACAAAAATTAATTCAAACTAGACCAATGACTTAAAAACTAAAACTGTAAAACTGTTAGAATAAAACATAAAGGAAAAATCCTCATGACCATAGGGCCTGTCATGGTGACTCACACCTGTAATGCCAGAACTTTGCAAGGCTGAGGCAGGAGGCTTACTTGACCTCGAGAGTTGGAGACCCACCTGGGCAACCTAGTGAGATCCCATCTCTATTAAAAAAAAAAAGAAAAAATATTCACAACCTTAGATTTGGCAATAGATTCTTAATTATGACACCAAAAGCACAAGCAATAACAGAAAAGAATAGATAAATTGGACTTCATCAAAATTTTGAAATTTTGTGCATCAAAGGACATTATCATGAAAGTGAAACAGTAACCTACAGAAATAGAGAAAATATTTGCAAATCATGTAAGAGTTTAATATCAGGAACATTTAAACAACTCCTACAACTCAAAAAACAACCCCACTGAAAAATGAGTGGAGACATGAATAGACATTTCTCCAAAGAGGATGTGCTAATGGCCACTAAACATGTGAAAAGATGGTCCAAGTTATTAGTCATTTGGGAAATGCTAACCAAAACCACAATGAGATACCACTCCACATCTTCTAGGATAGGTGTAATTTTTTTTTAAAGCAGAAAGTATTAAGTCTTATTCCCCAGTGAACAGGTATATTCAAACCTACCCCTACAGTCCAAGGGAACTGAGAAGCCAAAGAAAGAAGCTAATAAATCCAGTTTCTCAGAAACATTCAATAGGGACTTATAAACAGAAGTGATGTCTTGGGCAACCATGAGACTGCGGATTACTGCACTCACCCTCCAGAAGGAATTCTTTATATCACAAGCTTTTTTGTTAAGACATGTTCAGCTGGCCATGTTTCAGACTCTCTTGCAAAACTCATGACCAATAGGAATTTAGAGAAGCATCTCTATGAGGGATTGTCTATGGCACGGGCATTGTTTTTTGAACTTACCGTAGCAATGTCTTGGTATGCATGCTTCAAACATTAGTCATTATGTCAGTTTCATTTCAAGATGGCCTTACTCTTGACTGGCAACAGACTGTTTTCCTACAAGTGTTTGGTAAGGATGTGAAGAAATTGGAGCCCCTGTACATTGCTGGTGGGAATGTAAAACGGTTCAGCCACTGTGAGAAACATTTTGGTGGTTTCTTGGAAAGGACAGAATTGCCCTATGACCCAATAATACCGCCACTGTGTATATACCCCAACGCATTGAAAATAGGGAGTCAAACAGATACTTTTATGCCAATATTCCTTGCAGAATTATTCATAATAGCCCAAAGGTGGATCAACCCAAATGTCCATCAACAGATAAATGGATAAACAAAATGGAGTATACAACAGGATTATCAGTCATAAAACAGAACCAAAGCTCTGGTACATGCAACAACATAGGTGATCCTGAAAAACATTATGCCAAATGAGATAAACCAGACACAAAGGGACAAATATTGTATGATTCCACTTATATGACCCAGGTCAAATAGGCAAATTCATGGAGACAGAAAGTAGATCAGAGGTTTCCAGGCAAATAGGGGGAATGGGGAGTTATTGCTAAATGAGTACCAGAGTTTCTGTTTGGCGTGATGGAAAAGTTTTGGAAATAGTGGTGATGGTTACACAACATTGTGAATCTAATTAATGTCATTGAATTGTATGCTTAGCGATAGTTAAAATGGAAGTTTTTATTATGTATATATATCCACAATGAGATAAAAAGAAATTTTAAAAATTTAAAGAGAGTAATTTTAAAATGTTAGAATTAGCCAATTTTACATCATATTGAATTTTGCATTTCAAGCATAGGCTAATTTCCCCTCACAATTATTTTGTCTGTGTGTGTGTGTTTGGGGGTGTTTTCAGGCCTTTAGTATATATTTATTGATAGTGATAGATGACAAGAAATTTTTATGCTAATGTGATTTATGAAAAACATTTTTAAAGAGAACTGGTTGTGGTGGCTCATGCCTATAATCCTAGTGCTTTGGGAGGCTAAGGTGGGAGGATCGCTTGAAGCCAGGAGTTCAAGACCAGCCTGGGCAACATAGGGAGACACCATTTCTACAAAAAAATTAAAAAATTAGCCAGGTATATATGTTATATATATTATATAATGTAGCATACATTATATAATATATATTATACAGGTGCACACCTGTATTCCTAGCTACTTAGGAGGCTGAGATAGGAGGATCACTTGAGCCCAGGAATTTGAGGTTACAGTGAGCTATGGTCGTGCCACTGAACTCCATCCTGCGTGATAGAGTGAGACCCTGTCTCTTTAATTTATTTTTAAAAGAACAGATGTAAGAAAGACCTTCTAAATATAAGGGTAAATAGAGGTGAAATGTAAGGAGAGGAAAAAATATATACCATGCATACAGTAACCAAAAAAAAAAAAAAGCTTGCATGGCTATATTAACATCAGACTATGGCAAGAAATATCATGAGAGATAGGAAAATTTTATAATAATAAATGGCAAACTCAACAGGAAAATCTAAATATCTCAAATAAATAGCTTGAGACATAAGCATATTCCACCCTGATTACTGTGACAACTTTCTGTAGTAGAGGATCTGCCAGTGCTCATCAAAACTGTTTGCTTTTTCCTCATTAGCAACTCTTTCCAAACACACCTTGAGTTACATGGAGTCAAGTGACCAAGTTCTGGCCATGGAATATGGGCTAAAATGGGATATACTGCTTTCAGTCATGTCCCATGTGATGAAGAATGAACGTTCTTTAGATTATTACACAAAGTGGGAAAGACTGTCAGGGAAACTTGAAAAAGAATTAGACATGAATAAAATATTACTTTGTATTTTCAGTGTAAATCTAGGCATTATTTAAAGCACTCTTCCATATTATATCTGCTTTTCATTGTCTTTGAGATGTTTTACAACCCTGTACTTTATCGAAAACTTGTAATATATTATTCTCCATAGAAATGCAAATATATTATGTCTAGTTGAATGCAATTCTTTAGTTTTGCATCTTTTTGTAAATTCACCCTCGTATTTCTTACCTATTTATCTGTGGTTCCTTGAATTCTTCTTTGGACTATTTACAACAGCTTACTGGTACACTCATTAAATAAGAAGGTAATTAAAATATTCGGCACATGTTTATTTTGTGTTTGTATGAGAGTCATGACTTTATCTTTTTTTTTTTTTTTTGAAACAGGGTCTCACTTTGTCACCCAGGCTGGAGTGCAGTGTCGTGATCACGGTTCACTGCAGTGTTGACCTCCCAGGCTCAGGTGATCCTCTTACCTCAGCCTCCTGAGTAGCTGGGACTATGGGTGGCACACCGCCATGCCTGGCTAATTTTTTTTTTGGTATTTTTTTGTAGAGACGGGGTTACACTATGTTGTCAAGGCTGGCCTCAAACTCCTGGATTCAAGCAATCCCCCCACCTTGGCCTCTCAAAGTTCTAGTATTACAGACATGAGCCACCGTGCCCAGCTGATTTTATATTTTTTAAAAAAATCTTGTGAAAGTTGCTTAAAACACCCTGTATAACTTCCACTGTCTCTCCCATCCACCATTTGCAAGCTGGATTTCAACATAAGAAATCTATCAGAATCATATACTGAAAGCAACAGACTCTGTAAACATGGGTCTCTGAATGATTGACTTTAGCAGAGATTCCCCCAACCCTCATTGCACTATGATATGTGAAAACATAAGGTACAAATTACATATCATAAAATGTAACCATTTAATGTATATAATTTCATTTTAAAACTATTTTTACAGGCCAGGCGCAGTGGCTCACACCTGTAATCCCAGCACTTTGGGAGGCTGAGGCAGGCGGATCACGAGGTCAGGATATCGAGATCATCCTGGCTAACACGGTGAAACCCCGTCTCTACTAAAAAAAAAATAACAAAAAATTAGCTGGGCATGGTGGCGGGCGCCTGTAATCCCAGCTACTCAGGAGGCTGAGGCAGGAGAAGGGCATGAACTCGGGAGGTGGAGCTAGCAGTGAGCCGAGATCTTGCCACTGCACTCTAACCCGGGCAACAGAGCGAGACTCCGTCTCAAAAAAAAAAACAGAGGAAAAAAGAAAAAAATTATTTTCACAGAATTGTGCAACCATCTCTATGATTTAATTTTAGGGCCTGCCGTGGTGGCTCACGCCTGTAATCCCAGAAATTTGGGAAACCGAGATGGGTGGATCACCTGGGGTCAGGAGTTCGAGACCAGCCTGGCCAACATGGTGAAACCCTGTCTCTACTAAAAATACACACACACACACACACACACACACACACACACACAGTCGGGCATGGTGGCACACCTATAATCCCAGCTACTCAGGAGGCTGAGGCAGGAGAATCGCTTGAACCTGGGAGCTGGAGGTTGCTGTGAGCTGAGATAGCACCACTGCACTCCAGCCTAGGTGACAGAGTGAGATTCTGTCTCCAAAAAAAAATTAATTTTTAGAACATTTTCATATACCCCCTCCCCAAAACTTCATATCCATTAGTAATCAGACTAGGCAACCAATAAGCTACTGTTTCTACAGATTTGCCTTCTGAGAACATTTCATGTAAATAGTATCATGCAATATGTGGTCTTATAAGACTTGCTTCTTCCATTCAGTATAATGTTTTGAGGTTTATTTGCTCAGGCATGTACCAGTACTTAAGTCCTTTTTTGCTTAATAGTGTTACATTGTATAGATATGTCTCATTTTGTTTTTCAAACATTAGTTGTTGGATATTTGGGTTGTTCCCACTTTTTGGCTATTATGAATAATGCTTCTGGTAACATTTATGTACATGTCTTTGTGTGAACATTTCTGTTTGTTTTTTTTTAAGAGATGGAAGTCTCACTCTGTCACTCATGCTGGAGTGCAATGGTGTAATCATAGCTCGCTGAAACCTCGAACTCCTGGGCTCAAGCAATCCTCCGCCACCTCAGCCACCCAAGTAGCTGGGACTACAGGCATGTCACCATACCTGAATATCTTTTCCCTTATCTTGGGTAATGAGCTTTGCTAAAGAGCACTTTGGGAGCCTGAGGCTGGAGGATCACTTGAGGCCAGGAGTTTGAGACCATCCTTGGCAACGTGGTGAGACTGTATCTCTCCAAAAAAAAAAAAAAAAGTCAGGCATGGTGGTGCATACCTGTAGTCTTAGTTACTTGGGAGGCTGAGGTGAGAGGATCACTTGAGCCCAGGAGTTTGAGGTTACCTTGAGCTATGATTATACCACTGCACTTCATCTGGGGCAACAGAGCAAGATCATGTTCCTAAAAATAAAAATAAAATATAATATAATATATAAAATTTTTTAAAGCCTGATTTTTTTTAAAGCCTGACATACTTTTTTTTAAAGAGACACCCAGGCTGGAGTACTGTGGCATGATCATAGCTCACTGCAGCCTCAAACTCCTGGCTCAAAGGATCCTCCTGCCTCAGCCTCCTGAGTAGCTGGGACTACGGGTATGCACCCCCACCCCAGCTAATTTAAACAAATTTTTTTTAGAGATGAGGTCTTCTCAAATTGTCCAAAGTGCTTTGGTGGCATTAGCCACCACACCCAGCCTAGTTGACGTACTTAATCTACCTGAGATTTATTTTAAATATATTGTGAGACAGCCATCTTTATTTATATTATTATATAGCTACCTTGTTGTTCCTATACAGTTTATTGAAAAGTTTATCTTTTCCATAATGACTTTTCCCCTAATATTTTCTTATGAAAAATTTCAAACTTACAGAAGAGTTTAAATAATTTTACAGTAAACACTGATATTTCCAATTTTAAGCGGTTATCTACTGTGTTGAAATTTGCACTGATGGTACAAAACGATGGTGGGTAAAACTGCTGGCACTTCAGCATCAATCAAGGTAATAGCAAAAAAAGATATTTATTAGCAGCCATTGTATTCTTCATCACTACACGTTCATAGTTTTGTTTGTTTGTTTGAGACAGGGTCTAGCTCTGTTGCCTAGGTTGGAGTGCAGTAGCATGATCATAGCTCACTGCCGCCTCAAACTCCTGGGCTCAAGCAGTCTTCCTGCCTCAGTCTCCTGAGTAGCTAGAACTGTAGGTGTTCACCACCGTACCTGGGTAATTTTATTTTATTTAGAGATGGGGTCTCGCTATGTTATCCAGGCTGGTCTCATACTGCTGGCCTCATGTGATCCTCCCACCTCAGCCTCCCAAGTAGCTGGGATTACAGAGATGAGCCTCTCCACCCAGATTTGTATTTTTTAAAGGAAGTCAATTTAACTTTAGGATGTCTTTGATAAAGCAGTAAAGAGTCATTTTATTAAATATCAACTCTTAAATACATCTCTTTTTTTTTTGAGATGGAGTCTCGCTCTGTCGCACAGGCTGGAGTGCAGTGGCGCGATCTCGGCTCACTGCAAGCTCTGCCTCCTGGGTTCACACCATTCTCCTGCCTCAGCCTCCCGAGTAGCTGGAACTACAGGCGCCCGCCACCACGCCCAGCTAATTTTTTTGTATTTTTAGTAGAGACGGGGTTTCACCGTGTTAGCCAGGATGGTCTCAAACTCCTGACCTCATGATCTGCCTGCCTCGGCGTTCTTAAGTGCTGGGATTACAGGCGTGAGCCACCACGCCTGGCCTAAATACATCTCTTTTTAATATCTGTGCAATGAACGTTCTGTGCTGTATACTGAAGTTCCACAGTTGTCTCAAGAAAAAGCATTTGTGTGATTATTTACATTGAGAGGTGAACTTTACATTGGGAGCTGAACTTTGCATTAAAGAAGGACTGAGAAACCTTTGCAGGTATTCTCTCAAAAATCAACCAAGTAAACTTGTCACTTAAAGGAAGGCAAATGACAGGGTTTTATTATTTATTTATTTATTGGTCAATATAAAAGTAGAATTTTCAAGAGAAAAATACAATTTTGGTTTTCTTTCCCCAAGATGGCTGACTAGAGGCTTTTTCAGTTCACCTTATCCACTTCTATGAACCAAACTAGTGTCTGGGCAATCACACTTTGAACATATTATCCAAGAGGGAACATAGGAGTTCAAAAGAAAAGCAAAGGGAATCTCCAGAATCTGGGGAAGAGAAGGAGGGCAGGCAGCCTGCAGGGCTGCAATTGGCCAAAAACTGGGAGTGAATCCCTGATATGGGAGAGGGTAACTGAGTGCCTTTCTGTGGTTCATTTTCCCTCTAGGGAATTGTGCAATCCAGGCCACAGGAGAGCACCTTGATCCTCCTGAGCCCTGGATCTAACTTGGGAGCAGTCAGTAGACTGTGAGGAAGAGCTGCTTTGGGAAGTATCCCATGAACTCCTCTAGACCTGGGCGTCTACAATAATAGGATGTTATTCTCAATCCTAGCTCTTATAAAGCTGTACTGAGTCCAGGGAGCTAGCAGTGGCATCAGTTGACTGTGTTAGAGACTCATGCTGGGACTCAGGGAACTGGGGCTCAAGTTGGTGAGGGACTCCTACAGCCAGAATGGAGAATCAAGTCTGGTGTGTGCTCCAGCTGCTGGCACTTGAACTGGGCTGTCCCCACCTTCTGACTGGAGCAGGGGGAGAACTTCTGGGGAGGCATGGTATTGAGCCAGGCAATGACTCCTATTGCCTGGGGCTGCATTGCAGAATAGAAGGAAACTGCAGTGACTGAATAAATATGCAGATTGGCGGACACAGTCTGGGTTAGGGAGTGAGCCTTACTGGGACTGGGATGTGAGAGGGAAGCAGGCCCCACTCCTGCCTGCCAAGGCTGCAGTGCTGAGACTGCCCTACTCTCTCCATGCTGAGCCCCTGACACAGGAGCACTTGCCCCTAAGCTGGGCATTTCACTAGGGGCCTGAGGATGGCCCCACAAGCCCTGTCAGTGTTAGTGCATGCACCTGTCATTGGTGATCTCGGTGCAGTCTTGCTTGGTCCAGCTCTATCCAGCCTTGCCATCCCTCTGAGAGGGCGTGTGGGATCCTGGCCTCTGGGGGTTTCATGGCCCAATCCACCACCTGGGACACCCAAGTACTTCTTCTAAGGAACAGAGGTTGGGCATAAATCCCACGGCTACTACTGCAGCTAGCTCATACCTACAAGTACCACCTACTGGCCTGGATGCTGGCCCACACAGCCCACTGAAACAACTCCTACTACAAGAGCACAGCACTTAGGAATGAGAATAACTGGTATGGTTTAGATCTGTTTCCCCACCAAATATTGTGTTACTTTGTAATCCCCAATGTTGGAGATGGGGCTTGGTGGGAGGTGACTGGATCATGGGGGAAGATTTCTCATGAATGGCTTGACACCATCCCCTTGGTGCTGTCCTTGAGGTAGTAAGTGGTTTCCCATGATATCTGGCTACTTAAAAGTGTGTAGCACCTCCCCCCTTACTCTGCCTTGCTCTTGTTCTGGCCTTGTGAAATGCCACCTCCCCTTTTACTTTCTGCTGTGAATGTAAGTTTCCTGAGGCTTCTCCAGAAGCTAAGTGATGCTAGCATCATGCTTCCTGTACAGTCTGTGGAACTGTGAGCCAATCAAACCTCTTTTCTTCATAAATTACCCAGTCTCGGGTACTACTTTATTTCTTTATTTATTTTGAAATGGAGTCTCGCTCTGTCACCCAGGCTGGAGTGCAGTGGCGCGATCTCGGCTCACTGCAACCTCTGCCTCCCAGGTTCAATCAGTTGTCCTGCCTCAGCCTCCTAAGTAGGTGGGACTACAGGCATGTGGCACCACGCCTGGTTAATATTTTGTGGCTTTAGTAGAGATGGGGTTTCACAATGTTAGTCAGGATGGTCTTGATCTCCTGACCTCGTGATTGCCCACCTTGGCCTCCCAAAGTGCTGGGATTACAGGCTTGAGCCACCGGCCCAGCCATGTATTTCTTTATAGCAATGTGAGAACGGACTAATACAATAACTTGTCAGAGCAGTCTTACTCCCATTGTCCATGCCACCCCAGTTTCCCAGGAGATTGTGAGCCCATTCACCTGCCTGGTGTGCTGCTACTACAACCATCATTTGAGAAAGGCACTACACCGAGGGTATTTGTAGCCAATGAAATAATACAGACTTTGCCACTGTAAATACCTAGAAGCAAAGTAAAATGGCTCTACCCGACCAACATCATAGTCACATCATTAAGAAAAAAGTGTCCCCCCAACAAAAGTAAATTCAAAAGTAAAAGAAGCAACTATTGCTTCATATGTGCAGAAATCAGTGTAAAGGTATAGGAGACATGAAAAAGCAAGATATTATGATACCCTGAAAGGAACGTAATAATTCTCCAGCAATACATCTTAACCAAAAAGAAAGTCTTGAAATGCCAGATATAGTATTCAAAATATTGATTTTAAAGATGGTCAATAAGATGCAAGAGAAATCTGAAAACTTATGCAAAGAAATCAGAAAATCAGTTTAGGATATAAATGTGAAATTTACCAAGAAGATAAGATACCTTTGAAAAAAAAACCTAACAAATTATTGATCTGAAAATTTCATTGAAGGAATTACAAAATACATTTGAAAGCTTCAACAATAGACTAGATTAAGCAGAAGAAAGAAGACAATTCTTCTGAAGTAATCCAGTCAGACAAAAATTTAAAAATAAATAAAAGAATGAACAAAACCCTCAAGACATTTAGGGCGACATAAAGTGACTGAACTTATGAATTACTGTCATCTGAGGGGAAAGAAAAATAAAAAAGGGTAGAAAATCTATTGAAATAAATAATCGACGAAAACTTACAAAGTTTAACCAGAGATTTGGACATTCAGATACTGGAGGTCCAGCAATCCTCAGAAAATTTATTGCAAAAAAGATTTCAACACAGCATACAATTTCAGACTGCTTAAAATCAAAGTAGAAGGAACTAATTTTAAAATCAGCAAGAGAAAAGCGCCTAGTCACTTACAAAGAAAACCCCATCAGACTAACAGTGAACTTCTCAGCAGAAACCTTACAGGACAGAGCAGAATGGGGTGGCATTTTCAAAGTGCTAAAAGAAAAAAACTTAGCCAAGAATTTTATATCCAGCAACATTAAGCTTCATAAATGAAGTAGAAATAAAGCCCCTCCCAGACAAGCAAACACTGAAGGAATTTGTCACCACTACACTGGTTCTATAAGAAATGCTCAAGAGTCCTAACTATGGGAATGAAAGGCTAATATTCACCATCATAAAAATACATGAATGTATAAAACTCACAGGTCTTATAAAATAATTAAACAGAGGAGGAAGACAAATAAATCAAATGGCAACACAACAGAATTCCACCAAAGCACAAAGAGACAGAGAAAGAGAAAGAAATAAAAAACTTATAACACAACTAGAAAACAACAATATGACAAGAACAAAACCTCACATATCAATATTAGCCTTGAATGTAAATGGAATAAATACTCCACCTAAAAGCTATAGATTTGCAGAATGAATTTTAAAAGATAATAAAACTATATGCTGCTTACAAGAAATTCACTTTACCTGTAAAGACACATATGGACTAAAAAAAAAAGGGGTGGATAAAGATATTCCACACAAATGGAGACCAAAAGTGAGCAGAAATAGATATACATCAGATAAAACAGACTTTAAATCATCAGTAAAGAAAAAGAAAAAGAAAATCAATATATGATAACAGGATCAAATCAGCAAGAGGATATAATAATTCTAAATGTATATGCACCCAACACCAGAGCACCCATATTCCTAAAACAAATATTTCTAGTTCTAAGGAAAGAGATAGACAGCAATACAATAGTAGTGGGGGACCTCAACACCCACTCAGAGCAGTAGACACATCATCAAGACAGAAAATCAACAAAGAAACATTGGACTTAAATTGGACTTCAAACCAAGCAAACCTAACAGATATTTATGGAATATTCTACTCAACAACTGCAGAATATACACTTTTCCCATCAGCACATGGAACATTCTCCAAGATAGACCATATGTTAGGCCACAAGGCAAGTCTCAACAAATTTTTAAAAATCAAAATCATATCAATTATCTTCTCAGACTGCAGGGGAATAAAGTAGAAATCAACAACAAGAGGAACTTTCGAAACCATACAAATATGTAGAAATTAACTATATGCTCCTGAATGATCACTGGGTCAGTGAAAAAATTAAGATTATAATTTAAAAGTTTTTTGAAACAAATGAAAATGGAAATACAACATATCAAAACCTATAGGATTCAGCAAAAGCAGTGCTAAGAGGGAAGTGGATAGCATTAAATGCCCATATCAAAAAAGCAGAAAGATTACAAATTAACAACCTAACATTACTTCTCAAGGAACTAGAAAAATAAGAACAAACCAAACCCAGAGTTACCAGAAGAAAATAAATAACAAAGGTCAAAGTAAAACTAAATGAAATAGAGACAAAAATGGATACAATATAATGGACCAATAAAACCAAAAATTGGTTCTTTGAAAGGAAAAAACCCTAAAACTGACAACTACTAGGTAGACTAACCAAGAAAAGGATAGAATATCCAAATACACAAAATCAGAAATGAAAAAGAAGACATTACAACTGATACCACAAAAATACAAAAGATCATTAGAGACCATTATGAACAATTATATACTAACAAACTATAAAACCTAGATTATAAGGATAAATTCCTGGAAAATACAACCTCCCAAGATTGAAACATGAACAAAGAAAAACCCTGAACAGACCAATAATAAGGAGCAAGATTGAATCAATAATAAAATATCTCCCCCACCAAAAAAGCCTAGGGTGAAATCGATTCACAGCCGAATTCTACCAAATGTACAAAGAACTAATACCAATTCCCCTAAAGCTGTTTCAAAAAATTGAGGAGGAGGGAATTATTCTTCCTACCTCATTCTACAAGGCCCTATGTTACCCTGATTCCTAAACCAAGGACACAACAAAAAAAAGAAAACTATAGACCAATATCCCTCAAGAACACAGATGCAAAAATCCTTAACTATATACTAGCAAGCTGAATTTAACAGCACATGAAAATGATAATACACATGATCAAGTGAGTGTTATACTAGGGATGCAGGGATGGTTCAACATACACAAATCAGCAAATGTGATGCACTGCATAAACCTAATTAAGGACAAAACCCACACGATCATCTCAATAGATGCAGAGAAAACATTTAATAAAATTCAGCATCCCTTCATGATAAAAATCCTCAAGAAACTAGGCATAGAAGGAACATACTAAAAAATAGTAAAGGCCACATATGACAAATTCACAGCCAACATCATACTGATGAGAGAAAAGTTGAAAACATTCCAAGAACTGGAACAAGACAAGAATGCCCACTTACACTACTGCTATTTAACATAGTACTGCAAGTTCTAGCCAGAGCAATCAGGCAAGAGAAATAAAAGGCATCTGAATTGGAAAACAGGAAGTCAAATTGTCCCTGTTTGCAAATGATATAATCTTATATCTAGAAAAACCTAAAGATGCCACTGAAAAAGTATTAGATTTGATAAATGAATTCAGGAAAGCTTCAGTATTCAAAATCAAAACAAAAAATCAGTAGCATTTCTGTACCCTAACAACATCTAGCTAAGAACAAAATCAAGAAGGCAATTCTACTTTTAATAGCTACAAAAAGCTCACCTCAGAATACATTTAACCAAAGAGGTGAAAACTCTCTACAAGGAAAGTTACAAAATACTGATGATAGAAATTGTAGATGATATAAACAAATGGAAAAACATCCCATGCTGTTCAGAGGAATTAATAATGTTACAATTATCATACTATCCAAAGCCATCTACAGATTCAATGCACTCCCTATCAAAATATCAACGTCATTCTCCACAGATTTAGAGAAAAAAAATCCTAGGCCGGGTGCGGTGGCTCACAGCTGTAATCCCAGCACTATGGGAGGCCAAGATGGGCATATCATGAGGTCAGGAGTTCAAGACCACCCTGGCCAACATGGTGAAAACCCATCTCTACTAAAAATACAAAAATTAGCCGGGCATGGTGGTGCACACGCGTAATCCCAGCTACTCTGGAGGCTGAGGCAGGAGAATTGCTTGAACCTGGGAGGCAGAGGTTGCAGTGAGCCGAGATCATGACCCTGCACTCCAGCCTGGGTGACAGAGTGAGACTCTGTGTAAAAAAAAAAAAAAAAAAAAAAAAAGAGAAAAGAAAAAGAAAAAGAAAAAAAATCCTAAAATTCATATGCAACCGAGAAAGAGCTCAAACAGCCAAAGCAATCCTGAACAAAAAGAACAAAGCTGGAGGCATAACTTCACCTGACTTCAAATTATACTATAAGGCTATAATAACCAAAACAGCATAGTACTGGTATAAAAACAGACACATAGGTCAATGGAACAGATAGAGATCCCAGAAATAAAGCCACATATCTACAGCCAACTGATCTTTGACAAAGTCAACAAGAACAAGCATGGGGAAAATACAACCTCTTCAATAAATGGTGCTGGGAAAATTGGATTGCCATATGCAGAAGAATGAAACTTGACCCTTATCTCTCGCCATATACAAAAATCAACTCAAGCTGTATTAAAGACTTAAATGGAATACCTGAAACTATAAACATACTAGAAGAAAACCTACGGAAAACCCCTCTGGACATTGGTCTGGGTAAATAATTCATGACTAAGACCTCAAAAGCACATGCAACAAACAGAAAAAGAGAGAAATGGGACTTAAACTAAAAATCTTCTTCATAGTGAAATAAACAGTAAGCAGAGTGAAGAGACACTTGCAGAATGGGAGAAAATTTTTGCAAGCTTTGCATACAAGAGGGGACTAATATCTAGAGTTTACAGGGAACTCAAACAGATCAACAACAACAACGAAACCCAAATAATCCCATTAAGAAGCAGGCAAAGAACACAAATAACACTTTACAAAAGAAGACATACAAATGGCCAACAGGCATATGAAAATATGCTCAACATCATCACTAAACATCAGAGAAATGCAAATTTAAACCACAATGAGGCCGGGCGCTGTGGCTCACGCCTGTAATCCCAGCAGTTTGGGAGGCCGAGGTGAGCAGATCACCTGAGATCAGGAGTTCAAGACCAGTCTGGCTAACATGGCGAAACCACGTCTCTCATAAAAAATACAAAAATTAGCCGGGCATGGTGGTGGGCACCTGTAATCCCAGCTACTTGGGAGGCTGAGGCGGGGAGAATTGCTTGAACCCAGGAGGCGGAGGTTGCAGTGAGCCGAGATCAAGCCACTGCACTCCAGCCTGGGCGACAGAGCGAGGTTGTGGGGGAAAAAAAAGAGATATTATCTTACATCAGTCACAGTAGCTGTTATTAAAAAGACAGGCCGGGCCGGGTGCGGTGGCTCACGCCTGTAATCCCAGCACTTTGGGAGGCCGAGGCGGGCAGATCACGAGATCAGGAGATTAAGACCATCCTGGCTAACACGGCGAAACCCCGTCTCTACTAAAAAATACAAAAAAGTAGCCAGGCGTGGTGGCGGGCCCCTGTAGTCCCAGCTACTTGGGAGGCTGAGGCAGGAGAATGGCGTGAACCCGGGAGGCGGAGCTTGCAGTGAGCCCAGATCGCGCCACTGCACTCCAGCCTGGGCGACAGAGCGAGACTCCGTCTCAAAAGGAAAAAAAAATCAAAACAAACAAAAACAGGCCGAGCTCGGTGGCTCATGCCTGTAATCCCAGCACTTTGGTAAACTGAGGTGACCGGATCACCTAAGGTCGGGAGTTTGCGACCAGCCTGACCAACATGGAGAAACCTGTCTCCACTAAAAATACAAAATTAGCCGGGTGTGGTGGTGCATGCCTGTAATCCCAGCTACTCAGGAGGCTGAGGCAGGAGAATTGCTTGAACCTGGGCGGAGGTTGCGGTGAGCCGAGATCGGGCCACTGCACTCTAGCCTGGGTAACAAGAGCAAAACTCCGTCTCAAAAAATAAAATAAAATAATAAAAATAAAAAGACAAAGAAGATGTTGGTGAGGATGTGGAGAAAAGGAAACTCCTATACACTGTTGGTGAGAAAGTGAAATTAGTATAACCTATGGAAAACAGTGTGGAGAATTCTCAAAGAACTAAAAATAGAATTACCATTTGATAAAGCAATCCTGTTACTGAGTATCTACCCAAAGGAAATCATTATATATATAAAAAAAATACCTGCACTCATATGTTTATCACAGCACTATTCACAATATCACAGGTATGGAATTAACCTAAATGTCCATGAATGGATGAATAAAGAAAATGTGTTATATATACACAATGGAATACTATTCAGCCATAAGAAAGAATGAAATTGTCTTTTGCAGCATCATGGATGGAACTAGTGGCCACTATCTTCAGTGAAACAACTCAGGCACAGAAAGAAAAACACATGTTTTCACTTTAAGTATGAGCTAAAGGATATGTACACATGGATGTAGAGTGTGGGATGATAGACAATGAAGACTCAAAAGGTGTGGGGGGGTTTCAGGGATAATCATAAATTACCTGACTGGTACAATGCATATAACGTACTATAGGGCGTGGATACCTTAAAAGCCTTGACATCACCACTACACAACTGATGCATGTAACAAAATTACACTTGTACCTCATAAATTTATAAAAGTTTTTAAAAGCCAAAAACAAAAGAATTCTAGAAAACTTGTATCTGCCTCTGTGAATGTCACCTCTTCCCAATACTTAAGATCAATAATGATTAGTGGATATTTTCCGTTGGTGCAAAAGTAAGTAATTGCGGCTTTTGCCATTAAAGTAAACCAATATTTTCCAACTGGCCAATACATGATGTTACGAAATCATGCGTGATAAAAGAATCCATTCAAAGTGCAGTGTAGACCAACGGATTTTATGTAATAGAGTAGAAAAAGTTCATCTACGTGGTTTCAGATTGTACACTAACAAAACTATCCCTTGTTCGACTTGTATCTTTATATACTTTAACAAAAACAACATACGCAACAGATTAAACATAGAAGCAGATATGAGAATCCAGCTTTCTAGTAAGTCAGAAAAGACTTAAAAAGCGAAGCCACTCCTTACTAAATTTTTTCTTTTGTAAAATATATGTAATTTTCATTAAAATATTATTTATGTTAACATGTAATGGGAATTTTACGAATCTGTTATTAAAGTGTAAAGCAAAATAAGACTTTTACCATTTCAGTAAAGCAGGGACTAGAACACTTGTAACCTAATTTACATCCCTCCAACCGTTGAGCCATTGGTGTCAAGTATTTTAATTCTCTTTAAAATTTAAAACCTGCAAGCGCGGGAGCTCAGGGACCTGGCCAGGAAGGCCTGAGCTTCCGGGTCATCTTAGCACGCCCCCTCCCGGTGGCCCTTGGCCGGAGCCCTCCGGCGCGGGAGTAACTCCTCGCAGAGGCCTCTGGGAGTTGTAGTTTTTTTGCCTTTGCCTCTCCATGACGCAATTCCTGTGCGACATACGTAGCGGCCGCCATTGTTCCGCGCCGATGGCGAGATCCTTGTTCCTCAGATAGCGTTCATCGCCCGTCGTGGTCAACGGGCCAGCCGAGTCTGGAGTGGTTGCGAACCCTTCTGGCTGCAGATCTGGAGGTGGAGGCAGTACCCTGGACTCTATTCTGCTGCCCCTTCAGGGTTTGGAGGAGCCGGAGGTGCGGAATTCCTCCGGTTTCAAGGCGGCGGGACGGGACAGAACTAATCTGCCTTAGCTCTCTCCTGCTGCTGACCCGGGGCGGTTGCCTGACCCTAACCTGTGTGTTGGTGAGGGTGTGGAGATGGTGAATCCCGTGCTGTGGGAGGGAAGGAGCCTCAGCTCCGAGAATGGCAGGCAGCCCTGGTGCCTCGGACCCTCCCCCTCTGGGTTTGGGGACTGCTGGGTGACCTCTTTCTTCACTGTGCTCTCTCTTCTAGCATCCCTCGCGTCCTGTCACTTCCAGCGAGGCACACAAAACTGACCGTAGGGATGGCCACCAGGGTCCGGACAGCTTCTATTTGGGTGAGTAGGGGTTTTCTTTCATTCTTGAAAAGCTCTCCCTGAATGCCAACGTGTGCGCACTCCATCTACTCCAGTCTGAATTTGCCAGGAGCTTTCTCACCCCACCGCTCTTTTAGGCAACTGGATCGTCATTTATAGCATGTTAGACTTTCCAGAAATGCTTCTTGTCATCCGACTTCCTTTTTTCCTCCTTTCATCAATCTCTTTTCTAACAACTTTGTACGCTGAACTTTGGAGTTAAACAAGGGATACTCACACATCTTTCAGTTTTTTCAGCCTTTATTTACTGAGGGCCTTCTGTATCTGGGATCTTTAAACCTTATTTTGGAAATTACAAACTTT
Source organism: Homo sapiens (assembly GCF_000001405.40). Lineage (NCBI taxonomy): Eukaryota > Metazoa > Chordata > Mammalia > Primates > Hominidae > Homo > Homo sapiens. Next base: position 133,182,373 of record NC_000012.12, read on the forward strand.
TTTATTCACTTGTTCAACATTTTTTTTTATTGTATTTTGTTTGCTGGACCCTGGGGCAGGTGCTAAAAATGCAAAGATGGGTTGCTTATCATCCCTGTCTTGAAGAACAGTGGTCTAGGAATGGTGGATAAGAAAGACAATGACAAGTTAATGAGTGCTCTGGGAGCAGGCTGTGGAAATACACGGAGACATGCAGGAATGGGTCAGTTTTGGAAGTAAGGACACCCCCTAACCCCTTACTCCCAAATGCTTCAATGATTAAGAGATTCTTAACCTTAGGTTTGAAAGATGACAAACCTAAAGTAGACAAAGGATTAAAACCAGCCTAGGAAAAAGAAGTAACGTGCAAATTTGAGAGGCTTGAAATGACCTCATGTGGTGAACTTTGGGCACTTTAGGGTTGCTAAAATGTTGAGTTTAATGGTGATAGTAGAGTTATATTAAAAAATGAGGCTAGAGCCGTAGGCCTAAGATCATAGAGGGCTTTGAGGACCCCATTAAAAACTTGGATTGTATCACATAGGGCAGGTGGTCCCCAACCCCCACGCTTCAGACTGGTACCAGTCTGTGGTCTGTTAGGAACTGGGGTGCATGGCAGGAGGCGAGTGGCGGTTTAGTGAGCATGACTGCCGGAGCCCCGCCTCCTATCAGAGGCTGCATTAGCTTTTCATAGCACAAACCCTATTGTGAACTGCGCATGCGAAAGATCTAGGTTGCGCACTTCTTATGGGACTCTAATGCCTGATGATCTGAAGTGGAACAGTTTCATCCAGAAGCCATCGCCGCACCCGACTGCCCGTCCATGGAAAAATTGTCCTCCACAAAACGAGTCCCTGGTTGGGGACTGTTGGTATAGGGGAAGGAGTTTACTTATTGAAGTGTTTTCACAACGGATTTGAGGGTAGAACAGTCTAGTCTGCAGCAGGTAAGAGAATATAAGGGTTTAAGTAAATTAGTGGTTTTGAGAAAGGAGAGGAGGTGGCTGGGTGCAGTGGCTCCCACCTGTAATCCCTGTTACTCGGGAGGCTGAGACAGGAGAATCGCTTGAACCCAGGAGGCAGAGGTTGCAGTCAGCCGAGATCGCGCCACTGCACTCCAGCCTGGGTGACAGAGCAAGACTCTGTCTCAAAAAAAAAAAAAGGAGAGGAGGTAAAGAGGCAGAAGAAATTAGATTTCATAACTAGTTGGGTGCAGTGCTAAGAGAGGCAGAAAAGCCAGGGATGACAACTGGAGTTCTACTCTGTGGGCCTGGTTGGGAGTGTCACCATTTGCTGAGTAAGGGAAGACTGTCAGAATTGTGATTGGTAGAGGGGGAAGATTTCAGTTTTGTATGGATTGGCTCCTCTAGGTAGAGGTTGCAAATTAGGTGTGGCCAAAGTAGCTCAGGGAGAATGTGTACCCTAAGAAGAGAACTGAGGACAGTGGTCAGGGAAATGACAAGAGAAAGCAGGGGAAGAGGTGTTGAAGACTGAGATGGAACCCAAGAAAAGTAAGACAAAATAGAGACATGTAATTCACACTTAAAGAAATGGAAACCTCAAAAATGCTTGTCAAGTGACATGTATGAGGGAGATCAAGTAATATTAGATCATTGTCTTAGTCTGTTTGTGCTACTGTAACAAAATATCACAGACTGAGGAACTTATAACAGATACTACTTTCTCACAATTCTGGAGGCTGACAAGTTGAAGATCAAGGTGCTGGTGAATTTGGTATCTGATGAGGCCTGCTTTCTTGTTTTCTTTTTTTTTTTGGAGACAGTCTCTCTCTGTCCCCAGGCTGGAGTGCGGTGGCGCGATCTTGGCTCACTGCAACCTCTGCCTCCCGGGTTCAAGTGATTCCCCTGCCTCAGCCTCCCAAATAGGACTACAGGCGTGTGCCACCACGCCCAGCTAATTTTTTTTTTGTATTTTTAGTAGAGACGTGGTTTCATTGTGTTGGCCACAATGACCTCGATCTCCTGACCTCATGATCCACCTGTCTCAGCCTCCCAAAGTGCTGGGATTACAGGCGTGAGCCACCGCACCCGGCTCTGCTCTCTGCTTTCAAGATGGCACTTTCTTGCTACATCCTTACATGGTGGAAGGGGGCAAAAAGGGAAGAATGCTGTGTCCTCACATGGCCAAAGAGATGAAAGGGCCAGGCAGCTCTCTGAAACCTCTTTAAGAGGGTATTAATCCCATTCCTGAAGGAGAGCCGTCATGACTTAATCACTATTAAAAGGCCGCACCTCTTTATTTATTTATTTATTTGTTTATTTTTTTGAGACTGAGTCTCGCTCTGTCTTCCAGGCTGGAGTGCAGTGGCTATCTCTGCTCACCACAACGTCTGCTTCCCGAGTTCAAGTGGTTCTCTTGCCTCAGCCTCCTGAGTAGCTGGGATTACAGGTGCGCACCACCATGCCCAGCTAATTGGCCCCACCTCTTAATACCATCACAATGGGGGTTAAGTTTCAACATGAATTTTGGAGGGATGCAATCATTGAAACCGTAGCAGTCATAAAAACCTAAATGGAATTTAGTGGTGATGGGCTGTGTGTGGTGGGTCACGCCTGTAGTCCCAGCACTTTGGGAGGCCAAGGTGGGCAGATCATCTGAGGTCAGGAGTTCGAGACCAGCCTGGCCAACATGGCGAAACCTCGTCTCTACTAAAAATATGAAAATTAGCTGGGCGTGATGGTGGGCACCTGTAATCCCAGCTACACGGGAGGCTGAGGCAGAAAAATCGCTTGAACCCCAGGAGTAGGAGGTTGCAGTGAGCCAAGATCACGCCACTGCACTCCAATCTGGCGACAGAGTGAGACTCTGTCTCAAAAAAAAAAAAAAAAACAAAGAATGTGTGGTGGCTACTTTAGCTTGGGTGCTCAGGGAAGGCCCCCACTGAGGAAGTGACGTCTAAGCTAAGTCTGAGTTACAATAGCAAGCCAGCCTTGGGAAGAGCAGGTAGAAGAACATCCAGGATGGGAACAGCCAGGGCCAAGGCTGCGAGGCAAGAGAAGTTTGATGCCTTGGTAACCTGGAAGGAAGGACTTTGTGACTGGGGTAGGGAGTGAGAGAGAGGAGAGCAGATGAACACAGGTGCAGAGGCCAGATCAGGGAGTGAGAGAGAGGAGAGCAGATGAACAGAGGTGCAGAGGCCAGATCAGGTAACCTGGAAGGAAGGACTTTGTGACTGGGGGTAGGGAGTGAGAGAGAGGAGAGCAGATGAACACAGGTGCAGAGGCCAGATCAGGCTGGGAAGCCATGGGGCCCGGGAGAGTGTGTGGCGCTAAGACAGGGAGCAACGTGAGCTGCTTAGGGTTTCCAAAGACCCTTCTGAGTGCTGAGTGGGGGACAGGTTGTAGGTGGGCAAGAGTAGGCACAGAAAGAGGGGGAAGCCAGAGACTGACTAGGTGACCACGTTCAGACAAGAGGTAGCAGGGATTTTGTGTAGTGTGGTAGAAATGGAGACACTGGTCAGAGTTGGGGGATGTTTGAAGGTGGAGTCCTCTTTTCTAAGAACCAGCATATGCTTTTTATCTTGTTGATTGTCATTTTGTAGTGTGGTTTATTTTCATTAAGTATTCCTGGTTTTATGTTTTGTTTTGTTTTCTTTTGCCGTTTCAACCAAATGTTAATGCTCAGTGTCTACTACGTATGAGGTTCTGTGCTAAATCATTTATTAGGTATTATCACCTTAAAACTTCACAGTAGCCCTAGCCCCAGGTGGTGAATACTGTTTTTCTCCTTTGATGGGTAAGGGTACTGAGGTCCAGAAAGGGCTAGTTGGAGACCAGGTGGCACCCCTGGTCAATGTAGAGCCAGGACTTGAACCCAGATATTCTGGCTCTACATGCATTTTCCTGGCCTGTGTACCTTATTTAGTCTCTGGATGTAGGTTGAGGATTTCTTGAGGCAGAGATTCTAGGATCCTAGACCCTGAAATGTAGAGTAAAATGTGGAGCGGGTAGACTGTGCCCAGTGTACACAGAGAAGGCTCTGAGACATAAGCTGTTGGTCTCCAGGGAATAATCTTTTTTTTTTTTTTTGGAGATGGAGTCTCACTCTGTTGCCCAGGCTGGAGTACAGTGGCACTCACTGCAACCTCTGCTTCCCAGGTTCAAGCAATTCTCCTGCCTCAGCCTCCCAAGTAGCTGGGGCTACAGGTGTACGCTGCCACGCCTGGCTGATTTTTTTTTTGTATTTTAGTAGAGACGGGGTTTTACTGTGTTGCCCAGGCTGGTCTCGAACTCCTGAGTTCAGGCAACTCACCTGCCTCGACCTCTCAAAGTTCTGGGATTACAGGCATGAGCCACTGCGCCCAGCCTCCAGGGAATAATCTTAATGTCCATTAATGGTGAATGATGAAACGTGATGGAATACTATTCACCAACAAAAAGAACAAACTATTGATATGTGCTATGACAAGCATAAACCTTGAAAGCATTATGCGAAGTGAAAGAAGCCAGACACAAAAGACTAGATATTATATGATCCCATTTATATGGCACACACATGCGTATACGTATACTTGCAATCCCACTTCTTTTTTGTAACACAAAAGCTAGCTTTCTGTACGTACTATTCTTCCCCTTGTCATTATCACTAAGAGTATATATTGATCATTGTATTATACCAATAGTGGTACATAGAGGTTGTTCGCTCCCTCTTCCCTATCTCTTATCACCTTTTACTGGCTGTATGGATGGCCCATAGTGTTTTCAACCAGTTATGTAGTTACAGATATTTGGGTTATAAAAATGCCTTGGTGAACAGCCTTTTCATGGCATTTCATTCATTGTTTCTTTTTCTAATTTTTTATTCCTTTTTTTTTAGGCTTTCCCCACTTTTCACCTGTGCCGCCTTCTAGGTCGTTGGCGCTTTTTTATGTTCCTCCTAAATTTAATCTTCATTTCTGAATTTTTTTCCTAATTTATTTATTTATTCTGATATTTCTCATTTCACATTTTCCAGATTTCACATTTCTAAGCATCTACTTTCTAGGCTCTTTTATTTTTTATATATCTGTCCTTTCAAAGTTTCGTTTTTCTGATTTCTTTTACTTCATTTTGAAATATTATGTTACAATTTTTTATGTGGTCAGATATTTTGGTTATGTTTTTATTGTCTGTCAGAGCCTCGTTTGGTTCCTTATTCCCTCATAATAATGTTGTGTGGGTATTCCTACTGCCCTACCAAACCAGCCTATTAAGACGCCATTTGGTTTGTGGCAGGAAGTCCGTTTGGAGGCTAGGATGAGCCAGGACAGTTTTCTCTAGCTTTGCTGTTTGAGGGTCGTACCTGTATTTTTATCATGAAGGGCTCAAAACTTGACTTGAACTCTTGGTGCTAAGCCTTGTCAGGAAGCCATTTCTTTTCTGCCTCTAACCCTGCATTTCCTGAAGTTAAACCTGCCTTGTTTTCTAACGTGTTTCTCTCACATTTATGTGATGTGACCCCTATTTCCTTTTCCCCAAAGGAAATAATGCTCGCTAAAGTAAATTTGCTCTTGAGTCCACAGGTCCCACCTCTCCAAGAACGAAACAGTTCATGGGATAGGATCAGAAAGCTCCAAGGTCAGGAATCCATCTTGGGCCAAGGGACTCCTGGTCTGCAACCTCTCCCTGGAACACCCAGGCAGAAGCAGAAGAGTCGCAGAATAGAGAAAGTCCTAGAGTGGCTGTTTATTTCCCAAGAGCAGCCAAAAATCACCAAGTCCTGGGTGAGCTTCTCATTTGTTTATTCCTAGTGTTTTCTTTATTACCTTTTTTTTTTTTGGTGCAGAGAGGGATGGAGATCCTTAGGTCAGAGGGTTAAGTTAATCACTCCTCAGTTCAGTTCAAAACCCCCCCACTTTTTTTTTTGAGACAGGGTCTTGGTCTGTTGCCCAGAGTGGAGCGCAGTGGTGCAATCATAACTCACTGCAGCCTCAAACTCCAGGCTCAAGTGATCCTCCAGCCTCAGCCTCTTGAGTAGCTGGGACAGCAGGCAAGTGCCACCATGCCTGGCTGATGTTTTTTATTTTTAGTAGAGAGGAGGTCTCCCTGTGTGGCTCAGGCTGGTCATCAACTCCTAAGCTCAAGCAGTCCTCCTGCCTCAGCCTCCTGAGGTGCTGGGATGACAGTCATGAGCCACTGTGCCTGGCCCATGGCCCTTTTATCATCATTGGTTCATGTAAGGTCCTTATCTACCTTTATTTATATATTCTCTTATTTCCTCATACTCAATTTTCATCTCCTTTCCCATCCCCAAAAAGTTATTTTGTGTTTTATGTGTATCCTTTTTTTTAAAAAATGTGTGTTTACGTAATATGTATTGTTCGGGAAGCTTGTTAGAAATGCAGAATATCAGAGTTCACCTCAATGCTGTTAATATCAGACTCTTCATTTTAATAAGATTCAGTGATTCATGCACATTAAAGTTTAAAACAAACTTACTATGAAGCCTATATTCAAATTTTTTCCTCGGGTGCTTCTTTTACTTCCAATATTGGCTTGCTTTTTTAGTCTCTTAATGCTTACTTTTGATGAACAGATATTTCTAACTTTTACTGAGTCTGGATTGCAAATTTTTTTATTTTATTGCTAATGATTTTTGTGTCCTATTGTTTTCTTATCCTAAGCTCATAAAGATCTTTTTCTTTATTACTTTATTACTTTACCTTTCACTTTTCGATTTACAGTGCCTTTGGGATTGAGTTCAAATCCATGAACACAGGATTCCCCCATTATTTAGATCTTTGATTTTTAAAAGTCAATGTTTATAGTTTTGAGCATACAGATCCTACACAGATATTTTAGATTTATATGTAAGTTCTTTCTGTTTTGTTGTTGCTGTTGTAAACAGTATCAGTGTCTTAATTCCTTTTTTTTTTTTTTTTTTGAGATGGAGTCTTGCTCTGTCACTCAGGCTGGAGTGCAGTGGCACAATCTGGGCTCACTGCAGCCTCTGCCTCCTGGGTTCAAGCAGTTCTCCTACCTCAGCCTCCCGAGTAGCTGGGACTACAGGTGCGCACTACCATACCCGGCTAATTTTTGTATTTGTAGTAGAGACAGGGTTTCACCATGTTGGCCAGGCTGGTTTCAAACTCCTGACCTCAAGTGATTCACCTGCCTCGGCCTCCTAAAATGCTGGGAATACAGGTGTGAGCCACGGCATCCAGCTAGTTTCTTAATTTCAAAATCAAATGATTTATTGCTGTTATATAGGCATATAGCCAACTTTTATGTATTGACCATGTATCCTGTGACCTTGCTACATTCACTAGTTAGTTCTAGGAACTTTCTTAGGTTTTTTGGTATTTTCTTCATAAACAGTCGTGTCATCTTCATCTTTTCGTTGGCATCCTCAGTTTCCTTACTCTCTCTGTAAAAAAGGACAGTTTTGTTTCTTTCCAATCTGTATGCTGTTAACTACAAATTTTATTTCTTTAATAGATATGTAATAATTAAGCTTATCTGTTTGTTTGTTTTTTTGAGACGGAGTCTCGCTCTGTCGCCTAGGCTGGAGCACAGTGGCACGACCTCGGCTCACTGTAACCTCTGCTTCCTGGGTTCAAGTGAGTCTCCTGCCTCAGCCTCCTGAGCAGCTAGGACTACAGGCATGTGCCACCATGCCCGGCTAATTTTTTTGTATTTTTAGTAGAGACGAAGTTTCACCATGTTAGCCAGGATGGTCTCGTTCTCCTGACTTTGTGATCTGCCCGCCTCGGCCTCCCAAAGTGCTAGGGTTACAGGCGTGAGCCATGGCGCCTGGCCCAAGTTTATCTGTTTTTGAGTAAGTTTGGTAATTTGCGTCTTCCAAGGAATATGTCCTTTTCAACTAACTTAACCAAATTTATGTGCGCAGAGCAGTTAGTCTTTTCTTGTCTGTGAATTCAGTAATGATAACTTCTTTTCATATCTGATGCTTGTCATGTGTGTCTTCTATTTTTGCTTTGACGTAAGTTTTCATTTGTATAAATACCTGGGGCATAGTTGCTGGATTATATGGTAAGACTGTTTAGATTTGTAAGAAGTTGCCAAACTGGCTTCCAAAGTGACTCTACCACTTTTCATTCCCACCAGCAATGAATAAGAGTTCCTATTGCTCCACATCCTCTCCAGCATTTGGTGGTCAGTTTTTTGGATTTTATCCATTCTAATAGGTGTGTAGTGGTGTCTTACTTTTGTCTGGATTTGCAATTCCCTAATGACATATGGTATTGAGCATGCTTTGTATGCTCATTTACCATCTGTATATTTTCATGTTTAGGTCTTTATCCCACAGAGTGGCTGCTACTTACAGCAGTTACCTTTTTAGTCCATAAAGTTTTAATGTGTCTTCTCTTCTGGGTACCAATAGTGCCCTTTCACAGATTTCACCTGACACTGTCAAATAGCATTGCTTCCTTCTTCCTTTGTGCCTACGTTGTAATCTGTGTTCTTTTTTCTTAGCTTCTTTGACTTTCAGTTGCATTTGCATATGTAACTGTTCTTCATTCTGCAGTGCTAAAAGCTTCTTGGTGGCAGGACTGTATTTCATTTATGTTTATATTCCTGGACATAGAGGTTGGTAACTGTATTGCAGATGTAGGAGTGATCAGTCGAACTTGTTTGCCTGACTGTCCTGCCTTTAGTACTGAAGGTCCCATATCTGAGCACTCTTGTATAGGTGGTTTCTAGGATAGCTTAAAACTGTAAAGAGGCCGGGCGCGGTGGCTCACGCCTGTAATCCTAGCACTTTGGGAGGCCGAGATGGGCAGATCACAAAGTCAGGAGATCGAGACCATCCTGGCTAACACAGTGAAACCCCGTCTCTACTAAAAATACAAAAAAATCAGCCGGACTTGGTGGTGGGTGCCTGTAGTCCCAGCTACTCGGGAGGCTGAGGCAGGAGAATGGCGTGAACCCAGGAGGTATACCTTGCAGTGAGCCAAGATCACACCACTGCACTCCATCCTGGGCAGCAGAGTGAGACTCTGTCTCAACAAAAAAAAAAAAAGAAAGAAAGATGACTGATTTAATGCACATTGATGGATGTTTTCAATACAATTTTTGTTCTCACAAAGTTAAACATAAATAATGGACACCCTAAACAGCTAGTTTTCCACAAACCTAGTAAAATAACTTGAAATTGGATGAGCATATTGTATTTCAGGGACCTTTGTCATTCATGGATGTGTTTGTGGATTTTACCTGGGAGGAGTGGCAGCTGCTAGACCCAGCACAGAAGTGCCTGTACAGGAGTGTGATGTTGGAGAACTATAGCAACCTGGTGTCCCTAGGTAAGTGCTGCCTCCCTGAGGAGGAGTGTGCTCGATCTCCAGGCTTCTTCTTGGTTGCTGAAAACTGGAGGGCTTCTATGAAATACTTAGTGATTTTGGACTTAGATTTTAAGGCCAGATTTTCTTAGTTCCCTATTGGCAGCAGAGTATGCCAGTTGAATGGTCTTTACTTTGCCAAATTGCAAAAAGGCAGCTTCATCATGCTACCTCCAAACCAAATCTTTCCCGTTCTTCAGAATCTCTGAATCTCAAGCTGTTTGTTCCAGGTTGTCTGTGATTTTTCTATTTATAGGGTACCAACACACCAAACCTGATATCATCTTCAAGTTGGAACAAGGAGAAGAGCTGTGTATGGTGCAGGCCCAAGTTCCAAATCAGACCTGTCCAAGTGAGTGATGGAGACAAATCTTTTCTTCTTTATTTAGAATTAGCATGAATTCCAATGTGATGTGCTCCTCTTGTTTGTACTTTGCCTCGTGTATTACCATGCACTTTTTTTTTTTTTTTTTTGAGACAGAGTTTCACTTTGTTGCCCAGGCTGGGGTGCAGTGGCGTGATCTCGGCTCGCTGCATCCTCTGCCTCCTGGGTTCAAGCAATTCTTCCGTGTCAGCCTCCTGAGTAGCTGGGGTTACAGTTGTGCGCCACCATGCCCGGCCAATTTTTGTATTTTTAGTAGAGATGGGGTTTTGCCGTGTTGGCCAGTCTAGTCTCGAACTCCTGACCTCAGGTGATCCGCCTGCCTTAGTCTCCTAAAGTGCTGGGATTACAGGCGTGAGCCAGCGTGCCCGGCCTTACCATCCACTCTTAATCTTCTCGTTGGCACCCTTATTTCCCTCCTTACTCTATCTTGGTGATAGACTCATTTCATTGTGCATTTTAGCAAGCCTTTCCTCTTTCCTTCACTTGATGTGACTCTCATGATCCTTCCCTTTCCTTTCTACATTTTGAAAATTACATTTAAATCCCTTACACATAAATTCAACAACCACAGTCCCATCTTCCTTCTTTTTGAAACCTGTTAGTAGATTCTACCCCTTTTGTGCTTCTCTATGCTAATGGATTTTTTTTTTTGAGACGGAGTCTCATTCTGTCGCCCAGGCTGGAGTGCAGGGGTGCAATCTCGGCTCACTGCAAGCTCTGCCTCCCGGGTCTCCTGCTTCAGCCTTCCAAGTAGCTGGGACTACAGGCACCTGCCACCACGCCCGGCTAATTTCTTGTATTTTTTGTAGATACAGGGTTTCACCACATTAGACAGGATGGTCTCGATCTCCTGACTTTGTGATCCGCCCACCTCGGCCTCCCAAAGTGCTAGGATTACAGGTGTCAGGCACCATGCCTGGCCTTGCTAATGGCTTTAACATTATCACTCTATACCTTCTGAGCACATTCCTTTGTCATGTGATAGTGTCCATGATCCTGCAGTGACACCTGTTGATCCTGCTCTTCTGCTGCATGACCGAGCACTTTTTCCCTTCATGTTCCACTGGGCTTCTCTTGCTCTTCTGAATCCAAGGGGTCTTTATTCTTCATTTCCCTCATATAGTGTAACTTTTAAAAGACTTACGCATTAGCTGAGCATGGTGGTGTGCACCTGTTGTCCCAGCTCCTTGGGAGGCTGAGGTGGGAGGATTGCTTGAGCCCATGAATTTGATGCTGCAGTGAACTATGGTTGTGCCACTAGACTCTGGCCTGGGTGATAGTGAGATCTCATCTCAAAAAAAGAAGACTTCTGTCTCAGTCTATTTGTGTTGCTGTAATAAAATACTATAGACTAGGTAATTTTATAAAGCACAGAAATTTATTTCTCACAGTTTTGAAGGCTGGAAAGTCCAAAGCCAAGGTGCTGGCAGGTTTGGTGTCTGGTGAGGGCCTGCTCTGTGCTTCCAAGATGACGCCTTGTTGCTGCATCCTCTGGAGGTGAGGAACACTGTGGGACAGAAAGAGGGGCAAAAAAGGCCTAAGATCATTCCCTCAAGCCCTTTTAGAAACGACTAATCCATTCATGAGGGCACAACTTAATCTTCTCTTAATACCACCACAATGGGGAGTAAGTTTCAACATGAGTTTTAGAGGGGACACATTCAAACCTTAATAACTTCCATTCGGAAGATTGAAGCTCTTTTCCTCTACTGGTAATTGATAGCCATACTGATCTTTTATCTGCCCTTTGGTCCTGGTTTTGATTGATTCACTGGCATCTCCCTCATACCACTCCCTGGCCTCGTTTTCAGAAACTGGAATCGTCTCTCCCACTGCTCCACCTACATACCACCTTCTTTTCATCTTTCTTCTCTTTGTTTATCCTGTTTTTTAAATTCTAAGTTTTTTTTCCTAACACTGGGGAAGTCAGCTTGAATTTCCTTTCTGTGCAGGGCTCCCTTACTAATTTTGGTACAGTGTTGTTAGCATTTTGTTCCTTTAAAAAGAGGTCTTTTAAAACCCTCATCGTCTCAATTCCCACTCAAAACGAGGCCAGTATTGTCATGTCTGGATTGTTGTATTTAGCTAAATTTATTCATTGTACTCTTTTTATATTAATTCATCTTCGATGTTACTGTCAGATATATTTCCCTGAATACCCCATTTATTCTATCACTAGCATGACAGCATAAATCAACAGTTAGTCCTTGCATTACTAGGATTGTTTCAGCTGCAGTTGTTGGTCAATCCCAGACCAACTAATTTAAGCAGAAGTGATTTATTATTACACATCACAAAAGGTCCTGAAGTGGGGCAGCTCCAGGATCAACTAAGTGATTGACTCACTCAATCGCCAAGGGCCCATCTAGGTATGTTGACATTTTCCTTAGGTTACCTTCTTTAATGGCCCTCAGATGGCTCTTGCAGTTCTAGTTGATGCCTGTGGATATACCAGTGGCCAATGAAATAAAAAGGGCTGTTTCTTCACACACGAGTCTGTCAGACAGGAAAACTCATCCCAGGAAGTCCCAAGCAGACTGATCATGTTCAACAGGCTAAATTTTTGTCACATGCCCCTGTCTGAGGGAGGCTCTGGAAAGGGAAATGGGGCTATCTCCGTTGGCTCAGATAAATTATGCTTTACCTTTTGGAAGCGGGACTGGGGATAGAAATGGGTCTTCACTTCCCTGACTGAAGCACATCACCTAGATGGGGGTGGAAAAAAATCAGGTTACTGCCAGCCAGGAACAGGGCAGAAGAACCACTGGGTAAGCAGCACTGTCTGCCTTCACCTTCCTTGGCCAGGCAGCACCTGTCACACCCTTCTTCCCAGCCATCCATCTTCAGATATTTGCTGCAACCCATATGTTGGTTCTTGTACTACATTAATACAAGTCTAGGATCCTGTTCCCATTCAGAGTGGGGAGTAGTTCTTTATGGTCTATAGACCTATAATTAAAGATAAATTAAACACATCCAGCCATCCAAATGTAGAGGGATAGAGACAAGTCTAGGGTCCCCCAGTTCCAGGAGGGCAGCAGCAGTGAACACCACATGGTAGCCACTGGTTTACACTGTTGGCCTTGTCACAATTTCTTTCTGTGGCAGTGAAATAAGTTACCTGGTGAACCTTTGTTTCTGCTCTCCAAGCATAATTTCCTTTTCCGTCATCATCTGTGATTAAACTCGAGATGGTCGTTGGGGAAATGGCTTTTCTGTAGCTTCAGAATCTCAATTCTCTTGGTGTATATTTGGGTTCCCAGTGATTGCCTTTGGACCACAGCCAGGAACCATATTTAATATGGTCTCGAATCATGTTTAAATAATCTTCAAGCTTAAGAATGCCTGATCATGTTCAACAGGCTAAATTTTTTACAGGAACCATGTGCCAGGTGCAGTGGCACATGTCTGTGATCCCAGCAGTTTGGGAGGCCAAGGTGGGAGGATCACTTGAGGCCAGGAGCTTAAGACCAGCTTGGGCAACATAGTGAGACCCCAGCTTTACCAAAAATTTTTAAAAATTAGGTGGTCATGATGACTGTTGCCAGTAGTCCCAGCTACTTGGGATGCTGAGGTTGGAAGATCAGTTGAGTCTGGGAGGTTGAAGATGCAGTGAGCAATGATTGCACCACTGCACTTGAATCTGGGTGACAGAGAGGGATCCTGTCTCTTTTTTTGTTTTTGTTTTTGTTTTTTTTTGAGACAGAGTCTCGCTCTGTTGCCTAGGCTGGAGTGCAGTGGTGCGATCTCGACTCACTGCAACCTCCACCTCCCAGGTTCAAGCGATTCTCCTGCCTCCCCCTTCCAAGTAGCTGGGATTACAGGTACGCGCTACCACACCTGGCTAATTTTTGTATTTTTAGACAGGGTTTCACCATGTTGATCAGGCTGGTCTCGAACTCCTGACCTCAGGTGATCCCGCCTCAGCCTCCCAAGGTGCTGGGATTACAGGCATGAACCACTATGCCCGGCCAACCCTGTCTCTTTAAAAAAAAAAAAAAAAAAGGCCAGGTGTGGTGGCTCATGCCTGTAATCCCAGCACTTTGGGAGGCTGAGGCAGGTGGATCACGAGGTCAAGAGATCAAGACTATCCTGGCCAACATGGTGAAACCCCATCTCTACTAAAAATACAAAAATTAGCTGGGCGTGGTGATGCATGCCTGTAATCCCAGCTACTCGGGAGGCTGAGGCAGGAGAATTGCTTGAACCTAGGGGGCGAAGATTGTAGTGAGCCGAGATCACACCACTGCACTCCAGCCTGGCGACAGAGTGAGACTCCATCTAAAAAAAAAAAAAAAAAAAAAGCCTGTCTTTTAGTTACTGGGTTTGGTATTCCCTGATTTTTTGAATTCTTTGAACTCTACCTTGAGGTGTCAAGTATAATCCTGTTTTTGCCATTATTGTTACAAAGAGCATGCTGTAGAGAAGACACATTAGATTTCCAATGACGAAAGCAGAGATACAGGAACCGAGCAAAGATAAGGATGGGTGTGTTACCAGCACCAGAAGGAATGGAAGGATAAAGTACAGGGTTTGATAGTTAGGATGGCTTCAGTATCCATGAACTATGAAAGTCTACCAAAAAAATAGTGACAGTCAAACACAGGAGCAAATCTGATTCTAGGGCACAGAGTAATTATTCACTGGCCTATTTTCATTTTGTTGGGGACAGTTTTTACTATAGGACCATTTAATAATATCACTCCTTCTCAAACCATTGTGAAAACCGAAAGTGCTCATATTTATTTGTTAGTGCATTAACGGAAGATAATGCCCCAGTGGGGAATTGATGTTTGGGGAGATAGAATTTGATGGTTGTATACAAAATGAATAAGAGGGATCAGATTTAATAGGAAAACTACCTGCAGTTTTTCACAGTAAACTTGGAGTGAGATGTTAAGATCCCCTGATCTGCTCTGCTTTCTTTTTTTTTTAATATTAATACCTTTAATAAATTTTATTTTCCAGATTTTCTATTCTCTAGATCCTTTCTTTTTTTTTTTTTTAAATATTATTATACTTTAAGTTTTAGAGTACATGTGCACAATGTCCAGGTTAGTTACATATGTGTACATGTGCCATGCTAGTGTGCTGCACCCACTAATTCGTCATCTAGCATTAGGTATATCTCCCAATGCTATCCCTCCCCCCTCCCCCCACCCCACAACAATCCCCAAAGTGTGATGTTCCCCTTCCTGTGTCCATGTGTTCTCATTGTTCAATTCCCACCTATGAGTGAGAATATGCGGTGTTTGGTTTTTTGTTCTTGCGATAGTTTACTGAGAATGATGATTTCCAATTTCATCCATGTCCCTACAAAGGACATGAACTCATCATTTTTTATGGCTGCATAGTATTCCATGGTGTATATGTGCCACATTTTCTTAATCCAGTCTATCATTGATGGACATTTGGGTTGGTTCCAAGTCTTTGCTATTGTGAATAGTGCTGCAATAAACATACGTGTGCATGTGTCTTTATAGCAGCATGATTTATAGTCCTTTGGGTATATACCCAGTAATGGGATGGTTGGGTCAAATGGTATTTCTAGTTCTAGATCCCTGAGGAATTGCCACACTGACTTCCACAATGGTTGAACTAGTTTACAGTCCCACCAACAGTGTAAAGGTGTTCCTGTTTCTCCACGTCCTCTCCAGCACCTGTTGTTTCCTGACTTTTTAATGATTGCCATCCTAACTGGTGTGAGATGGTATCTCATTGTGGTTTTGATTTGCATTTCTCTGATGGCCAGTGATGATGAGCATTTTTTCATGTGTTTTTTGGCTGCATAAATGTCTTCTTTTGAGAAGTGTCTGTTCATATCCTTTGCCCACTTTTTGATGGGGTTGTTTTTTTCTTGTAAATTTGTTTGAGTTCATTGTAGATTCTGGATATTAGCCCTTTGTCAGATGAGCAGGTTGTGAAAATTTTCTCCCATTCTGTAGGTTGCCTGTTCACTCTGATGGTAGTTTCTTTTGCTGTGCAGAAGCTCTTTAGTTTAATTAGATCCCATTTGTCAATTTTGGCTTTTGTTGCCATTGCTTTTGCTGTTCTAGACATGAAGTCCTTGCCCATGCCTATGTCCTGAATGGTAATGCCTGGGTTTTCTTCTAGGGTTTTTATGGTTTTAGGTCTAACGTTTAAGTCTTTAATCCATCTTGAATTGATTTTTGTATAAGGTGTAAGGAAGGGATCCAGTTTCAGCTTTCTACATATGGCTAGCCAGTTTTCCCAGCACCATTTATTAAATAGGGAATCCTTTCCCTATTGCTTGTTTTTGTCAGGTTTGTCAAAGATCAGATAGTTGTAGATATGCGGCATTATTTCTGAGGGCTCTGTTCTGTTCCATTGATCTATATCTCTGTTTTGGTACCAGTACCATGCTTTTTTGGTTACTGTAGCCTTGTAGTATAGTTTGAAGTCAGGTAGTGTGATGCCTCCAGCTTTGTTCTTTTGGCTTAGGATTGACTTGGCGATGCGGGCTCTTTTTTGGTTCCATATGAACTTTAAAGTAGTTTTTTTCAATTCTATGAAGAAAGTCATTGGTAGCTTGATGGGGATGGCATTAAATCTATAAATTACCTTGGGCAGTATGGCCATTTTCACGATATAGATTCTTCCTACCCATGAGCATGGAATGTTCTTCCATTTGTTTGTATCTTCTTTTATTTCATTGAGCAGTGGTTTGTACTTCTCCTTGAAGAGGTCCTTCACATCCCTTGTAAGTTGGATTCCTAGGTATTTTATTCTCTTTGAAGCAATTGTGAATGGGAGTTCACTCATGATTTGGCTCTCTGTTTGTCTGTTATTGGTGTATAAGAATGCTTGTGATTTTTGTACATTGATTTTGTATCCTGAGACTTTGCTGAAGTTGCTTATCAGCTTAAGGAGATTTTGGGCTGAGACAGTGGGGTTTTCTAGATATACAATCATGTCGTCTGCAAACAGGGACAATTTGACTTCCTCTTTTCCTAATTGAATACCCTTTATTTCCTTCTCCTGCCTAATTGCCCTGGCCAGAACTTCCAACACTGTGTTGAATAGGAGTGGTGAGAGAGAGCATCCCTGTCTTGTGCCAGTTTTCAAAGGGAATGCTTCTAGTTTTTGCCCATTCAGTATGATATTGGCTGTGGGTTTGTCATAGATAGCTCTTATTATTTTGAGACACGTCTCATCAATACCTAATTTATTGAGAGTTTTTAGCATGAAGGGTTGTTGAATTTTGTCAGAGGCCTTCTCTGCATCTATTGAGATAATCATGTGGTTTTTGTCTTTGGTTTTGTTTATATGCTGGATTACATGTATTGATTTGCATATATTGAACCAGCCTTGCATCCCAGGGATGAAGCCCACTTGATCATGGTGGATAAGCTTTTTGATGTGCTGCTGGATTCGGTTTGCCAGTATTTTATTGAGGATTTTTGCATCAATGTTCATCAAGGATATTGGTCTAAAATTCTCTTTTTTGGTTGTGTCTCTGCCCGGCTTTGGTATCAGGATGATGCTGGCCTCAGAAAATGAGTTAGGGAGGATTCCCTCTTTTTCTATTGATTGGAATAGTTTCAGAAGGAATAGTACCAGTTCCTCCTTGTACCTCTGGTAGAATTTGGCTGTGAATCCATCTGGTCCTGGACTCTTTTTGGTTGGTAAGCTATTGATTATTGCCACAATTTCAGAGCCTGTTATTGGTCTATTCAGAGAGTCAACTTCTTCCTGGTTTAGTCTTGGGAGGGTGTATGTGTCAGGGAATTTATCCATTTCTTTAGATTTTCTAGTTTATTTGCATAGAGGTGTTTGTAGCATTCTCTGATGGTAGTTTGTATTTCTGTGGGATCGGTGGTGAAATCCCCTTTATCATTTTTTATTGCGTCTATTTTATTCTTCTCTTTTTATTAGTCTTGCTAGCGGTCTATCAATTTTGTTGATCCTTTCAAAAAACCAGCTCCTGGATTCATTAATTTTTTTGAAGGGTTTTTGTGTCTCTATTTCCTTCAGTTCTCCTCTGATTTTAGTTATTTCTTGCCTTCTTCTAGCTTTTGAATGTGTTTGCTCTTGCTTTTCTAGTTCTTTTAATTGTGATGTTAAGGTGTCAATTTTGGATCTTTCCTGCTTTCCCTTGTGGGCATTTAGTGCTATAAATTTCCCTCTACACACTGCTTTGAATGTGTCCCAGAGATTCTGGTATGTTGTGTCTTTGTTCTCATTGGTTTCAAAGAACATCTTTATTTCTGCCTTCATTTCGTTATGTACCCCATAGTCATTCAGGAGCAGGTTGTTCAGTTTCCATGTAGTTGAGCGGTTTTGAGTGAGTTTCTTAATCCTGAGTTCTAGTTTGATTGCACTGTCGTCTTAGAGATAGTTTGTTATAATTTCTGTTCTTTTACATTTGCTGAGGAGAGCTTTACTTCCAAATATGTGGTCAATTTTGGAATAGGTGTGATGTGGTGCTGAAAAGAATGTATATTTTGTTGATTTGGGGTGGAGAGTTCTGTAGATGTCTATTAGCTCTGCTTTCTTTTAATATCCTTTTCTTTCATTACCCTGGTTAGTATGTTGTTTTGGGGCATCTATCTATTTTCTACTCAACCTCCAGATATTTCCTGTTGTGACAAAGGACTTGATCCTTAGTCTTATTTCCTATCTATTTTCTATCTTTCCCTTTTTGTTTTTGTGTTCACAAAGCTGTTTGCCTACCCTGTGCCGATTCTTTTCCATGCCTGCTAGAGGAAACATCTTCAGTCTCTTTTTAACTCTTGTGGTAGTTACCTCCATATTTCTAAATAACCAGCTTATTCTGCTAGACCTTGGCTTTCTCCCCTAATGATTGCTCAGTATAGAAAGGTAATTTACTTCTCTTTCACTCTCCTCCCTCCATACCTTCCCACCATATACACACTCATGATGGAGACATGTCTCTTCTCATGTTCCCATGCCTCCATCATTCTGATACAGTTATTTCATATTTTTGGTTAAATCTGTCTTTAGTTTTTATGTTGGTATGACTGTAATTCCTGTTTATAGGGAAATCATGCAAGTATACAGTGATTTATTTTTGTTTCTAAATTTGTATTTTTTCTGTAGTTAATTTTTTGCTAATTTAATTTTGTTACCATTAATGTTTTCATCATGTATTCAATTCCAGACTCTCCTTTCAGTATCTGAATATTCTTGGCTGATACTTTCAGCCAAATTATTAATTGTATTCCTTTTTTCTTCCTAGTGATATTGACTGCTAAGTTTTTCTGACTTGCTTCAGAGTAGCTTAGTTTTTTTAAGGCCTGCTGTGCAATTTTTATCCTGGGATCTCCTCTTTGATTTTATTTTCTATATCCTCTGTCATTTCTTTTCTTGGAGCAACTCAAGAGTAGCTTCCTGGAAAAGGGTGATACAAACATTGAGACCTGTGCATCTGAAAATGTTTTGACTTTATTCCTCATTGCTCTATTTTCTGTCCTCTAGTTTTCCTAAAGAGAAGTCTGATGGCATTCTAATTTTTGTTACATTGTAGAAAGCTTTGTTTTTGTTTCAGTTTTGATTTCTCTGGATGGTTTTAAGAACTGCTTCTTGTCCTGTTAAGGAATGATGTTCCCTCTCAGTTTATTTTTATCCATTTACTAGGTATTGAGATGTTATTCCCAGGAGGACTGGGAAGTAATCTGCATTGTTCTCTGCCATTTCTCTAGAAGTTAGCATAGTGTTTGGCACATAGTAGGTATTTAATTATTTTTTGAATAAATCTAATGTTCATAGATCCCTAATGACATGTTTATATTATCTTCATTGTTCCTTTTGCCTATTTTGCCTTCTTTATCCAATATGCAAAACTTTTAAACTTCTTATCAGTTTACTATGCCTATCTTCAGTTTGGTTTTTCTTTTTCTCAGTACCCAGTAGTTTGAGTGTTTTTATACCTGAGAATTTATTTATATTCAGATCTGATATCTGAAACTAAAAACCTCATGATATGGCATTTCACAGGGAACTTTCTAGTATACCACAATCATGTGATTTATAACATGTGACTAATTGTTCTTATTTCATAGGCAACTTTCTAGTATACCGCAATCATGTGATTTATAACATGTGACCAATTGTTCTCATTTCTAGACACAGTCTGGAAAATTGATGATCTTATGGATTGGCATCAGGAAAATAAAGACAAGCTGGGAAGTACGGCAAAAAGCTTTGAATGCACTACATTTGGAAAACTATGTCTTCTTAGTACAAAGTATCTTTCAAGACAAAAACCTCATAAATGTGGCACGCATGGAAAGAGTTTGAAATATATAGATTTCACTAGTGATTATGCTAGAAATAATCCTAATGGGTTTCAGGTACATGGAAAATCATTCTTCCATTCTAAACATGAGCAAACTGTTATTGGAATAAAATACTGTGAAAGTATTGAATCTGGAAAAACCGTCAATAAGAAATCGCAACTTATGTGCCAACAAATGTATATGGGCGAAAAACCCTTTGGATGCAGCTGTTGTGAGAAAGCCTTCAGCAGCAAGTCATACCTTCTAGTGCATCAGCAAACTCATGCCGAAGAGAAACCCTATGGTTGTAATGAATGTGGGAAAGACTTCAGTAGTAAATCATACCTCATTGTACATCAGAGAATTCATACAGGAGAGAAACTACATGAATGCAGTGAATGCAGGAAAACATTCAGTTTCCATTCACAGCTTGTTATACATCAGAGAATTCACACAGGTGAGAATCCCTATGAGTGCTGTGAATGTGGGAAAGTCTTCAGTAGGAAAGACCAGCTTGTTTCACACCAGAAAACTCATTCAGGACAGAAACCATATGTGTGTAATGAATGTGGGAAAGCTTTTGGTTTAAAATCACAGCTCATTATACATGAAAGAATTCATACAGGAGAGAAACCATATGAATGCAATGAATGTCAGAAAGCCTTTAATACAAAGTCAAACCTTATGGTACATCAGAGAACCCATACAGGGGAGAAACCTTATGTTTGTAGTGATTGTGGAAAAGCCTTTACATTCAAGTCACAGCTCATTGTACATCAGGGGATTCACACAGGAGTAAAGCCCTATGGGTGTATTCAGTGTGGTAAAGGATTCAGTTTGAAATCACAGCTCATTGTACATCAGAGAAGTCACACAGGAATGAAACCTTATGTATGCAATGAATGTGGCAAAGCCTTCAGGAGCAAGTCATACCTTATTATACATACAAGGACTCATACAGGAGAAAAACTCCATGAATGCAACAATTGTGGGAAAGCCTTCAGTTTTAAATCACAGCTCATTATACATCAGAGGATTCATACAGGAGAGAACCCCTATGAATGCCATGAATGTGGGAAAGCCTTCAGTCGGAAATACCAGCTTATTTCACACCAGAGAACTCATGCAGGAGAGAAGCCTTATGAATGCACCGACTGTGGAAAGGCTTTTGGTTTAAAGTCACAGCTTATTATACACCAGAGAACTCATACAGGGGAGAAACCATTTGAATGTAGTGAGTGTCAGAAAGCCTTTAATACAAAGTCAAACCTGATTGTACATCAGAGAACTCATACAGGAGAGAAACCCTATAGTTGTAATGAATGTGGAAAAGCCTTTACGTTCAAATCACAGCTCATTGTACATAAAGGAGTGCACACTGGAGTAAAACCCTATGGATGCAGTCAATGTGCAAAAACCTTTAGTTTGAAGTCCCAGCTCATTGTACATCAGAGAAGTCACACAGGAGTAAAACCATATGGATGCAGTGAGTGTGGGAAAGCCTTCAGGAGCAAGTCATACCTTATTATACATATGAGAACTCATACAGGAGAGAAACCACATGAGTGCAGGGAATGCGGGAAATCCTTTAGTTTCAATTCACAACTCATTGTGCATCAGAGAATTCACACAGGAGAAAATCCCTATGAATGCAGTGAATGTGGGAAAGCCTTTAATAGGAAAGACCAGCTCATTTCACATCAGCGAACTCATGCAGGGGAAAAGCCTTATGGGTGCAGTGAATGTGGGAAAGCTTTTAGCAGCAAGTCATACCTAATTATACACATGAGAACTCATTCAGGTGAAAAACCATATGAATGTAATGAATGTGGGAAAGCCTTCATTTGGAAATCACTACTCATTGTACATGAGCGAACTCATGCAGGGGTCAACCCTTATAAATGCAGTCAATGTGAGAAATCCTTCAGTGGGAAATTACGCCTTCTTGTACACCAGAGAATGCACACAAGAGAGAAACCATATGAATGCAGTGAGTGTGGAAAAGCCTTCATTAGGAATTCTCAACTCATTGTACATCAAAGAACTCATTCAGGAGAGAAACCCTATGGGTGCAATGAATGTGGGAAAACCTTCTCTCAAAAATCAATTCTCAGTGCACATCAGAGAACACATACAGGAGAGAAGCCTTGTAAGTGCACTGAATGTGGGAAAGCCTTTTGTTGGAAGTCACAGCTCATTATGCATCAGAGAACTCATGTAGATGACAAACATTGATAATTTTACGAAACTCTGAAAAGTGGATTCACAAGAGATAGAAACAATCATATATAAAGAGAAACTCTGTAAGTGGAATCATCTTGTCATCTTCCAGAAAACTCATACTGAATAGAAACTTTATGAATGCACAGCATATGGAAAGGCATCCACAGAAAGCTGTTCTTTACATGCAAAAAGATAGTAGACAATACACAGGAAAACTGAATTTAGTAACCACTCTGAAAATTTTTAGCAGCAAGTCATACCTTTTTTTAAAAAGTTCATACAGGTGAGGAACCATGTTAAACGTTGTAAAGTCATTTTACTAAAATAAGATTCACAAAGAGGAAACTTCATGAACCAGATGAATATAGAATAGACTTCTTTGAAATTCATAGTTTACAGAATTTTAATGAGAGAAATTATTGAGCTAATGAATGGCAGAATTAACAAAATTACAAACATTTTATGTATCGGAAGCATATACCTTGGAGGGACCATGCTATAAGGGAAAGTGTAAATCTAGAAATGAGAAACCCCTAGGGAAAAAATATATATAGGAGTGAACATCTTATGAATGTACCAAATAAACCACAGCTGGACTGTTAACCTCACCTTAGAAGCTTCATTCTAAAAAAAAAAAAAAAAAAAAAAAAAAAAACCAACCTGTTATTATATCTTAATATTAATTTTGAAGAATTATTTCTTTTAGGAATCATTTTAAGAAATTTTATTCCAGGTGTTCCAAAATTTCAGGAAAAGGTTTGAGAAAATTCTCAATTATAAATAATAAGATACAGATTATTTCATTGTACAAGTGAATCTAGTAAGGAGGTTAAGAATAAGAAATAACATCCCAGAGCCTACAGGGATATTTAGATATCTTCCTATGTGTACTACATAATATGAATTTTGCAGTTTGGCATTTTACTTGCGAATGCCATATGTGAGACAAAAATCATCTTCCAGAGATTTCAGTATCTCTGATACTGACAATATCTCTGATATGACAATATCATCTTCCAGAGATTTCTACTCTGCATACCAACATTGTTTCTTTGTGTCTTACCAAATGCAACTTGTTACTAGAATATGACTTACTAAAAATGCATTTCCACACTGCAAACATTTTTTAGGGCTATCTTCTGCCCTTTGGAAGCAGTCTTGGCAGCAACCTCTTTAGTAATCAATATAAGGCACACTTCATGTGTTTGTGTAGCCTGGAATCTATTCTACCTTCACAGGTTAGAACATCTTGATTTCCTCTTAACGAAACATTCCCTAACGGTGTATGTAGTCATGAGGGAACCACCATTCAAGATGCCCTGCTCAGGACTTGGCATGAGCACTATGGTCAGCTGAGGCTCAGAACTGTACATTGTTAATGGGTTTTTCAAGTTCAGAAAAGCAACATGAGCTTTTGTTCTGTGGTAGCATGTTGATGTAATAAGTAGCTATTTCAATAGAGGTTCCCAGAACAGCTTTTGTTACTGTCATTTTCTTAACTTTGTTCACTTGTCTTTTATTTTGAGCTATTGGGTGTGCTTTTAATACATTCCTTGTTTGATTGCATTAGCCATTGTGTATCTTTTGCATACAGCTTACTAAATCAGATGGCTTCAGAAATGGGTGGTAGAGGAGTAGGCAGAAACTTGCAAGGATATGTGGATATTTGGAAATGGTTGTTTCCCAAGACAGGATGGAAGTCTTTTAAGCAAGAAACTTGGCCCATGCTATGAAGTCATGAAATGAATTGTTGGCATCATGTGCTCACTGAGGCTTTGGGGAAATGGATAAGTTGTCATTGAAAAATTTTAAACAGAATTCTGGAGTGGTCAAGAGGGGAATGCTTTTGATACCCATGTATAACATGGAGAATAATGATCTTAAAACTTCAATTTAAGATTATGTGTCAGTGATACTACTTAGTTACATGTAGCTATAGAGTCACAGTGGTGAAAAACTCTGCCAGTTGCTTACTCACAAAGTTAGTTTTCTTCACTACCTCATCAGGTTTGTTATGTGAGTGGGCATTAATCTGGGAAGAGTGGGACCCTGCCAGTTAGATTAGGGCTATCTTGGAGGAATATGCGGATTCAATACTGCAAATATTTCTGAAACACCTTCTGCTTTGTACTCTATTAGATACCCAAAGAAATTTTCATCCTTGAAGCGGAGGAATTTAATGATACCTGAATGCCTAACTGTTGTATTCTGCTTATACAGAATCCAATCTCAAGATACTTGGGGTGAAGAATGATGATTCACAGAAGGGAAGGGACATCTTACATAAACAAATAATCGCAGATACTTGCTAAAGTGTATCCCCCAATCTGGGAAATACTGTAAAGGTGTATATTATTATTGATGTACCAAAGAAGACAGAATAAATTCATAAGAGAAAGTTTATATTCAGTTTACTACTACCTAGGGTTAGATTTTAGTTTGTTGTTTTTTCAGATGCAAATCTACATGCAGCCTTGCCTGGTAGAAGCCAGAAGTGTTGACAGTATTGAGGACAGCACTCACATACTGTGGGAAAGAATAATACTTGATTAGGACTTATTATTTAATGAAATGAAAATTTTACAAAACAGAAATTGAGTTACTGGTTTGTAAATCTATCTAGTCCTTCTACCCCAGCCCCAGAAAAGAAAGACATTCCAGAGACTTTTCAGGAATAGTTATTATAAGGAAAATCCAAGGAAAAATAACCCCAATATTTTACAACTTCCCCATCAAATAGAAATTTAGGAGAAAAAATGACTTGCAAACCATATTTGTGAACATAGGTTTAAAAATCCATATTTGTGAACATAGGTTTAAAAATCCATATTTGTGAACATAGGTTTAAAAATTCTAAATGGAATTATAGCAAACCAATGTATAGCTAACAAGAAAGTCATGATATTAGGTTTAACAGACTATTAGTGGATCCAGCATCCTTTGTTCATTACCAGCAGAATCACTATTATTTATAATGGCAGTATGCCCACTTAAAAAGAGATATATGGGGCCAGGCACGGTGGCTCACACCTATAATCCCAGCACTTCAGGAGGCTGAGATGGTGGATCACCTGAGGTCAGGAGTTTGAGACCAGCCTGGCCAACATGGTGAAACCCCTCTCTACTAAAAATACAAAAAAATAGCAGGGCATGGTAACTGACACCTATAATCCCAGCTACTTGGGAGGCTGGGACGGGAGAATCACTTGAATCTAGGAGGCGGAAGTTGCAGTGAGCTGAGATCGTACCACTGTACTCCACCCTGGGTGACAGAACTAGACCCTGTCTCAAAAAACAGAAGAGTATGTTTGGAAGATTTAATATTAGAAAATATTTTAATTAACTACCAGATAAAACTCATAAGGATTATCTCAGTATATGCTGATAAATCACTTGATGGAATTTAACACCCATAGATGACACTAAAATACTATTAAGTTGGGAATTAAAATTAACTCCTGTAACTTGGTAGGGAATATATGTTCTGAAAACACAAATGTCATACTTAATGATAAAATAGTAGAAAGATTCCTTTAAAGTAAAATTAGCCAGGTGCAGTGGCTCATCCATGTAATACCAGCACTTGGGAAGGCTGAGGCTGGAGGATTGCTGGAACCCAGGAGTTCGAGACAAGCCTGACCAATATAGGGAGACCCTGTCTGTACAAAAACTTTTTAAAAAGATTAGCCAGGTGTGGTCAGGCGCCGTGGCTCATGCCTGTAATCCCAGCACTTTGGGAGGCCGAGGTGGGCAGATCACTTGAGGTCAGGATTTCAAGACCAGTGTGGCTAACATGGTGAAACCCCGTCTCTACTAAAAATACAAAAGTCAGCCAGGTGTGGTGGCACGTGCCTGTAATCCCATCTACTCGGGAGGCTGAGGCAGAAGAATTGCTTGAACCTAGGAGGTGGCAGTTGCAGTGAGCCAAGATTGCACCACTGCACTCCAGGCTGGGCGACAGAACAAGCCTCCATCTCAAAAAAAAGATCAGCCAGGTGTAGTGGCAAGTGCCGGTAGTCCCACCTACTGAGGAGGCTGAGGCAGGAGGTTAGCTTGAGTCCAGTAGTTCAAGGCTACAGTGAGCTATGATCATGCCCCTGCACTCCATCCTGGGCAACAAAGTGAGACCCTGTCTGTAAAAAACAAAGCAAAATTACAAGAATGCGCATCACTTTTATGAAATGAGTAACATCTAGCCAAGGTGTGAAAACAAGGAATGTGAGGAATTAGGGATGGGTGCAGAAACAACTGCCATGAATTGGAGATGTGATCGTGTAATTAGGAAACCCAAAATAAACCACAAACAAATGTTTGGAACTGCCAGTAGAGTAGCAAGTATGCAGTTGTCAGTATTCATGGAGGACCCCCCCGCAACCACAGATACTCCCTGTGGATGCTCAAGCTCCTTATATGGCATAGTATTTGCATTTTTTTTTTTTTTTTTGAGATGGAGTCTCGCTGTATTGCCAGGCTGGAGTGCAGTGGTGTGTTCTTGGCTCACTGCAACCTCTGCCTCCTGGGTTCAAGCAATTCTCCTGCCTCAGCCTCCCTAGTAGCTGGAATTACAGGCACACGCCACCACGCCCAGCTAATTTTTGTGTTTTTAGTAGAGATGGGGTTTCACCATGTTGGCCAGGCTGGTCTTGAACTCCTGACCTCGTGATCCACCCTCAGCCTCCCAAAGTGCTGGGATTACAGGTGTGAGCCACTGGTCTGTATTGATTTTTCTTAATTCTTTGCTAAAGGGCCAGGTAGAGTTATTTATTTCTTGTAGAGATGGGGTTTTACCATGTTTTCCAGTCTGGTTTCAAACTCCTGGGCTCAAGCAGTCCACCTGCCTTGGCCTCCCAAAGTGCTAGGATTACAGGTGTGAGCCAAGCACCCAGCCATAAATCTTAAATAAATTCTGATTTTGGTATAAATGATATATTTAAATTTAAATGAAGTTGCAAGTTTTAACATGTCTACTCTTTAATTTTCAACATTGTTTCAACTACTTGTTAGAAACACAGGCCATTAAAACATTAATAAAAAGGCTGGGCATGGTGGCTCATGCCTGTAATCTCAGCATTTTGTGAGGCTGAGGCAGGTGGATGACTTGAGGTCAGGAGTTCGAGACCAGCCTGGTGAAACCCCGTCTCTACTAAAAATACAAAAATTGGCCAGCTGTGGTGGCATGCATCTATAATCCAAGCTACTCAGGAGAATTGCTTGAACTGGAGAGGCGGAGGTTGCAGTGAGCTGAGATTGTGCCATTGCACTCCAGCCCGGGCAGCAGAGTGAGACTCCTTCAAAAAAAATTAATAAAAGCAAGCACATAGGGTGCACATTTGCCCTTCCCTCTTGGGATCCAGGGTGATCCCACAGGTGCTGTTCATCCCCAACTTTGACCTGGACTGTTGCAGTGTTTTGTCGCAGTGTTTCTCCCTTTTTTTGTACTGGGATTTCTCCCCAGAAACAAACCCATATGTATAAAAAGTAGTTGGGCTTGCTATAAAGATGACTAGTGGAAACCTCAATAGAGGTACGATTTCCTAAAATAAATCTTGTTCAGATATTACAGGGCAAAGTGAAACAGCAAAGCTCCCTCCTCAGCACTCAGGGTGCAGGCCTCACTTTTCCTCATCTTTTCCTCCTGTGGCCTCCATGTATCCCAAAGGTGAGATGACATCGCCCCAGATTGGTCCGGAAAGTGCACTGGTCGTCACTGTGGGTGTACCCTACAGGAGTCTTCAGATATGGAAGCTCTGGATCTCACTGTGATGTATCCCCCTAGGGGGTCCCCAGGTTGTGAGGAAAAGGAAGCTTTAGTCCTCACTGTGGTTGCATCCCCCACCACGGGTCAGTCCTGAGGAGGATACTCTGGTCATCACTGTGATCTACCTCCCAGGGGTCCCCAGGTTGGTCCTGAGGAGAAGGAAGCTCAGAACCTCACTGTGGATTTGCCCCACTAGGGTCCCTAGGTCAGTCCTGAAGAGAAACAAGCTCCAGTCTTCACTGTGGTTGTGCCCCACAGTGGTCCTCAGGTTGGCCAGTGGAGAAGGAAGCTCTGGTTCTCAGTGTGATGCATCCCCCAGGTTGGTCCTGAGATGAGGTAAATTCTGGTCATCACTGTGAAGTGCCCTCGGGGGTCTCCGGGTCCTGAGTAGAAGCAAGGTCTGTTTGTCACTGTGGATTCCCCCCTGCCAAGGGTCCCCAGGTCAGTCCTGAGGAGAAGGCAGCTCAGTCTTTACTGTGATGCAGCCTCTAGTGATCCCCAGGTCCTGAGTAGAAGGAAGGCCTGGTCCTCTGTGGATTCAACCCAGAGGTCTGTGAGCAGAATGCAGGTACTGCAAGCAGGCTAGACAAGGTGTGTGCTTGCACCCCTTCCTTACTACCTAGGCACAGTGTTGGATGGTCAGTGCTTCCTGTTTTGTGATGGCCATGTGCCCCCTCTTGCAGTCCCAGTGAACCCCTGAAATTCAATCTTACGATTTTCCATGCCATAATTTTGGAAAACGAAACTGAAATAGAGTCCATCATTCCATGCCTTAATTGGAATGGATAGAGATAATAAAAGGCAAAGTAGATGGCCATAGACAAAAGTCAAGTGATTTCCTATATATTTGAAATAATGTATAGCAATAATTGGAATTTGTAATGAATAAAATCATTCAAAAAAATCTGAAAAAGTGTTTGTATGCAAAATATAAAAAAAAAACCCTAAAATTGAACAAGAAGACAACCCAATTAAAAATGGGGACAGATCCAAATACATACTTTCCAAAGATATACAGATGGTGGCCAGGCACGGTGGCTCACGCCTGTAATCCCAGCACTTTGGGAGGCCGAGGCGGGCAGATCACCTGAGGTCCGGAGTTCGAGACCAGCCTGACCAACATGGAGAAACCCTGTCTCTACTAAAAATACAAAATTAGCCAGGCGTGGTGGCGCTACTCTGCCACCAAGTGGTAGCTACTCCGGAGGCGGAGGCAGGAGAATGGCTTGAACCCGGGAGGCGGAGGTTGCTGTGAGCCGAGATCGCGCCATTGCACTCCAGCCTGGGCAACAAGAGTGAAACTCCGTCTCAAAAAAAAAAAAAAGAAGATATACAGATGGCAAATAAGCATACCAAATAATGCTCAGTGACACTTGTCATGAGGGAAAAGCAAATTAAAACAACGAGATAGCACCGCACATCTATTAAAGTGACTATAATCTAAAAATAAGTAAATTTGCAATTGCAACAGGAACTCTCATTCATTGCTGGTGCAATGCATAATAGTATAGCCACTTTGGAAGATAGTTTGACTTTTCCCCAAAGCTAAACAAAGCTTCACAATATGAGCCAACAATCACACTCCTAGGTATTTAGATAACTGCTTTGAAAACATAGGAGTTTGATCTAAACAAAACCCAGCATGTACTCACGTACAGCAGCTCTTTTCATAACAGACAAATACTTTAAGGAATCAGGATAACCTTCAATAGGTGAATGACTAACTAGGCTGGGGTACATCCATGCAATGGAGTCCTGTTCAGCAAGAGCAAGCTCTGAGGCCATGCAGGACATGGATGAATCTGATAGGCATATTGCTAAGTGAAAGAGACCAGTGTGAAAAGGCTGTATGATCCTATTTCTATGATGTTATGGAAAAGCAGAAACTACAGGGGTAGCAAACATATCTGTGATTGATGACGGTTTGTAGAGGGCAGGGAGTGAGTTAAATAGGAGGATATAATGATAGAAACAGGCACAAATGGGCCTTTGGAGAGTGTACTCCCTCTGCTTGGTGAAATTATGCTGGGTGTGTGTGGAAGAGCCTGGGATGTATAATGCCAGCATGAACAAAAAGGCCACTTATCACTCCAGGAGAGCAGGGTGTTCTTTCATCACACATGAAATTATTTCAGGATCAGTTCCAAGGGAGACTTTCATGTGTGATTTTATATATATATATATATATATATATATATATATATATATATATATATATATATGTATATATACACACACACATACACACATATATACACATATATATACACATATACACATATATATACACATATATATAATAAGAACATTTACCATTTTAACTATTTTTAAGTGTACACTTCAGTGGCATGAAGTACATTATTTCCATTATTGTGCAACTATCATTTTACATTCCACCAGCAGTGCACAAGGCTTCCAATTTCTCCACATACTTGCCAATATTAATTAGTTTGTTTCTCTCTCATTTCATAGGCATGATCATAACTCACTGCAGCCCCAACCTCCTGGGCTCAAGGGATCCTTCCACCTCAGCCTCCTGGGTAGCTGGAACTACAGGTGCCACTACACCCAAATAGTTTTTTGGTTTTTTTGAAATGGAGTTTCACTCTGTCACCCAGGCTGGAGTGCAGTGGCACCATTTCAGCTCACTGCAACCTCCGCCTCCTAGGTTTAAGTGATTCTCCTTCCTCGGCCTCCTGAGTAGCTGGGATTACAGGCATGTGCCACCATGTATGGCTATTTTTTGTATTTTTAGTAGAGACAGGGTTTCACCATGTTGGCCAGGCCAGGCTAGTCTCAAACTCCTGTCCTCAAGTGATCCACTTACCTTGGCCTCCCAAAGTGCTGGGATTACAGGCTTGAACCACTGCACTTGGCCTCCATATTTTTTATAATAGCCACTCTAACATGTATGAAATGGTATCTCATTGTGGTTTTGATTTTCCTTTACCTAATGGCTAGTGATGTTGAAAATCTTTTCATGTACTTCTTGGCACTGGATTTGGCAATGATTTATTGGATATGACACCAGAAGCATGGGAAACAAAAGAAAAAATAGGTAAATTGGACTTCACCAAAATTGAAAACTTTCGGCATCAGTGGACACTATCAAGAAAGTGAAAAGGAGCTGGGTGTGGTGGCTCACGCCTGTAATTCCAGCACTTTGGGAGGCCAAGGTGGGAGGATCACTTGAGGTCAGGAGTGCGAGACCAGCCTGGTTAACTTGGTGAAACCACGTCTCTACTAAAAATAAAAAAAAAGAGAAAAAAAAAAGCCGGGTGTGGTGGCATGTGCCTGTAATCCCAGCAACTCAGGAAGCTGAGGCAGGAGGATCGCTTGAAGCTGTGAGGTGGAGGTTGCAGTGAGCCGAGATCATGCTACTGCACTCCAGCCCAGGTGACAGAGCAAGAAAGCAAAATTCCATCTCAAAAAAAAAAAAAAGGCCGGGTGTGGTGGCTCACGCCTGTAATCCTAGCACTTTGGGAGGCTGAGGCAGGTGGATCACGAGGTCAGGAGATCGAAACCATCCTGGCTAATGTGGTGAAACCCTGTCTCTACAAAAAAATACAAAAAATTAGCCAGGCTGGTAGTGGAAGCCTGTAGTCCCAGCTACTTGGGAGGCTGAGGAAGGAGAATGGCGTGAACCTGGAACCAGTGAGCCCAGATCTCACCACTGCACTCCAGCCTGGGCGACAGAGCGAGACTCCGTCTCAAAAAAAAAAAAGGTGAATATAGGAGAAAAGACACTGTAAAATAATATACCTGATAAGGGTCTAGTATCCAGAACATATAAAGAACTCTTACAACCCAACAACAAAAAGACAACCCAATATCAAAATGGGCAGAGGACTTGAAGAGACTTTTCTGTAAAGAAGATATGCAAATAGCATATGAAACGATACTCAACATCACTAGCCATCATGGAAATATAAATCAAAAATACAATGAGATAACACTCCATACCCATCAGAATGTCTTATTATTTTAAAAACAAACCAGAAACAAGTATTGACAAAGAAGTGGAGAAATGTGAACACCGCTGTAAAATGGTAAAGCTGCTATGACTGACCCTTGCTACAACGTGGAGGAACCTCAGAAACATTGTGCTGAGAACCCAGCACAAGGCCACACACCTGTAATCCCAGCTACTCGGGAGGCTGAGGTGGGAGGGTCGCTTGAGCCTGGGAGTTCAAGTCCAGTCTGGGCAGCATAGCAAGACTCCATGTCTACAAAGATAAAAATAAAAGCAATGTGCAGAAAGAGGCTGGCCACAAAAAGGTCACATACTGTATGATACCACTTATATGAAATACCCAGAATGGGTAAATCCAAAGAGAGCATATTGGTGGTTGTCAAGGGTCGGAGGGAGGATGAAATGTGTGACAGCTGCTTAATGGATGGAGGATTTCCTTTGGGGTGATGAAACTATTTTGGAACTAAGAGGTGGTGGCTGCACAATGTTGTGCATGGACTAAATGTCACAGAAATGTACATTTTTAAAAGTTAATTTTATATTGTGTAAATTTTACCTCAATAAAAAAATCTAGTCCACAGCATTCCCTCACCAGGGTCAGCCCTCTTAGCCTCACATTTAAGTCCCTCCATAGCCCAGTGCTGCCTGGGCCTGGCCAACCACATTCCAGACATGTGCTCCAGCCACACCATCTGCCAGCTCCTAAACCCATGGCTGTTTCATCATTCCAGGTCCAGGTCACCTTCTGATGCCTTCACAGACACTAAGTGATCAGCAGTGCCTCCTTAGGGCACACAGGGTCTTTTGAAACTTGCATTGCTGGAATTCATAGCTCGGCACGTGGTATCCAAGGGTTGTCCCATTTCAATAAGGAGAAATCAGTGTTTTCTGACCATCACCATGCAGCTATCTTGCTCAGGTGACTCACAGCTATCTGCTAGGTATGGCTAGTTCCTTGTGCAGAGGGGAGGGCCAGGCTCAGGTGATTGAATGATTCACCTGCAATCACACAGCCTCCAAGTGAGGTTCACACTCAGGTTCCAGCCCAGAACCTCGTTTCCAGGTGCCACTCAAAGTTTGTGAGTCACATGAACCTGTGTCCAGGCCACACAGCAGAGGTAACCCAGCTGTGGGGGCACTTGTCTGGTCATGAGATGGCCCAAGTCCCACGTGAAGCCTCATGAGCCACACAGACCCTATCATAAATACACCAGCCTGGGGCTCCCCAGAGGCCAGCTCCAGGAAGTGGAATCATGCTAGTATTGTAATATTTAGTTAGAACTGAGGCCACCTGCAACTCGCTGCCATCTACACCGCTTCCACTCTCTGGTTGCTAACGATCAATGCTAGGGCCTGCCTCAACCCTGATGATTCAGCTCCACTGAAGCTCCCCAGAAACCTCCGGGGCTCTGCAGGCAAGCAGAGTGGGAGGGATGTTATCTGAGTCAGAAGGGGCTTTTGCCTTTGGAGGCCTGGGACTGTACGACTTTCTGCCCAGGTCACAGGAGGTATGGGAGCCCCCATGAGAGGTCCCTTGCTGTGGTTCACCGTCCAGAGAAGGACCAGCCTCTGGTTTTTCCTGCCTTCAAAACACCAGCACCTCAACCCCAGAACAGTCTGGATCCAGCCCTTACTGGGCAAGGGATCCCAATGCCAGCCCCAAACCCAGCAGTTAGGCCCTCCTGTGAACTGCCTGGAGCACCAGGTACAAGGATGGGGCACCCTGGGAGGGGCCATGATTACTTGGCACCAGCAGGGATATGGTGATCACCAGCAGAGACAGAGACACTGCTGGGGTTGAATTATATCCCCCAAATTCATATGTTCAAGTACTGACCCCCAGTAGCTGTGAATGCGGCCTTATATGGAAATAGGGTCTTTGCAGATGATAAATGTGAGATGAAGTAATTAAAGCCAGCCTTAATCCACTATGATTGTGTCCTTATAAAAAGGGGGAATTTGGACACAGACATGCATACAGGGAGGAAGGCTACTGAAGACTGAAGCTTCAATGTCACAAGCCAAGAAACAAGTAGAACTGGGGAGAGGCCTGGGGGCAATCCTTTCCACTCTTCAGAAAGAGCATGACTCAGTCTCCTGGATTTCCCAACTCGGAGACAACAAATCGTTGCTCTAAGCCTCTCAGTTTGTGGTGCTTTGTTACAGCAGCCCTAGGAAAGGAACACAGGCATGCTCCATCCACCACTCTCTCCAGACCACAGCTGCCTCCCAAGCCCACCCGAGAGGGTGAGTCAGGGAAGTAGGGCTCTTCATGGGCCACCACTGCTATTGGGTGGTCATTTCCACTCTGTCTGGAAGTCCTGGTCTCAGTTCTCAGTCTCCTGGTGCTGTTTTAGGCTCTACCTTGCTGTCCCTGGGGCTGCACCTGAGCCTCCACCCCTGTCCCTGGGGCTGTCCTGAGCTTCTACCTTGCTGTCACTGGAGCTGCCCTGAGCCCCCACCTCGCTGTCCCTGGAGTCCAGAAAGCCCAGGGCTGGCCAAACCCCACCCCTCATACCTCTCTTGGCCCCTCCTCCCAGCCATCAATCCACTGGAACAGCCATTATGTCCCTTCATTCTCTAGACAGGTGCCTCAGGAAGGCACAGAAAGGGGTCACACCACTTGGTCATGGTGCCTTACCTGTGTCCACTGGACTCAGGCTGGTCCTTTAATGGGATGAGGGCAGAACAGGCTGTGGGGCCACATCCCATTGTCAGAGAGGCCAGGGATAAAGCCAGAAAGGAGACAGGGGAAGGAAGGGCCTGTGGGCAGCAGTTCCTCCTCATAGGTGCTGAACAGAGAAAGTGAGGAGCCTCCAGCCTCCATCCTGGCAGGACCATCAACCACTGGTAGAGATCCCCTTTTGGGAGGTCCAGTCCTAGCCAAGGGCCAGCTCCAGAGACTTTGGTCCATTTTCTCTAGAATGGACATGATACAGCTGTCTGAGTCAGGACTCTAGAATGTTCAGGACTGAGCCCTGCTGAGGACAAGAGGGAACAACATGCCATGGAGATCCTTGTGCAGCCTGGGCCTCTGACTGTGACCAGCTAGCACCCAGTGCCTCTTTGCTGGGTCTCTGGGCCCTGCTGGTTGCAGGAAAGGCCTCAGCCCAGGGATGGGATGGGCCCAGGCTCTGCGTGTTTCCTGGGAGGGCCAAAGGGTGGTGCCTCCCATAGCAGCCCAAAGCACAGTAGTCACTGCTGCTGCTTCTGCCCTGAGTCTGGGGGAGCCGGCATGTGGGGAACATGGGGGCTGGTTCTCCTGCGACAGGGAGGCAAGCAGCTGTGCCCTCCACTCCACACCACCCTGTTGGCAGCACATCCTTCAAGCTCAGGGTTGCTGGGAAGCTGGTCCCAGTGCCCTCCTGCTTCTCCTCCAGGCCTGGGGATTGCCAGGGATGCATGGGGCCACAGGTGAGCAATGCAATGGTTGCCAGACACCAAGGCTCCTGTTCTCTTTGCCACACTACCCCATTCCCTCCCTATCACAATGCTCTTCTGCAACCTCCGTCAAGATTCTCCTGTTCTCCCGACCCCCACCGTCAGATCTCCCAGCTATGGCTCCTCCTTCTGTTCCACCCATGACCCCACAGGAAGGTTGGTATTTGTGCCTTTGCCTCTCACAGAGCAGCTTGGGAGCTCCTGAGAGCAGGGCCAGAGTCTGACTTCTCTGGGTTAAGGGCTACTGATCTCAGCCCAGACCACATGTGGCTCTCCCCTGAGATGGGCACGTGGCCAGGTGAGCACAAGGTCACAGACACTCCAAAATCCACAGTCCACACCTAGGGCTACCATAATCGACCCAGAAATTCAGCTTCCAGGAATTTATCCTAATAATAGCCAGGTGAAGGGCAAAGGGCAGAGGGCAGGGTTGCCCACGCTAATGCTGCATATAAAACAGACACACTGGAAACTGTCCAGATGTCCATCTGTCGGGCACTGCTGCATGATTAATGTACACCCACATCATGAAACACTGGCCCCGGGTGGAAAGGCTGATGTTCATCTCTGTACTTTGACATGGACAGATGCCCAGGATACATGGTTAAGTGAATACAAGGGGGGAGTTCAAAACATTAAACTTTAATTGACTACAACATTTGTGTCATAGACACAGTGAATTACAACCTGGAGGGAAAATCCACCCTACTCTGCCCTGCCTAGGCCATTCGCAGACAGGTTTGCCTCCCAGTACTCAAGGGAGAAGCCCCTACACACAGAAATCTCAGAACACTCCTCATACCTCACTCAGTTAACTTGGTGGAAAAGTCTGGCTGTGTGCACGGGCAGACGGCAAGGCAGCCAGCAGCAGAACACTCCCCTCTCTAGAATGGCCTTCTCTGCACGAGTGCCCCGGAGCCCGACTGATCCAGTGCTGCGTGAGTGGGACAGACCCACCTTTGACTTCTGATCTCACGAACATTTCTCAAATGCTTTCTCTACTACAGGGAATTGCTAACCAAACTATTCAAACATGGCAGTGGGAAAGAATCTCTGCTTTTCAGCAGAGCCCCCAGGGGAACTCTGGGGACCTTCATTTTGTATTCAGGATAAAGCTCTGTAACTCCTTGTGTTGACCAGGCAGACCATCCACACCCGCTCCTCCTGGGGTGCTGTCTGGCTCCTGGGGATAGCTCAGCCCAGGCTGCTCCCTGAAAACTCAAGGAGCATCCTGGCTCCCCAGAAGGCATCACCAGAGGCCTGGCTATCAGAACACTGCACCTGGAAGACAACACAGTGGTAAACACAGAGGCTTCCTTTCCAGGCTCAAGACCTGCCCTCCCACCTGGGCACCTCCTGACCTTGGGAAGACCCCCCGCAACCAGTCTGGACTCAGGAGGGAATGTTGCCCCACAGCATCCCTCACCCCAGCTCCCAGTCCAGTAATGTCCAGCCACAAATCATCTTTGCCCCTTGTTTATCTTTGCCTGGTGTATTCACTCCAGTGGCACTAGCTGAACCCTCCTCAGCACCATGAGCTGCAGATCCAGGAGTAAAGAGGGAATCCTTCAGTGCTCATAGGGAAGCCTCACCTGGCTGGAGGGCAGGGCCTGGCTCAGCTCCATGGCAGACACAGGGCCGGGGAAGGCAGATGGGGCTGGGGCCAGCTCTGGAGGGCTGGAAAAGAGACAGTGTAAGAATAGGCCCTATCTCAAGGGGACACTGGGGTGACAAAATCCACCCAGCTGTGCTTTCTCCCTCATCAGGAGACATTCTAGTACTTGACACTCATCAGAACAGACTCTCTTCCTGCAGGGCTGTCACGTATGTAGGGTGTTAGGAGGGGAACATGTTACACAGAGAGCAGGGTCACCCGGTGGGTCATAGGGGCAACTGCACAGAGGGCTCAGAGCAGGGTCATGGAAGAGCCAGTGAACAGAAATGTGGAGGAAACAGAGACCTCAAAGGAGGAAGAGCCGGGATGCACGGCACAGTCACTCAGGACAAGGGGCGGTGGTTCTTCAGCAAGGTCAACGCATACTAGCATGTGACATGGCCACGGCACTCCTGGGCATGCACCATGAGAAATGAAGGCAGGTGTGCAGACTATACACATACAGGATGTTCACAGCAGCTTTATCTGTGATGCCCCCAAATCCCCATCCACAGGACAAGGGTGAAGAAGCTGTGGCACATCCACGCAATGGCACGTGGCTCCCCAGAGAGAGAAAGAACTGTTCACGCATCCAAAACATGGTGACTCTCAAAGTCGTCATGCAGAGCGAAGGAAGCCAGACCACAGCAAAACAAAGACCCGAAAATATACCGTATTTACATGAAATTCTATAAAATGCAGCTAATCCTTAGTGACAGAAGCAGATCCATGGTCCTGGGTGGCCAGGGAGAGGCGAAAGGCAGGAGGAGGGTACATTGAAGACCTTCATCACGGTGGTGGCCTCGTGTGGATGTGAAAGTCACACTGAGAAAATTCAGGTGCTCCGTCTACACATGTACAGCCAATTACACCTCAATGAAGCCACTTTTAACGAAGGAACTGATGTTTTCAGGTTGAAGCATGGCCTTCAGATCGGAACAGGGAGGCATGGGAGTTGGGGGAGCAAGAGAAGGGGTCGAGATGGCCATGTGGAGAGGTGAGGCGAGACACACAAGGGGACACCGTGGCCATGGCAGCCTCTGCCTGGTCTCAGCTCCCAGCCATGAATGGAAAAGTGAGTCCATCTGTGTGGTGTACATTTTCTCACAGTCAGGCTGTTTGAGCAAGCAGGCCATGTGATTTAGGGGCTGCTCCGCCTTTTCTCCTATGTCCCTCTGTAATTCTGCCCTCACTAGCATGAGCCTTGAGTCAACCTGGTTGCAGCTCCCTGATGAGGGAGACCCCACAACCTGGGGATCTGCTCTGCTCCTGGAGGCCCTAGTGTAGAGAGGATGGGGCGTCTGCTAGAACAGGAGTGGCGGGTGCGATAGCCTCCCCACCAGAGGACCCCAGGCCACCCTGCCCCAGTCCTCCATCCCTCCTGTCTCTGCAGGATCCCACCTGCTGGGCTGGCCCCGAAGGCCCTGGTCATCTTCTGTTTCTACAGCACTGACACTATCAACAGCAAGTGCTCACGGACGCTGTTCAAGACCCCAAGTCCCTTGAAAACTACAATTCAGAATATAAAATCAGGATCTTGATTCTGCCAGAAACTGACAGTGTTTGTTCAGGGAAAAGAAAGGCTGCTGGGGTCCAGGGTGATTTGGGGGTAAGGGTGAACCCTGATCATGTCCAATGCATGGGATGCCCACATCTGCTCTGATGTTTTGGGCTCTCCTGAGAGAAAAACTACCCTTTTCTTCATAGGTGTAGGCTTGTGGGGACTGTTACAGTTTTCAGCAATCCAAAGGAGAGGACCCTATCTGCACAGTCCGGGACGGTGAGTCTATAAACTGGGCATTACCCTATCTTGTGGCCTGTGGAAAGGACTGTCCAGGCCTGTGGCTCTTCAGGGCTTACCTCTGGGTGAGGATGAATTCAGGAGCTTGCAGTGGGGGCTGTGTCACCAGGAAGCTGCCCACCCGTAGCTCTGTCCGTCCACTGCTTGTGCCCAGACCCTCCTCCAATTGCACGCTCTGGGGATGGCCGCTGGGGGGGCCAGAAAACCCTGCATGTAATGAGATTCCACGGCACACTGGCAGGAGAAAGGAGCAGAGCCCACGTGTGACACAACCAAGACCTCAAAGCACGGAGGCGGATGCAGCCTCCGGCCCAGCCAGCCCGCGCCACGTGAACCAGACTCACGGTCCCTGGGCCTCAGTCTCCCTCTCTGAGGAAGGAACTGTCACAACCATTGATCTCAACAGCCTTCCAGGCTTCCAGAGACCAAGACACGGTTGCTTCTGCTGACTTTAAATGCTGCTGTCATCGCAGACCTCATGTGCCCTCGGTGCCAGTCAGAGTCTGCAGCTTGCTCCGTCCTGCTGGTGCGGAAGGATGTGCCAGGAGCCCTCAGTCTCCTCTTGTGGCTGGTTCACGGAGTGCTTGGCCACCAGCCCTTGGTGGTTTCCACTTTTACCTCTTACTAAGGTTACCAAGATGTCACTGAGGTATAAGCTGTCACTAGTTTCCCCTCCCTTTGACTTTCCAGAGCGTATCTCAGAACATCTCTCACTCTTAGACAAGCTACTGTGGTTTTGGTCAATTCTGGGTGGACATTTAGGAGAGCTGTGGCCTGAAAAGGCAGGTTTTTTCCTGCCCTGAGTCTACTAGGCTGTAAAACAAGCATTAAGATGGCCCTGATCTCAAGACATGGAACAAGCGGCCTGGGGGTGAGGCTCATGTGGTCCTCCTTCCTGTACAGCAGAGTGACCACCTAACCTGGTGCCCAGCTGCCCAGGGCCTTCTTAGGTTGAAGGGACCTTCCTGACCATGTGCCTGCTTTCTGCTATTTCCTCTTTCATGCAGACCTTACAGACACTCTGGAGAGAGGAAATAATGTTCAAGCACTAGTTTGGACATTCTAGTTCCATCCATCATAGTACAGCAATAGATTACGCATTCTCTTTCCAAGAGAAAGGGAAAGCCATGAGCACAATGTCCACAGTCGTGCAGTCAGGACGCAAGTGCAGCCCATGGTGATGGGGTGTCTGGCAGGGAGCTGGGGTGTGGGGCAGGGGCTGAGATTCCCAAGGAGCTCGGGAGGGAGAGCATCCGGGTACCCAGGCAGCAGCAGGGAACCCGAAGGCAGGGGTTTCAATAGACAGAACAAAGGAGTTCGCTGATTCCCACAGAACATCCCCCCTCACTTGAGCAGGCTCCAGGTCTGAAGACCAGCTCCTCTTGTCCCAATGTGAAGACACCCATTGACCGTCCCCACGCCAGCCTCGTCAGTAAGTACAGACAGGCAAATGTGAGTGTCCAACAGTTAAATAAAAAGGACAGCAAAAAATGGAAGGTCAGTATGATCAAACTGACAAGCCCTCTCCTGAGGCGCGAGCCCTAAGATCCCTTCTTCTTTCTGGCCCTGCATCAAGGAAGGGCCAGAATCCACAGTCCCAACAGTCCTGACTTCAGACAGTGAAGCACATTTAAAAAAATTATTATTAGGAACCTTAGAGAAGTGTAAGATATTGCATCCATAGAAAGTAACAATCTATGAAGGAAGAAGAGTTCAGAGATCAGTAAAGAAGGATTGAAATTCTCTTAAGATATACAGCAGTTGGCCGGGCGCAGTGGCTCATGCCTGTAATCCCAGCACTTTGGGAGGCCGAGGCAGGTGGATTACTTGAGATCAGGAGTTCGAGACCAGCCTGACCAACATGGTGAAATCCAATCTCAACTAAAAATACAAAATTAGCCAGCATGGTGAAACATGCCTGTAATCCCAGCTACTTGGGAGGCTGAGGCAGGAGAATCGCTTGAACCTGGGAGGCAGACATTTCAGTGAGCCGAGATCGCACCACTGCACTCCAGCCTGGGCAACAAGATCAAAACTCCGCCTCAAAAAAAAATATATATATATATAACTGTTAAAGCAAAAAATCAGAAGACAGAATTTAAGAAATACCCAAAACGCACATCAATAAAAAAATACAAGATAAAAGGTAAGTTCTTTGGGAGACTGGTCCCGGAGTTCCAACATCCAAATAACATTTGTGCTCTGAAGAGAGAGCTGAAAACATGGAAGCAGGAACTTATCAAAGATACGATCAAAGGATATTAGAAAAAAATGCCCAGAGCTTACAGGAGACTTTATTCTTTTTTTTTTTTTTTTTTGAGACGGAGCCTCACTCTGTCACCCAGGCTGGAGTGCAGTAGCGCAATCTCAGCTCACTGCAACCTCCACCTCCCGGGTTCAAGTGATTCTCCTGCCTCAGCCTCCCAACTAGGTGGGACAACAGGCACCACCACCATGCCCAGCTGATTTTTAAATATTTTTTAGTACAGATGGGGTTTCATCATATTGGCCAGGATGGTCTTGATCTCTTGACCTCATGATCCGCCTGCCTCAGCCGCCCAAAGTGCTGGGATTACAGGCGTGAGTCACTGCACCCGGCCAGGAGACCTTATTCTTTAAGATTAAAGTCTTAACAGCAAGATGAAGTAAAAAGACCCACAACCTCGGACCCTCAGCGTGAAATTTCAGAACTTTAAGACCCACCCCCCCAAAAAATAAGAAAAAAAGAATCTAAGAGCTCCAAAAAATTATGAGGGGGGGAAAAGCATTTCAACTCAGAATTCTGTCCTTGCAAAATTGTTAACCAAACTTGAAGACAGATTAAAGACATTTTTAGAACAAATGAGGACTCGGATAATTTATCTTGCAGGCACTCTTTCTTGCAAAGTTAACTGAAGCTGCTGGCTAACAAAACAAGGGAGTCAAATAAAGAAAGAACCAGACCTGAAATTCAGGACACCCTGGAGTAAACCCAGGGAAGCAGCATGGGAGCACTGGGGACAATAGCTTCACTCCAGGCCTAGGGAGCTGTCACTTGGAGGGGAAAGGGAAAATGGAGGGCCCCCAACAGTGAGTTTTCAGATGGGATGCTTCAAATGCTGGAAGATGTTAAAAATGTGATAAAAGCAGACAATGTAAAAAGAAAAAGGAAAGGCATGGAGAAGCTCCAAGAAGAAAAAAAAGCTGAAGAGAAAAGATGTATATACCCATAGAATATTAAATATAGGTAAATTTGGCTGGGCATGGTGGCTCACGCCTGTAATCCCAGCATTTTGGGAGGCTGAGGCGGGTGGATCCCTTGAGTTCAGGAGTTTGAGACCAGCCTGGCTAACATGGTGAAATGCTGTCTCTACTGAAAATACAAAAAATTAGCCGGGCGTGGTGGCAGGTGCCTGTAGTTCTACCTACTCGGGAGGCTGAGGCAGGAGAATCGCTTGAACCTTGGAGGCAGAGGTTGCAGTGAGCCGAGATCGTGACACTGCACTCTAGGCTGGGTGACAGACCAAGACTCCATCTCAAAAAAAAAAAAAAAAAAAAATGCTGGGCGTGGTGGCTCACGCCTGTAATCCCAGCACTTTGGGAGGCCGAGGCGGGCGGATCATGAGGTCAGGAGATCAAGACCATCCTGGCTAACAGGGTGAAACCCCGTCTCTACTAAAAAGTACAAAAAAATTAGCCAGGCGTGGTGGCGGGCGCCTGTAGTCCCAGCTACTCGGGAGGCTGAGGCAGGAGAATGGCGTGAACCTGGGAGGAGGAGGTTGCAGTGAGCCGAGATCACGCCACTGCACTCCAGCCTGGGTGAGCAAGACTCCGTCTCAAAAAAAAAAAAAAACAAAAACAAAAAAGAAAGAAAGAAATTTGGGTGAATTCATAGCTCCAGTTTCCTCCTTACAAAGTGAGAAGTCTCATGATTCTGGTGTACTGGATGGGCAAAATATACATCTAAATACATACTCTTTAAATGATTTTACAGCTTCAACGATAACTTAGAAGCTAAAATCATGGGATCTCTACTACAGGCTAAGGGGGGTGGACAAGCGGGGAGTCTAAGGAGCTCAGCCTTCTCTGCTGCACCCGGTGTTAATAGATAAATCAAGTGGACTGCAGTGGAGAGCACAGGGTGGCAGCTCTTTCCTTTCAACTCTTCCTCTTCAGTGATATGCATACATACACACACACACACACACACACACACACAATAAAACAGATGAGAAATAATCTGGGATGTTTGTGGGAAGAGTCTTTGTTCTGGCTACATTGGTTCCAGGTCTAATCAAATACCATGGGTTCAAGCCGTGTGGCCCTACCCACACTTCTATCCCCTCAAACAGGACCTGAGTAGTCACAGTGTCTGGTGCTGAAACTCATGGTCTGTCTGAAGTGGACCCACCTGTAGGGCTGGGATCTCCAAGGGTGGCAATGGACACAGCCACAGCGGTGTCTGCAGGGCCCATCATGAAGTCCAGCCCATGGCTGTGGACCAGCTGCCCAGTCTGGAAGGAAACTTCCTTGGAGGACGCCAGTGCAAGAGACATCAGCCAAGATTCAGGGGCAGCCAGAGAGGGGTTCAGCATGTCATTGCCAGCAGCCAGAGGGCAGAGGCCAGGGCCAGGGCAGAAGAGGGGGAGGGTGGCAGGATCATGGCCAGGCCCCTCCTGGTACATCTCGCCACCTGGCAGAGACCTGGGGGACATGGAGAACACTGTCTCTTGGTGGGCAGAGCCTCCCTCAGGGCAGGGCAGGAGGGAGCACAACGGTGCTCAAACAGTGCTGGTGTGCAGTAGGAACTCAAGAGATACTGGCTGGTATTAACTCAATGAAAAGCAAAACAGACAAAGTACTAGAAACAAACCACAGGGACAGCTGGGTTTGTCTTTAGGTGGCAGGGCTGCATGTGTTTCCTTCTAAGTCTGTTACCCCGTTCTCCAAGACAGACATGAACTCAGGTGATGAGTCAGGCTGCAGGAGCACGTGTGGGTTCAGAAGAAGCCACCCCCACCCCAGTCCCTGACGTGGGCTCCTTGCTGGTGGCTTCCCTCTCCCTGGGGTCTGACCTGATCCCAGTGTGGGGGTCCTGTCACCCTTAGGCCTACTTCATGCCCTAGTCTCCACCTGAGGAGGAAAGGGAACTGAATAGGTGAGATGATTCCATGGCCATGGAGATGACAGTACCTGACATCCAGTGGCTTTGAGACTGTCTCATCTGCGGGAAAGTCCGGGGCTAAGGCCAGTGGCTCCCATGGTCCTTGGGTGGTCTGTGGGGACTGTGGAGGCCCCTTTTCCTCACGTTCCTCTGAAAGTGATGAGATGGGAGGGGAGACTTAGTGAGGCTCTGGTTCCCAACCTCCTTCCCATCAGGTATGAGCAGCCCTGCTGGCTGGAAAAGGCTGTTGCCATGGGGCCATCCCAATGTTTTTGCTTCTTGTCCTGTCTTTGGTGTGAACCAACAATCCATAATTGCCAACCCAGGACACCCCAAATCCCGGTGCTTGGTTCACTTCTCAAATTGACTCACCAACTCCTCCTCTGGCCACACGATGCCCTCCTCTCCAGCCCAGCTCCTGGCCCGGCCACACAGTGACCTCAAAATGCATAGGGGCAGCCACAGCCCAGCCTGGGCATCTTGAGCCTCAGACCTCGGACCCTGTGATCTTGCTCCCACAGAGTGACACCTGGAACCTACTGATTGGAGGAGGGCTACCCCTGTAAGCAGTGTGACTACCTAGGCCTGGCCCTTGTCAGAAACCAGCTCCCCGACCACAAGGAGACTGGGGCCCTCAGGCCACTCACCTGACCACTGAGGCCTGTCCACAAACCCAGAGTCAACACGGGGGTTGCCTGAGGGCTGCAGGAGGTCAGGACCCCTCTCCCTCGCACCAGGGTCTTCAGCTGTGGCCTGCTGGGCTGGCTTCATGTGCTGGGGAAGGGCTCTTTGGCGGCGCCGGTAATTGGCAAACCAGTTGTACACCTGCTCAGGGGTCAAGCTCGTCTCCAATGCCAAGTTCTCCTGCCCCCAAACAACAAGACTTCTAGCCCTGCTTCCATTCCCTGAGGACAGGGGGTGTGCAGAAGTGGCTCAGACAGCTCATTTACACCAAGAAAGGGGGTGACAGCCCAGCCTAACCTCTCCAAGGACAGCAGAGAGCGGTGAGCATGAGCAGAACATGCAGGCCTCACCTCCCTGGGCTGATCCCCATCCCCTGAGCAGTGA
This sequence comes from Homo sapiens, assembly GCF_000001405.40. Classification (NCBI taxonomy): domain Eukaryota; kingdom Metazoa; phylum Chordata; class Mammalia; order Primates; family Hominidae; genus Homo; species Homo sapiens. The sequence goes on from NC_000012.12 coordinate 133,227,357, forward strand.
GGCCCAGGTCAGGCTGTCTGCACAGCCACATGTGCACGTCCCCCTGAGTGGGGCCCTTGCTAGGTCCACCCAGACAACATGCCCAGGGCCACCCCAAGCCCCTGGAGGGGCAGGGCCTGCAGAACCACACTGCCTGTGCCTGGCACAAACCCACTGTGCAGTGGAGAGCATGTCAGCTGGCAGATGCCTCGACCCATCGTCCTGGTGCCTGGCACACAGTGGGTGCTGAGTGAGCAGCCGTGGGGCCACATACACAGATGTTATGACTCCACGTGAGAAAATGAAACCCTTTATGTGGCAGACAGGACAGTCTGCCAATCAACAAGGTCCCTGTCCAGAGGAGGGGCTGAAACCACCAGCACCCTGGCGGATGAGGCCACTGAGGAGCCTGGGGTGGGGGTACCCCTTGGGGGACAGGGAGGCACCAGGCAGGGACCCCCTGGGTCCTGGGTATCTTCTATTCTTACCCTCTCAGCCTTGCTGGGGTTGGTGTTCACCCCCACAGCGAAATTGTGCAGCTTCTCACGAACCTCTCTGGGGAAGTTCCGGCTCTTCAGCCCCTCTGGGCAGAGGGAGGGGGGCGGGGGGTTCCTGGGTAAGGACAGTGAGGAGGTGGTAACAGACAGGACCCCTCCAAATCTGTTCCCTTCTCCAGGCCTGGCCCTCTGCAGAAGGTGACACTTCCTTCCCTGTGCCTCCTCCTGGGGGATGCCTCTCTCTGCCTCCAGTTAGTGAAAACTAGAGTCTCTTCCACAGACATGCACAAACCCTGACAAATACTGTTCCAGAACATCTACAGGCCACTGTGAGGAGCCCTCTGTGGGCCCTTGCAGTGCTCCTGGGTGCATCTCAGCCCATGGAGCCCCGATGGATGGCCCTCCTGGACATCCTCACATGTAGACATCCTCATCCATGGAGGCCGCGTGCACAGCCTTCCTCGTACTCACACACAGGTGTCCTCAGCCCATGGAGCTCCCGTGGATGGCCCTCCTGGACACACACACACACTGTTGTCCTCAGGACCTGGCTGCCACCCTGGGTGCTTTTCCATTCAGTGCTTTCTGTTCATCGCTGGTTTCCAGGCATCAGCCCCATTCTTGCATGAGTCCTCTGAGGCTTGCAGCACTCACACCCCTGCCACCCTGCATGGCCACGCCAGCTTTCTCCCTTCGTCTCTCACCCCCAAGACCTCCTCCCAAGACTTAATGTCCTTGGGTGATCTGGCTCTCATTTCACCAAGATGTTCTCAGAAGAGAAGCACCACCTGTGCCCCCAGCAAACCTGCCAGCCCTTCTGCACTCCCCAAATGCCTGTGGGGCCCCTGGTGAGGGGAGGCTCCAGCCGTGGCACCTGCTCATCCCCCATCTCACTAAGAACACTCCCCTGAACTAATTCCCTGCTTGCCATCACCAGCATTTCTTCTAGTAAGTCATTCTCATGAGCTGCTAAGCTCTGTAAATTTCTCACCTCCAGTGGTGATCCCATGAGTCTGCTCCAGTTCCAGCTAAACTTCTCAAAGAATGATCTTGGATCACTGCCACTGTCTCCTTGTCTCTGTGACACACCTGGATCCTTGCACCTTGCCACTAAAAGCACTTGCCCAGCTCACACAATCCGAAGTTCATTTCTCAGCTCTCCTCTTAACTGGCACCTCCTCAGCCTCACTGGCTTCTGAACTCTGCACTGCTGGATTTCCTCTTCCTCTCACTGGCCATGTCTCAGCTGAATCTTCCTCATCCTCCTCTGGGCTGCAAAGTCCCAGAGGTCTGTCCCCTGAACACAGAGGACCCCTTTCTCTGTGCGCTCCCAGGATTTCAGTATCAGTCACAGAGATGACAAAGGGATGCGTGTCTGAGCAATGCTGGAGTTGGACACTGGGGGTGTTCCAGCTGGTTATGCTCCTCTCTAGTGCTGAGCAGATTTGAATATTTCATAAGGAAAAGATGATATATGCACCAATATTACTTGTCTGTAGAAGGTGTGTCATCCCAGTGCCTACTTGGACATCTAAAATGCATCTCGCACATCATGAATCCCAAAAGAACTCCATCCCCCCTCTCCAGACTTTTCCCCAGCTCCTGTGCATCTCAGTGAAGGAACCCTCATGCTCCTGGTGGTTCCCACATAGGCCAAGAGCCCTGGAGTCTACTTTAGCCCTCTCTTTACCTCCTGCCATGTGTACAGCCCATCAGCAAACCCCCCAGCTCCACCTCCTGTGTCAGGGTACTGACACAACACTCTCCACTTTCCCCAGCCACGATCCCAGCCCTGGGCATGCCTGGAACCTCCTAGAAACTCCAGCATCTACTCCTGATCCCTGTATCTGCATCTTCTGTGACTCAGATGCCATCCCTTCCTGACACCACCCGGGAACCATCAGCATGGTCATAACCCAATCCAGCAGCTACCATGGCTGCCGGCTCAATGTCCTCCTGCTGCTCATCAGCCTCTAAGGCAGGGTGAGCGAATCCATTCCAACACCTGCTTTTACATTTTTCAAGGGCTGTGAACACATACACCCCAAAATACTTCCCATCTGCCCCTGAACACCAAGCTTCTCTGATCCCAAGTCTTTGAATGTGCTGCCCCTTCCCAGAAACTTCTGCTCACATGGCTGACACATCACCATACTCAAGACTCTCCTCCAAGACTAGGACCAGCCTGCACTGACCACCCCATCTAAAGCAGCCAACCTTGCACAGCCCTCTTCTGGACATATTCTCTGCATAGCACTTCTCACTCTCTGAATTATGTGACCTACTTTATTTTCTTGTCTGTTGACTATTGTCCACATCCCAATGTCAGTTCCATGGAGGCAGAGCCTGGCCTTCATCCCCAGCACCTCCCAGAACCCAGCAGGCAGGGGGTGCTTAACAAACATGTCGACAAGATGACACCACTGCACTCTGGCAGGTGTCAGCATGCCCGTGGGGGGCTACAATCACATCCCCTGAAGACCCCACAGCTGATTTACTGCTGGGCTTCTGACGACTTGTCTTACTCTGTCACTCTATTTGATGGGTACCACGCAAGAAAATTCTCTGAGCCCAAAAGGTATCCATGTCTTCTTCCTTCAGCGACCAGTATTCTTACCGACCAGGCCCTGTGGCTCAGGAATCTTTCATGACTTGGGCTGTCAGGAGTTCACAGCAAGATCTACAGCCCTTTCCTGACCAGTGGAGAGCACCTGAGATGAAGAATAAGGCTCCCCGGAGTTTGAGACCAGCCTGGGAAATATAGCAAGACCCTGTCTCTACAAAAAATTAAAAATTAGCTGGGCATGGTGGTCACAGCTACCTGGGGGGCTGAGGTGGGAGGATCGCTTGAGCCCGGGAAGTTGAGGCTGCAGAGTTGTGACCGCCCCACTGCATGCTAGTCTGGGCAACAGAGCAAGACCCTGTCTCAATTTTTTTTTTAAAGGCTCCAATTTCTCAGTGTCTGGGCTAGCGTCCTGGCTTTGCAACTCTCTCTCGTGTGGAACCTCAGGTTACCCTTTCTGTGCCTCCGTTTCCTCATCCATAAGTGGTGATGATGGTGATAATAAAAATTACTAGTAACATTTATTTAGTGCTGATAATGGTGGCGATGATAAGGACTACCACTTATTTAGTGCCTATCATGTGCCTGGCACTATTCTGAGCGCCTGACATGTAACTCATGCTAACACTGGCAACATTCTCACCCTTAACTCTTTGAAAGGCCTTGCAACCCCTCAGTGGCCACCCAGAGCCCAGATTGTGGGGATTAGATGACCTGGGGACACATGTTGAGCTGTTCCCACCTGCCCTCCATCTCCACTGTCCCTGGCCCAATAGCCCCCTTTCTGGCCAGTCCCTGGGTGGATGCTGGGCAGAGATGATGAGGATGCCCACCTCCTGGCCTTAGCCTCAGTCACCCTGTGGTCAGCCATCCGTTTCCAGCCATCAGCTGACTGAAGTGGCTGGTGGAGAGTGTAGCTCAGTGACCAGCATCCAGCACAGGTGTGACACACACTGAAGTCATCTTATGCTGACTACACTGTGACTATTACTGCTCCGGCGGACATTTCCTGTCCCTATCTCCTCACCTCCACTTTGCTTCAGCCCCTCTGGGCTTTGCATGGTACATCTAATCCCTTGGGATCCCCATGAAATATGCACAAGTAAATGCTTGTAGGTTACCTCTTCCTGCAGCGGAACTTCTGCACCGGGGTGAGCGCAGCCACGCCCAGCCTCCTCATGACCAGACGGTAGTGGATGTCGTTCCAGAGCTGCACTAACTCCTGGCTGCCTCCCGGCACCTGGCACCCCTGCCAAGAAGAGTGTACTGAGCCCTGGCCACCTGCCCACCCTGGAGCACTGTTGGGACCTGCATCTGCCATCCCAAACCGACTCAGCCTTGGGGAAGGCAGTGATGGGAAGAGCAGGGTTCTGGGTTCAAATTCACTGATTTTACAAAGTGCCAGTGTGGCCACACAATGCAGGCATGAGTCAGATGGCCCCCGCTCCATTCCTAGCAGGCTCAGCGGTGTGACCCTAGGCCTGCCAGGTCACCTCATAGACCTTGGGCAGATGCACTCACATCAGTCTTGAATGGGCCCCTTCCTTTAAACCTTCAACCCTCCCCAAAACACAAGATAAGCACAGCTCCCAGCTGTACCTCAAAGGTAAGGCACATGTGGCAAGGGGAAGTCCAGTGACTCTCTTTTGGCCAACAGCAAAGGGGAGGTGGAGCAGTGGTTATAACCACATGGTGCGATTTGAGGGCCTGATGTCTGATTCAAGTCTTACATGAAAGACCTTTGTCTCCCAGCAGCAGTGCTGGTCCCTCAGGTACTCGGCACAATCTAAGGTGAGGGGGATGAAGGGGTCCCTGTCTGTGGCCAGTACACCCATCCACTTAACTGGACTTTGCTGATGACGGAGGATGCCTGGTGCTGGTCTCCCGTGACTCCTGTGTGGCTCCCACCATTTCCTTAATTCCAATCATCTGCCACAGGAGTGATCCCTGTGGCCCCACACTGGCCTTTAACTACGATGCTGCCTGGACCATCCTGGCGAGGGAGGTGCTGAGAATCATTCAGCTTTCTCTCTGAGGCATCAGAGAGGCCCAGTCTTGCTCGGCAGTGACCCCTCAGAGCCGACGGCTCTGTGCCCCACTCTCCTCTCAGCACGCGGCCTTCAGGGAACCTGCATGGGAACTTCCCCCTGCCCTGACGTGGGGGCAGGAACACCCTGCACAGGCTGGGGTTGCCACCCGTTCTTGATGTGGTGGTCCCTTCATGCCTCCCAGGTCTCAGCCGCAAGTCACCTCCTCAGACGTACCTGTGGGTCACCCTGACTGAGCTTCTAATTCCTCTGCAGGGGGTTTTCATCACTGATGCCAGTGGTTGCCTTCACGGCAGTCATTACAACTCTAACTCTGCACTCTCTCGTTTGTTTACTTCATTTATTTTGACAGATTTGAAAGACCTGGAGCCCTGCTAGGTTCTAGGTGTCGTGCTGTGTGTCAGCCAATCTTGCAGTGAGAAAGGCTGTGGTGGCCCTGCCTCATGGACCTTCAGTGTAGTAAGGGAGGCAGATTGACAAACAACCTTCTAGTTACAAACAGAGGCAGGGACAGAAAAGGGGTAACGGGGGGGCAATACTGGAGAGTGAAGGAGGCACCACCTCCCTGGGCTGACATTTAAAGTAGAAACCAGAAGGGTAGGTAGGCACTGGCCACACGGAGAGCCAGGCGCCAGCCTCTAACAGAGGAAAGACACCTGCAAAGGCCTTGGGACAGGGAAACATCTCGGGAGTTGGAACGGCAAGGAGACTGGTGTGGCCACTGCAGAGGAGGCTGGGAGGAGTCAGAGGTGAGAGGACAGCAGCAGGCTCAGGCCCCGGATCTGGGAGCCACTGCTCAGGGGCACACTGTGATACCATTTGCATTGTAAAAACTCCCTCTGGCTGCTGTGTGAACAGGTGGAGGGGACAGGAGGACACCACACTAGCTTGGTGAGGGGTTGGAAGGAACCGAGTATCTTGAAGGTAAACTCACAATGAATTATGTATGGACTGTTTTACAGGGTCAAAGAAAGGAAAAATAGGCATTCAAATTCCTTTTTGGAAACCCTTTGGGCCACGTTTTCTGTGATTCAGAATTTTTCAGATTTCAGCAAGTAACGCAGGCATCCAGCACACGACATGCACCACTCAGCACGACCTGGGGCAGCATCCTGTCATCAAGCATACTCTTATTTAGGCAGCAAAACGTACAGTGGTCACATTAGTTGGAACAATAAACACTATAAATAGCTTCAGATCAGCACAGGTCAGGTTCAGTGCCTAATGCGTTGAGGTTGAAGGTACCAGCAGGTGAGTGAGAGATACTTTTGGTTTTCAGAGTTCTCCATTGCAGACTTGCGGCCGGGGAATGAGAAGGGGTCTGTCTGAATGCCTTGCTAAGATGCTGGCTCTCCAAAGACAGGACTGCATTTTATTCACTCACTTTATTGGCATCTTGCCTGTCACAGATCACCACTCAATAGGGATTTGCCAAATGAGTAGTTTTAACTCAGATTACCAAACTAGTTAGAGCTTAGTAATGTGAGAGCGGAGTAAGGTTACATAAAACCTGCCTCCCAGGTTTTTCCAAGGCCTGGGGGTGGGCCTCTGGCCAGTGGGTTCCTACTAACTCCTGGGTACTGCTGCAGTGCCGGAGATGGGTGGAGGCTGCCTAAAGAAGTTGCTACCTCTCTCTGTACCCTACCCCTGTAGCCCAGGCCTACCTCCAGGAGGCGGCAAGCCGCCTGCTGCTGCTCCTGCTGGTCCAGGACACGGGCGCACGCCAGGGCCACATCTGCGTTGTCCAGGAGATGCAGGCGGAGCTGGCTGTCCAGAATGGCTGTGACCAAAGGCTGCAGTTGGGCAAGGTCATCCTGGAAGTCCCGGCACAGTCTGCCCGCAAGGGTCACCAGCTCCGCCGGGGGTGCACAGGTGTCCTCATGCTCCTTCAGCAGAGTCAGGAAGCTCTGCATCCTGTGCTGGGTCGTGGCCACTCTGCCAACACAAACAGTCACAAGAATGGCCACCACTGACCACGTCCTTTCTGTCAGTCAATCGCCCAACCCACTCTGCAAAGCAGGTGATGCACGGCTCTTGTGCCGTGGACACTTGTAGAGTAGGAATAAGACCTCACACATCCCGAGAGAGGGCAGCACCATAGCATACACCCTCTAGAATTTCCTTCTAATCCCCCAAATACTTTAGTCCTTAACGAACACGGCTGTGCACCAAGCACTGGGCTGGGTACTGTCTGCAACAGCTCCTCCACTGCTCTGGGCTCAGTAGGGTAGGGACCTTGTGTGCAGGGGTCACCAGTGGATGCCAAGGCCTTTCATCTGAACCCACATACATGCACTTGTTTTAACAGCAGAAACTGCTCACGCCAATACTTAATCCAAACAATGTCAAAGACACACTTTGCAATCACACGCTTGGTCCTGCATCCACACAGGAGGAACCTTTACTTGTTCTAACGGTGCCTCACCTAAGGACATTCAGGCAGCTGCCAGTGACTGCTTTTCCCAACAGAAAACCCTCCCCAATCGATCTTACTTCTGCGGAATACACTTTTATTCACAGAAGTAGGGGCAGGGTAGTAGGTGTTGCCAAACTGCTTTCCAAAAGGTTTGTAAATCCTCACAGCCGCGAAGAACCAGGTAGGCTGCGCGCTCCCTGGCGAGGGGTTCTTTCTGCCGTGCGCCCGCCAAGGGGACGCGACCTCGTCTACTCCACCCGTTCCCGGGCTCTAGCGCCATCTCACCCGGGTCCTGACTCGGGGCTCTGAGTTTCCAGCTGCCACAGTGGGCAGGAGGCCCTGGACCTGGGGTCCCTTGGGGGAACAGAGCCTGCAGGGGCCTTGGAGGAGGGCAGAGGAGGCTCCCAGGCCTGGGTTTCCTGCAACGCCGACCCCCACCGGCTCTGGGAGGGGCGGGGTTCCTGCCACTTCAGGAAGGAAAAAGGTTCCTGTGGGGTACCTTGGCCTGTCCGCCCGGTGCCCTGAGGGGCACCCGGCTCCAGCTGAATGGAGGGGAAGGGTCGCGGGAGGTGGCTCTGCTTGGCTTCCTGACTTTGGCGGGACCCCCGCCCATGGCCCCCAGCCCCCCTACCTTTCTGGCACGCTGCTCCCTGCGGAGGCCGAAATTCCTGCCTGGGGCTCCAGCCTGGGAGGCTCCACCCTCAGCCCCACCCCGGCCCCCGCACCCCTCACCCTCCGGGGCCCCCCTTACCCTCAGGGACTCCTGCCCTAGCGCCCCTCACCTTCCGGGACCCCCCGCCTCCGCGCCCCTTATCCTCCAGGACCCCCCCCGCCTGCGCGCCCCTCACCCTCTGGGACCCCCGCCCCCGCGCCCCTCACATTCCAGGCCCCCCCTGCCCCCGCGCGTCCCTCATCCTCCCGGACCCCCCTGCCCGCGCGCCCCTCACCCTCCGGGACCCGCTTCAGCGCCGGCGCACGTGCTTGGCGCGCACCCGGGGCTGGCGAGGAGGCGCTGGGCAGCACAGAAGGTGCGGGTGCTACAAAGTATCCAGGCTCGCAGCCAATCCCGCGAGGCCCCGCCCACAAGGCGTCCCGGGGGCCGGCGCCCCTCAGCCCCCGATGCGACCGCGGAGTCCGGGGGAGCTGAGGGGTCCGTGGGGGATCTGGTGTCCGTGGCATCTGCGGGTCCGAGGAGTCCCGGACGACCTGGGGTTTCTGGGGTGTGCGGTGCGGGGTCAGAAAGGCCTGGAGCTTTGCGTCCTCGAGCGCCGGAAGGAGCAGGCTCTGCGGGGCGCGGGGTGCGGGGTTGGTGGGGGAGGGCGCCGCGACCCCCGCCCTGCAGCGGAGCCGAGGGAGTCGTGACCCACGGCTGACCCCGCGCCGCCCGCCCTGGCTCTGGCGCCGGCGCAGGCGCAGCTGAGTCAAACTGGGGTCGCGGCTCGGTGGGGCGCAGCGCTTTCCTAGCGCGGGGGAGGAGGGCGCCTCTGGAACGCAGACCCCCAGGGGACGCGCCTGGGTCCAAGCGGAGTTCCGACTTCAGCCTCGGCGGGGGGCTCCACCCAGGTGGGCCCTGCGGGTGGCTCCCTCAGGGGAAGCCTAGGGCAGCCTGACCACGGCTGACCTCCGTGACCACCGGCGTTCCGGGCACCACGGGGCGATCCTGGGGTGGGAGTGGGGTCCTCGCAGACCTGGTCAAAAGGTGGCTGGGAAATGACTGAACACCCCAAGTCCTGGCACGGGTGCAGTCCAGCCTCTGCCCTTGTGGAGTTTATAGTTTTTTTGTGGGTTTGTGGCTTTTTTTTTTGTTTTTGGTGTTTTATACAGTGAGCTCGGAAGTTACCCGGAGACCTTGAATTGTTTGTTTAGAGGCAGGGTCTCGCTCTGTGGCCCAGGCTGGAGTGCGGCGGCGCGATCAGAGCTCACTCCAGCCTCAACCTCTTGGGGTCAAGTGATCCTCCTGCCTCAGCCTCCCAGACCACAGGTGCGTGCCACCGTGCCCGGCCTTGAGTTGGTTTTCAAAGGTAGTGAAGGTCTAATTGGAAGGAAAAAAGTCAATACACGCATAAGACACAGGATAAACATTTCAGTGTTTGTTCCAGTGAAGATGTGAAAACAGCCCAAGCCTCTGGTGGAAGATTTGAGAAATAAACCACGGTTGAGACAGGGGATGGGTTCCTGGCAGGTTATTAGTAGTGATGCTGAGGTCGCTGGGGCCCAGCTGATGATCGCGATACATTGTACAGCAGAAGGCTGGCTTCTAAGACAGAGGTAGGAGCCCACATGGAAAGCAGAGATAAAATGATGCATGCCACATCCTAAACCCTGGTGGGTCTGGGGTGATTCAATTACCACTTTGTTTCAGTATCTTTTGTAGGCATTTTAATTTTCTTCTTTTTGCTTATCCACATTTTCTTTTCTTTTTTTTTTTTTTTTTTTTTTTTTTTTTTTGAGATGGAGTCTCACTCTCTCGCCCAGGCTGGAGTGCAGTGGCGCGATCTTGGCTCACTGCAAGCTCCGCCTCCCGGGTTCACGCCATTGTCCTCCCTCAGCCTCCTGAGTAGCTGGGACTACAGGTGCCCGCCACCACGCCCGGCTAATTTTTTTGTATTTTTAGTAGAGACGGGGTTTCACAATGTTAGCCAGGATGGTCTTGATCTCCTGACCTTCTGATCTGCCCACCTCGGCCTCCCAAAGTGCTGGGATTACAGGTGTGAGCTACCGAGCCTGGCCACTTATCCACATTTTCTAATTTTTATAAAATAATTTTGTGGTTTTCTATTTTTAAATTTCTTTTTAAGAAGTGGAAAGAACAGGACAACAGGGTTGTGGAGAAGCAGTACTGACTGACGGAGTCTATTGGGACTGGAGCCCCCTGTTGGGGGTGGAGAACAGACTGCAGCTGTCTGAGATACAGAACAGAATAGAGCGATAGTCCTCCCTTTACCTCCTGCCATGTGGACTAAAGATTGCTCGCTACCCATTAAGCACTAACGAATGTAAAACAATGGGGCCTAAAATGTCGAAATATCTACACTGTTAGATTTAAATGAATTCAACACATTTTTAATGTATTTTTATTTTTTTAGGCACGTGACCTTGCTGTGTTGCACAGGCTGGCCTCTCTTAATTGTCAGACTCGAAAGTCTACCTTCTTTTTTATTTATTTTATTATTTTTTTGAGATGGAGTCTGGCTCTGTCACCCAGGCTGGAGTGCAGTGGCGCAATCTTGGCTCACTGCAACCTCTGCCTCCCAGGTTTAAGTGATTCTCCTGCCTCAGCCTCCTGAGTAGCTGGGATTACAGGCACGTAGCACCACGCCCGGCTAATTTTTGTATTTTTAGTAGAGACAGGGTTTCACCTTGTTGGCCAGGCTGGTTTAGAACTCCTGACCTCAAGTGATCCACCCACCTCGGCTTCTCAAAGTGGTGGGATTACAGGCATGAGCCACTGCGCCTGGCCTCTACCTTCTTTTTTAAAACAATATGGAGCTTCATGAATTTGTGTGTCATCCTTGCACGGGGCCCATGCTCACCTCTGTGTCATTCCACTTTCAGTACATGTGCTGCCAAAGTGAGCACAAAAGTCCACATCCTTGGATAGTTCAAGTGCAGTGGTGTTTACAACTAACTGATCACAACCACGTATGGATTTCTTTCTCTACTCCCACTGCTTCACTTGACTAGCCAAAAAAGTCTACATTCTTAACTTCAGCACTTCAGTGTTTAAATTGCAAGTGTTCTAAATGAGGACAAACCTCCCCCTAACTTTTTTTTTTTGAGATGGAGTTTTCGCTCTTGTTGCCCAGGCTGAAGTGCAATGGCACGATCTGGGCTCACTGCAACCTCTGCCTCCTGGGTTCACGTGATTCTCCTGCCTCAGCCTCCCGAGTATCTGGGATTACAGGCATGCACCACCATGCCCAGCTAATTTTGTATTTTTAGTAGAGACAGGGTTTTACTATGTTTGTTAGGCTGGTCTCAAACTCCCGAACTCACGTGATCTGCCTGCCTTGGCCTCCCAAAGTGCTGGGATTATAGGTGTGAGCCACTGTGCCCGGCCGAGAATGAACCCCCTTTTTTAAAAAATTTATTTATTTATTTATTTATTTGGGACAGAGTTGTGCTCTGTTGCCTTGGCTGGAGTGCAGTGGCATGATCTCGGCTCACTGCAAGCTCCGCCTCCCAGGTTCATGCCATTCTCCTGCCTCAGCCTCCCAAGTAGCTGGGACTACAGGTGCCAGCCACCACACCTGGCTAATTTTTTTGTATTTTTAGTAGAGACGGGGTTTCACCGTGTTAGCCAGCATGGTCTCAATCTCCTGACCTCGTGATCCGCCTACCTTGGCCTCCCAAAGTGCTGGGATTACAGGTGTGAGCCACCACGCCTGGCCAACGAACCCTTTTTAAGCATTACTTTTAATAAAGCGCAGTACCAAAATTTGAGTTACCAATGCCTATTGTAAATATAGGCTGTCTCCCCTTTCCCTCCATGCTCTTTAATGTGAAATGCAGTCAGTAACACATGACACATTCTAAGGCATACTTACCCACTATTTGTAGATTTTCTCTTCCTTTCTGGACCCATGCTTCCTCGGGTAGACTGTCAGTTCAGTTACTTAATAGCTGTGTGAACTTGAGCAAGTTACTGACCCTCTCTGTAGCTTTTCTCCTCTTTGGCATAATGGGGATAACAATAGGGCCTCTTCCTTGGTGGGACTGAGATAATTAGAGTCAATATTCAGTAAGTGCTCTTTTTGTCATCATTTTGCTTTCTATATACACTAGCACATGCAAAATCTGGTAAGTTTTCTATCATTATGTGTCTTTTAAACAAATTTCCTGGGAATTCTTGCATTTCTTCCATCGTAATTAGCTGAAACACAGAAGGCTGGAAGGTGATTTCGATTAACCTCGTAAGAACCTCTGTTCCATCATGAGCTGCTGTCTTCCATCCTGGGAACACCCACTATCACTGGTGCTCTCCTGAGGGAGCCCTGCCGTATCCGCATCTTGAAGCCGCTGGATGGCCCTGGGATGAGTACCTCTTAGGAGACCTGTCCAACGTCTGTGTGCCTATTAGGGGGCTCATAGCTGTTGGGGATCTGTCATTCGGGCCCCTTACGTAGGCTCACAGAATTAGAGAGAGCCAGTCTTCTGGGGAACACCAAGGGAGATACGCGGGCAGGAAAAGAGAGGGTGTGTCTGGTGTCCTGGGTAGAATTTTTTAGAAGGACAGAGGGATCCTAGGGCTTCGGAGAGTGATTCATCAGCCCTTCCTTTCTTCTTGGAGTTTGAGCCCTTAAAAACCAGATGTGGACAGGGCCAGAGAGCAGGAAAACAGGATCATCCCTTTAAAGCACCCCCCAACATATGACCCAGAGAGGGTTAGGAATGACCCCTTCTTTGGTGTGACTGCCCTGCTCAGAGGGCCAGAGGCTGTTATTTCACAAGCTCAGAAGGGGCTGGCTACAGCCCTGCAGTTCCTTCCTCTGGGTCATGGTTGAGGCCTTCCCCGGGACAGGCTGCTCCAATCATCCGAGTTGTAATCTCACCCCTCAGCGAAATGACCCAGCAGGTGGGGAACGTGACACCCACTGGATTCTGGATCTATAAGCACCACCCAGGTGTCCAAGATGATTTTTCTCCCAAATAAGGCTGAGAATAGGATGAAAGCAAGTGAAGTATCAAAAAACTCAGTAATCAAGATAAATAATATTGCAATGTGGTGTTTTTAAAAAACCAAAATATATGTCAAAGAATCTATGATTAACAGAATATCAAACTTTTGGATAAGACAATGTATATTACTGAGTTTTCCTTTACCTGAAGCTCCACAGAAGCAATAGTTGCTTATTTCCCTCGTAAGTCAGGTACAGGATGGGAAGTGGGGTTGGAGAGTTCATAAATATTTTTGGAGCATATGTGCCAGGTCATCAAATGCCCCCATGACTCTGAGGTGGGCACCTGCCAACCTCATGACAAAATGCCGACCTGAGGTGAGTCATGGGTCTGCAGTCGCAGAAATGGTACAGGGGTGGTTTGATTAAACCAAAGCATTGTAAGTTAGCAGAATATTTCCTGTGAACAGTGGCTTAGAGGTATAAGCCAAAGAAAATAAAAGTACATTGTGAAAGGACAGAATGATAAAGATTTTTAAATCTGTATTTTCTCTACGGAAGTAGACATTAGTTGAAACAACTGATTCTTAAAAATGTGCATGTTTCTATAATCATTCTTTCTAAAAAGGGATAGTGTTAGAGTGAGAATTTAGGGATGAGGCTTTGGTTAAGGGTTCAGTGTTACAGAGAAGAAGTAAAGGTTATGGTTGAGGAGTTAGGTGTTATAGTCAAGAATTACAGGTTAGGTCGGGTTAGGGGTTAGGGGTTAGGGGTTGGGGGTTGGGGGTTGGGGTGCGGGTAGGGGTTAGGGGTTAGGGTTAAGGGTTAGGATTAGGGCTAGGGTTAGGGTTAAGATTAGAATTTGGATTAGGGTGAGGTTGAAGTTTAGGGTGATGGTTAGGGTTAGGGTGAAGGTGAGGATGAGGGTGAGGGTTAGGGTTACAGTTTGCATTATGTTGAGGGTAAGTGTGAAGGTGAGGGTTAGGGTGAGGTCATGGGTTACTACTGTTCAGGTTAATACTTTTCATGATTAGGGCTGAGATAAGTGATACGGTCTCTGGCAAGCTGTCCCTGGATGCAGATTATGAGACAAGGATATTGGTGAAATTATTATTCAGCTATAATTTGCATATTATCCATTGAATAAAGGAGAGGAACCAAAACAGATGGAACAAACAGGGCAAGGTGTTGGGAGAAGCACTAGAGCCCTGCCTGGGCTTGGGCGGCTCAGAGCTTGGGTGATAGTGCTTCAGTGTTGCATAGAATCAGAATTCATCCTGACTGCAGGCATAGACAGTGGGTATTTTATCCTCCCTCAGACAGTGCGTGGCTTAGGTTGAGTTGTGGGGTAAACTCCCAGGCGCTTTTACTCCTTTTGGGTGAATTGACCCGACACCCGGGGAAATTCTCTGACCCTCCAGCAACAATGCACGAAGATCTATGGACAAGCAAGACCTGTGGGGTTTGGGAGGGGCCCAGGGTGGAAACCAACCTGGGCAACCTGGGTTAGGGTCAGGGTTATAGACTGGAGAAGCTGAGGAACAGTGTCTTTGTATGATAAGGGTTGCTATAACCTGGTACGTGAGACTGCGTGATTTATAAATTTACTTGGCTCACAGTTCTGGAGGCTGGGAAGTGGGAGAAGCAGGCATAGCATCTGCTTGGTTTCTGGTGAGGGCCATGTGCTGGGTTAAAACATTGGCAGAGAAGAGCCAGAGGGATTGGACACCTGCAAAGAGAGAGGCAAACGAAAGAACATCCTAGCTTTGCAACAAACCACGCTCACAGGTACTCATCTAGCATTGCCAGATCAAGAACTCTACCATGAGAAGGCAGCAAGCCGATGACGAGGTTCCACTCTAGATTCAAACACCTCCCACTAGGTCCCACCTGTCAACACTGTCATGCCCAGACCACATATCAGCATGAGATTCAGGGAGGACAAACAAACCCCATCCACACCACAGCAAGCAGGGGAGGCAAGAAATGGGAAAAAATTGTCTTTTAAAAAGATTTACCATTCTCATTTGTGCATGAAGAAAGAGTTCCCGGTCTGGGCTCTGAGAGGAGGGTGCTGTGGGTCTTCCCCACATGCCTCTTAAGTCATCCTCCCACTTCTCCAGCTCTGCTCTGGGTCCTGAGTGGCTGGCCTCTGGGAGCATCACCCAGGTCCCATTCCAGGATTTCAGCCAGAGGGAGGCACCAGCCATCAGAGGTGGGGACGGCCTTGGTTTCCTCTGCTTCCTTCCTTCTAGCAGTGGGTTTTCACAAAGGCTGGGTTTCTCTCTGGTGTTTCTCAACTTCAGCTGTACTAGCATTTCTACTCAACCATTTTCTGTGCTGGGGCTGCCCTGCACATGGGAGGGTGTCCAGCAGCAGCCCTGCAGCACCCCCACCTGAGCCCACAGTGTCAGGCAAAATGACCCCATGGAGAAACAGCCCTGCCAGAGTCCTGGGAGGGTCCAGCAGCCCATTCTCTCTTCACCCTTTGGCCCCGGGGTATTAGAGGGTTTCTGCTGTTGCTAGTCTGGGAGCATTTCACAGGCTTTTATTGTTCCTTTTGGCTTTGCCCACACCTCTGTAAATAAAACCTTGAGTTTGCCTTTTTTTTTTATTTGCTGGGATCTAGCACAGTCCTTTTCCTACAGGTAAATGCCTACATGTTAGAACATATCTTAGAAATTACCATCAGCCAATCTTGCTTTAGAAAAAGAACTCATGACTATCTGAGTTTTAAACATGGTGACCAGAATTGAATTTGCAAATATTTTGGTTCTAATATCTTGATAAAACACTAAAGCTATAACATGATGGCTTACCATGAAATTAACATGGAATACTCACTGGGGTGGAGGAGAAGAGTAAATATGGCCCTTGACCCTGGTGGGCTGTCCACAATAACTGTTGCTCTGCCACTTTCCCAGCATTTTAGGGGTTACAGGACCCAGGCTCTGGCAGGCACTTGGTGAAAACTGGAAACAGCTGAAGAACCAAGTCTTGTCCCTCCTTGTGCAGGCCTAGGTTCTACATCCACAGACTCGGATACTGAAGAACATTTAATGGTCTGGCTGCTGGTTAAAGCTGTGATCTACAAATATTTTCAACCATGCAGTGCTCTCAGTGAAAACAAAGCATGCATCTAATAACTGTGCTTTTATTAATTATTTTTTCTCCTCCTAGAAAATGGATTTTTTTTTAACTTTTAGGTTCCAGGGTACATGTGCAGGTTTGTTTTATAGGTAAACTTGTGTTGTGAGGGTGTGTTGTACAGATTATTTCATCACCCAAGAATTGAGCCTAGCACTCATTGGTTATTTTTCCTGATTCTCTCCCTCCTCCCACCCTCCACCCTCTGATAAGCACAAGTGTCTGTTGTTTCCCTCTGTGTGTCCGTGTGTTCTCATCATTTAGCTCCCACTTACAAGTGAGAACATGCGGTATTTGGTTTTCTGTTTTGCTAAGGATAATGGCCTCCATCTCCATCCACGTTCCCACAAAAGACATGACCTCATTCTGTGTTATGGCTCCATAGTAGTCCATGGTTTATATGTACCACATTTTCTTTATCCAGTCTACCACTGATGGGCATTTATGTTGATTTCCTGCCTTTGCTATTGTGCATAGTGCTGCAATGAACATTCACGTGCATGTGTCTTTATCGTAGAATGATTTCTATTCCTCTGGGGATATATTCAGTAATGGAATTGATGAGTTGAATGGTAGATCTGTTTTTAGCTCTTTGAGGAATTACCATACTGCTTTCCACAATGGTTGAACTAATTTACACTCCCACCAACGGTGTGCAAGCATTCCGTCTCCCTGTCACCTTGCCAGCACCTGTTAATTTTTGACATTTTAATAATAGCCATCCTACCTGGTGTGAGATGGTGTCTCACAGTGGTTTTGATTTGCATTTCTCTAATGATCAGTGATGTTGAGCTTTTCTTTCTATGCTTTTTGGCTGCATGTATGTCTTCCTTTGAAAAGTGCCTATTTATGTCCTCTGCCCACTGTTTTTATGGGATTGTTTTTTTTTCCTTGTAAACTTGTTAAGTTCCCAATGGAAGCCAGATATTAGACCTTTGCCAGATGGATATATTTCAAAAATTTTCTCCCAGCTACTCACAAGGCTGAGGCAGGAGAATTTCTTGAACCCAAGAGGTGGAGGTTGCAGTGAGCCAAGATCACGCCACTGCACTCCAGCCTGGGTGACAGAGCGAGATTCTGTCTCAAAAAAAAAAAGAAAGAAAAAAGAAAGGTAGCCATATATAGATATTTGATTTATTTCAAAATATAGAAAAATGGTATTATGAAAGCGCCAGCAGAGCATATTTCTATGGAAAGTATTTACCATTCAACAAATAGTAGCAGAACAATTTGTTTATCCATGTGCAAAGTAAAACTGGGTCCTAACTTCACACCATTTACAAAAATGAATTTAAGGTAGCTTAAAGAAAAATGTGAGGGGTGGAGCCAAGATGGCTGAATAGGAACAGCTCCAGTCTAGAGCTCCCAGCATGAGTGATGCAGAAGACAGGTGATTTCTGCATTTCCAACTGAGGTACTGGGCTCATCTCACTGGGGAGTGTCAGAAAGTGGGTGCAGGACAGTGGGTGCAGTGCACCCAGCATGAGCCAAAGCAGGGTCAGGCATCGCCTCACCCGGGAAGTGCAAGGGGTCAGGGAATTCCCTTTCCTAGACAAAGAAAGGGGTGACAGATGGCACCTGGAAAATCAGGTCACTCCCACCCTAATACTGTGCTTTTCCAATGGTCTTAGCAAATGGCACACCAGGAGATTACATCCCATGCCTGGCTCAGAGGGTCCTATGCCCAAGAAGCCTTACTCATTGCTAGCACAGCAGTCTGAGATCAAACTGCAAGGGGCAGTGAGGCTGGGGGAGGGGCACCTGCCATTGCTGAGGCTTCAGTAGGTAAACAAAGTGGCTGGGAAGCTCGAATTGGGGGGAGCCCACCATAGCTCAAGGAGGCCTGCCTGCCTCTGTAGACTCCACCTCTGGGGGCAGGGAATAGCCAAACAAAAGGCAGCAGAATCCTCTGCAGACTTAACTATCCCCGTCTGACAGCTTTGAAGAGAGTAGTGGTTCTCCCAGCATGCAGCTGGAGATCTGAGAACGGACAGACTGCCTCCTCAAGTGGGTCCCTGACCCCCGAGTAGCCTAACTGGGAGGTACCGCCCAGTAGGGGCAAACTGACACCTCACACAGTGAGGTACCCCTCTGAGACAAAACTTCCAGAGGAACGATCAGGCAGCAACATTTTCTGTTCAGCAATATTCACTGTTTTGCAGCCTCCACTGCTGATACCCAGGCAAACCGGGTCTGGAGTGGACCTCCAGCAAACTCCAACAGACTTGCAGGCGAGGGTCCTGACTGTTAGAAGGAAAACTGACAAACAGAAAGGACATCCACACCAAAACCCCATCTATACATCACCATCATCAAAGACCAAAGGTAGATAAAACCACAAAGATGGGGAAAAAACAGAGCAGAAAAACTGGAAACTCTAAAAATCAGAGTGCCTCTCCTCCTCCAAAGGAACGCAACTCCTCACCAGCAATGGAACAAAGCTGGATGGAGAATGACTTTGACAAGTTGAGAGAAGGCAGCTTAAGATGATCAAACTACTCCAAGCTAAAGGAGGAAGTTCGAACCCATGGCAAAGAAGTTAAAAACCTTGAAAAAAATTAGATGAATGGCTAACTAGAATAACCAATGCAGAGAAGTCCTTAAAGGACCTGATGGAGCTGAAAGCCAAGGCACGAGAACTGCATGATGAATGCACAAGCCTCAGTAGCTGATTCGATCAACTGGAAGAAAGGGTATCAGTGATGGAAGATCAAATGAATGAAATGAAGTGAGAAGAGAAGTTCAGGGAAAAAAGAATAAAAAGAAATGAACGAAGCCTCCAAGAAATATGGGACTATGTGAAAAGACCAAATCTACGTCTGATTGGTGTACCTGAAAGTGACGGGGAGAATGGAACGAAGTTGGAAAACACTCTGCAGGATATTATCCAGGAGAACTTCTGCAATCTAGCAAGGCAGGCCAACATTCAAATTCAGGAAATACAGAGAATGCCACAAAGATACTCCTTGGGAAGAGCAACTCCAAGACACAAATTATCAGATTCGCCAAAGTTGAAATGAAAGAAAAAATGTTAAGAGCAGCCAGAGAGAAAGGTCAGGTTACCCACAAAGGGAAGCCCATCAGACTAACAGCTGATATCTCAGCAGAAACTCTACAAGGCAGAAGAGAGTGGGGGCCAATATTCAACATTCTTAAAGAAAAGAATTTTCAACCCAGAATTTCATTTCCAGCCAAACTAAGCTTCATAAGTGAAGGAGAAATAAAATCCTTTACAGAGAAGCAAATGCTGGGAGATTTTGTCACCACCAGGCCTGCCCTAAGAGAGCTCCTGAAGGAAGCACTAAACATGGAAAGGAACAACCGGTACCAGCCACTGCAAAAACATACCAAATTGTAAAGACCATCGAGGCTAGGAAGAAACAGCATCAACTAATGAGGGAAATAACCCGGTAACATCATAATGACAGGATCAAATTCACACATAACAATATGAACCCTAAATGTAAATGGGCTAAATGCTCCAATTAAAAGACAAAGACTGGCAAATTGGACAATGAGTCAAGACCCATCAGTGTGCTGTATTCAGGAAACCCATCTCATGTGCAGAGACACACATAGGCTCAAAATAAAGGGATGGAGGAAGATCTACCAAGAAAATGGAAAACAAAAAAAGGCAGGGGTTGCAATCCTAGTCTCTGATAAAACAGACTTTAAACCAACAAAGATCAAAAGAGACAAAGAAGGCCATTACATAATGGTAAAGGGATCAATTCCATAAGAAGAGCTAACTATCCTAAATATATATGCAGCCAATACAGGAGCACCCAGATTCATAAAGCAAGTCCTTAGAGACCTACAAAGAGACTTAGACTCCCACACAATAATAATGAGAGACTTTAACACCCCACTGTCAACATTAGACAGATCAATGAGACAGAAAGTTGAAAAGGATATCCAGGAATTGAACTCAGCTCTGCACCAAGCAGACCTAATAGACACCTACAGAGCTCTCCACCCCAAATCAACAGAATATACGTTCTTCTCAGCACCACACCACACTTATTCCAAAATTGACCACACAGTTGGAAGTAAAGCACTCCTCAGCAAATGTAAAAGACAGAAACTATAACAAACTGTCTCTCAGACCAAAGTGCAATCAAACTAGAACTCAGGATTAAGAAATTCACTCAAAACCACTCAACTACAGGGAAACTGAACAATCTGCTCCTGAATGACTACTGGGTACATAATGAAATGAAGGCAGAAATAAAGATGTTCTTTGGAACCAATGAGAACAAAGACACAACATACCAGAATCTCTGGGACACATTCAAAGCAGTGGGTAGAGGGAAATTTATAGCACTAAATGCCCACAAGAGAAAGCAGGAACGATCTAAAATTGACACCCTAACATCACAATGAAAAGAACAAGAGAAGCAAGAGCAAACACATTCAAAAGCTAGCAGAAGGCAAGAAATAACTAAGATCAGAGCAGAACTGAAGGAAATAGAGACACAAAAAACCCTTCAAAAAATCAATGGATCTAGGAGATGGTTTTCTGAAAAGATCAACAAAATTGATAGACCACTAGCAAGACTAACAAAGAAGAAAAGAGAGAAGAATCAAATAGACGCAATAAAAAATGATAAAGGGAATATCCCACTGATCCCACAGAAATACAAACTACCATCAGAGAATACTATAAACACCTCTATGCAAATAAACTAGAAAATCTAGAAGAAATGGATAAATTCCTCAACACATACACTCTCCCAAGACTAAACCAGGAAGAAGTTGACTCTCTGAATAGACCAATAACAGGCTCTGAAGTTGAGGCAATAATTAATAGCTTTCCAACCAAAAAAAGTCCAGGATCAGATGGATTCACAGCCGAGTTCTACCAGAGGTACAAGGAGGAGCTGGTACCGTTCCTTCTGAAACTATTCCAATCAATAGAAAAAGGGGGAATCCTCCCTAACTCATTTTCTGAAACCAGCATCATCCTGATACCAAAGCCTGGCAGAGACACAACAACAAAAAAAGAGAATTTTAGACCAATATCCCTGGTGAACATCGATGCAAAAATCCGCAATAAAATACTGGCAAACCAAACCTAGCAGCACATCAAAATCTTATCCACCATGATCAAGTGGGCTTCCTCCTTGGGATGCAAGGCTGGTTCAACATATGAAGATCAATAAACATAATCCAGCATATAAACAGAACCAATGACAGAAACCATATGATTATCTCAATAGATGCCGAAAAGGCCTTTGACAAAATTCAACAACGCTTCATGCTAAAAACTCTTAATAAATTAGGTATTGATGGGATGTATCTCAAAATAATAAGAACTATCTATGACAAACCCACAGCCAATATCCTACCGAATGGGCAAAAAGTGGAAGCATTCCCTTTGAAAACTTGCACAAGACAGAGATGCCCTCTCTCACCACTCCTATTCAACACAGTGTTGGAAGTTCTGGCCAGGGCAATCAGGCAGGAGAAGAAAATAAAGGGCATTCAATTAGGAAAAGAGGAAGTCAAATTGCCTCTGTTTGCAGATGACATGATTGTATATCTAGAAAACCCCATCGTC
Source organism: Homo sapiens (assembly GCF_000001405.40). NCBI lineage: Eukaryota > Metazoa > Chordata > Mammalia > Primates > Hominidae > Homo > Homo sapiens. The sequence goes on from NC_000012.12 coordinate 133,249,185, forward strand.
TCAGCCCAAAATCTCCTTAAGCTGATAGGCAACTTCAGCAAAGTCTCAGGATACAAAATCAATGTGCAAAAATCACAAGCATTCTTATACACCAATAACAGACAAACAGAGAGCCAAATCATGAGTGAACTCCCATTCACAATTGCTTCAAAGAGAATAAAATACCTAGGAATCCAACTTACAAGGGACGTGAAGGACCTCTTCAAGGAACTACAAACCACTGCTCAATGAAATAAAAGAGGATACAAACAAATGGAAGAACATTCCATGCTCATGGGTAGGAAGAATCAATATCATAAAAATGGCCATACTGCCCAAGGTAATTTATAGATTCAATGCCATCCCCATCAAGCTACCAATGACTTTCTTCATAGAATTGGAAAAAACTACTTTAAAGTTCATATGGAACCAAAAAAGAGCCCGCATCGCCAAGTCAATCCTAAGCCAAAAGAACAAAGCTGGAGGCATCACGCTACCTGACTTCAAACTATACTACAAAGCTACAGTAACCAAAACAGCATGGTACTGGTACCAAAACAGAGGTATAGATCAATGGAACAGAACAGAGCCCTCAGAAATAATGCCACATATCTACAACCATCTGATCTTTGACAAACCTGACAAAAACAAGCAATGGGGAAAGGATTCCCTATTTAATAAATGGTGCTGGGAAAACTGGCTAGCCACATGTAGAAAGCTGAAACTGGATCCCTTCCTTACACCTTATACAAAAATTAATTCAAGATGGATTAAAGACTTAAATGTTAGACCTGAAACCATAAAACACCTAGAAGAAAACCTAGGCATTACCATTCAGGACATAGGCATGGGCAAGGACTTCATGTCTAGAACAGCAAAAGCAATGGCAACAAAAGCCAAAATTGACAAATGGGATCTAATTAAACTAAAGAGCTTCTGCACAGCAAAAGAAACTACCATCAGAGTGAACAGGCAACCTACAGAATGGGAGAAAATTTTTGCAATCTACTTATCTGACAAAGGGCTAATATCCAGAATCTACAATGAACTCAAACAAATTTACAAGAAAAAACAAACAACCCCATGAAAAAGTGTGTGAAGGATATGAACAGACACTTCTGAAAAGAAGACATTTATGCAGCCAAAAGACACATGAAAAAATGCTCATCATCACTGGCCATCAGAGAAATGCAAATCAAAACCACAATGAGATACCATCTCACACCAGTTAGAATGGCGATCATTAAAAAAAAGTCAGGAAACAACAGGTGCTGGAGAGGATGTGGAGAAATAGGAACACTTTTACACTGTTGGTGGGACTGTAAACTAGTTCAACCATTGTGGAAGTCAGTGTGGCAATTCCTCAGGGATCTAGAACTAGAAATACCATTTGACCCAGCCATCCCATTACTGGGTATATACCCAAAGGATTATAAATCATGCTGCTATGAAGACACATGCACACGTATGTTTATTGCGGCCCTATTCACAATAGCAAAGACTTGGAACCAAGCCAAATGTCCAACAACGATAGACTGGATTAAGAAAATGTGGCACATATACACCATGGAATACTATGCAGCCATAAAAAATGATGAGTTCATGTTCTTTGTAGGGACATGGATGAAGCTGGAAACCATCATTCTCAGCAAACTATCACAAGGACAAAAAATCAAACACTGCATGTTCTCACTCATAGGTGGGAATTGAACAATGAGAACATATGGACACAGGAAGGGGAACATCACACACTGGGGCCTGTTGTGGGGTGGGGGGAGGGGGGAGGGATAGCATTAGGAGATATACCTAATGTTAAATGAGGAGTTAATGGGTGCAGCACACCAACATGGCACATGTATACATATGTAACTAACCTGCACGTTGTGCACATGTACCCTAAAACTTAAAGGATAATAAAAAAAAAAGAAAAATGTGAAAGGCAAAACTTTAAGAAGAAAACATAGAACTACCTCTATGATCTCATGGTAGAGGATTTTTAAAATAAGACACAAAAGCACTAACCATAAAAGAAAAAACAGATAAACTTGACTTCATAGCAGTAATAACTTACATTTATGAAAAAACAAATAAGCAAACAAAAAGCACTTTGACAAAAGCAAAAATGCATGCCTCAGATTGGGAGCAAATGTTAGCTATGATACATATGACAAATGTATATCATTTTATATATGTGTGTGTATACACACACACCCTTATGTACTGCAGGTAGAAATATCATTTCCTTCAACTAGTTAGGAAAACAATATAGTAGTAATCTAGTAAACTTTTGTGGTACATTTTCTATAACCTTATACTGCCAGTCCTAGGTTTTAATGAGAGAAAATCATGCATATATATACTTTGAGATATGATGTAAGAATATTTGAAGCACTGTGGTTTGTAATAGTAGAAATCTGGAAATAACCCAAAGATCCTTCAACAAAAGAATGGGCAAATAATTCAGAAGTATTCACAAGATGTAATAGTACGTATCAGGAAAAACAAATAATGTACAGCTATTCATATCAACAAGAATACATCTCCAAAGTATAACATTGAAGGAATAAAGTCATGAAGGAATACACGTAGTGAAAGAAACTACTTGTAATGTGTTCTAAAACATGTAATACTCTACAACTGCAACTCGTCATTTAGAGATATATACATATGTTGTAAAACTGTAACGAAAAGCAATGGAACTATAAACACAAATCTGGTTGTGGTTACTTCTAGGAAGAGGCAGGGGATGTGACTAGAAAGGAGCCCACAGAGGGCTCAGATGCCGGACGGGGGGGTTGTTTGCAGGTTCCTAACACATTGATACTAACATCTGTTTATTCAGCTGGTTTGTCCTTAAATGCACTATGTAATCACGTGATATATATCATATACATTCTTTAGTATTTTTCAGAGTTTTCATAACCAAACAGAGAAAAACATTTGTGCCTGACCAATACCTATCCCTAAGTAGGTTACATATTTTATAGGCAGAACAGTCACCAAAAATTATAATATATGAGGCTTTGACCCAATTACACTACCAAATTCCCCCATTAAATTTTTCCTGTGGTTTTAAAACTCTTTATCTGTAGGAATCCTGCTTCCATATAAGATTTTTTTCTGGAAGGGATATATTACCTTTTTAGTGTATTGTCTACTTAAGTGTATCATAAACTGCCACTACAACAGCCAAGGAAAGAAGTAATGGGAGGGCCACATGTCCACCAGGTTAATAGAGATGGGAGGAAAGGGCCAGGGGCGTAATGTTATTCAGTGTGGGTGGACTGGCGGCCTGAACTCACTGTGACCCCATTGGAGAAGCAGCAAAAGTGCAAAAGACACAGGAAAGGAGAGATGGGAAAGTAACAAACCATTGCTGCCACCTTCACAGGCTGCCCTGCAGAAAACGCACAAGGCAATGCCCACTCTCATGTTGGGACATTATTTTTTGCATGAGAAAATCTGGCCAGGAAAAACATTAAATAGGAAATAAGTTTTATAGCTTTATAACAGAGCAGCATGGTGAACTACATGTCACCTGCACTCATGGTGACCGCACTATCAGAACCCAAGGGACTAGGCCCCTCACCCCACCAGCTTGCCTTCAGTGACTAAACCATAGGCCTGTGTAGGACTCCTCACACCCTGCACCTTCTCACCTCAGCTTCCCACTGCTACTGTGTGGCTACGGTTTGTTCGTCCCCACCAAATCTATGTTGAAATTTGATCCCCAGTGTGGTGATGTTGACAGGTTGGGCCTAGTGGAAGGTTTCTGGGTCATGGAGGTGGATCCCTCATGAATGGCTTCGTGCAATTCTTGTTCTTGAGACACTGGATTGGTTCTTAGGGTAATTACTTCCCTTGAGAGTTCTTATAAAGCCAGGCAGTCCCTCAGGTTTGGTGCCTGCAGAACTGTAAATTAAATAAACCCCTTTTCTTTATAAATTACCTAGCTTCAGGTGTTTCTTTATAGCAACACAAAATGGACATGCCCTCTGCTAGTGTCAATCTATGCCAATTACTGGAATAAACAAATAGCAAGGGAAATTAATCATTGAATGGTGCTTAGCCTATTGTCTGCTGCTATAACAGAATACCACAGACTGGGTAATTTGTACAGAAAAGAGATTTATTTCTTACAGTTCTGGAGGCAGGGAAGTCCAAAAGCATGGTGCCAGCATGTGGCAAACATCATCTCATGGGGCAAGGGTAGAAGCAGAAGTGAATGCATGAGACAGAGAGAGGAAATTGGGCTGAACTTGTCCTTTTTTTGGGATTCCAGTGTCATATTAACAGTATTAATGCATTCATTACCTTCATGAGCCTTCATGACCTAATCATCTCTTAAAGGTCCCACTGTCTGTAAATTCTGATACAATGGCAATTATATTTCAACACGAGCTCTGGAGGGGACACTGAAACACAGCACACAGCCAAGCTTCTTTGACCAAGCTGACTACAGGATGCCCTTGATGGAGAGACCAGGGATCATCACCTTCAAGTTCCTGGTCCTTCTTCTTGAACTAAAGACTCCTTGGCTTTGCTCATGTTGGCTTTAGCCACCAGTTGCTTTGCAGCCTCCCACACTCAATCTCTCAGCTTAGGTATCAGAAGACACTTCCGTTTTTTTTTTTAAATTATTTAGCTCTCTCATGACCTCCTGTCAGCGGATCCACCTCCCACCTCTTTCCCTTAGGCTGATACCTAATGATGCTCCAACCCCAGGGAGGGGCATCTAGCTAACTGGTACTAAATAACAGTCACTTAAAAGATAGTTTAAATTTCACGCATTCAGACATACATGATTGTGCAAGGCAGAGGTTTTCTTTTTTGTTGACTGTATTTTCAGGTTGTAGTTACAGATACCCATTAACAAGCCAGCCTTCTGAAATAAGATTATCTCAGTCAAGTATTCTCTTTGTTATGTGTGGCATCATCAGACACATCTGCAATGATCTCAAAAAAAGAAATGATCAGAACCACATTTATTTAAATATGCAAAATGCTGAAGGAGAGCTATTGGCTGATGCATAAACACAAATTCTGTTTCCATCTATGAGAACTGGAGTGAGGACGGAGAGTCACAACCATCCACAAATGACACTGACTTAATAACATAGAAAATGTTTCAGATTTCTCATGTACTGTGGAAGACAAGAGTGGTGAGCACAATCAGGGTAATAAAACATCCCTCAGCTCAAAGAGATAATTCTAATATCATATATTGTGCATGGAGTAATGAAGGCCAAGTACAAGCAACTTCATTCACATCAGAACATAGCCTACACAAGACAGCCACAACTCAGGAAAGGGTTGTATTGCATTAGTAAATGGTTGAATTAATAGCTAATGATCTCCTAGAAGAAGTATATTAAAGACTTTTAATTGACACTTTATCAACCGAATAATCTCTTTTATCATTGCTCTGCTCATTTATGTTCCAATGAATAAGACTCAAAATCCTGAGACAGCTTAAAGTATATTTTACATCACTCATCATGGTCAGTGTAGCATACATTTTATGATTTGAAAATTTGTAATAGCCTTTCATAGGCTAATTGCTGAGCCCTCTACCAGAGCTGAGAAAAGAGTGCACAGTTTTGTACATTGAAAGAAAAGGCAAAACACAGTAAGGCAAGCAGCAGTAAAATGAGACAGCTGTGTCCAGCTCCCCACCAACCCCTGCCAAGAAAGCCCTTTATATGAAAATGAACATTTGACAAGAAAGCATATTAAAGTATTAGCTTTTTCATTCAGCATAGGGCATCTCTTTATTTTTTAAAAAATCTTAGGATTGCTCTAATAATAAATTGCCTAATGTGTGGACAGCATGATTCCATTTGTAAAATGTCTATTTAGCATTGCTTTTCAAAGGCATATCATTGCTTCGTGAGATGTATTTTGAGGTTAAAAGATGCTTTCCTAAGAAACACTAGCTATGGAGTAACTGTCCTGCAGTGAAATGATCTAATAATAATAATAAAAATTGGACTTAATGATTTTGCATCATTCCCACTGACTTTAATCAGACTTCCAAATTATTTTGTGTTATGGAAAATTTCAAACTTGGCATTTGAGAATCAATCTAAAGTTTTTTGTTTTTTGAAAAGTGTGATTTTCTCTAATTTGGTGTTGACTTACATCAGGATTTAGTAAACAGGCCTAAACAAGTTATTCCACAGGGAAAGGTAAAGTGAATCAAAGAGGACATTTAATTGAGTAGTCACCTTGAATCTCAGTGGGTGGGGCTGGTGATATCTGAAAGCTACAGCACTTCATGATCACTCAACAAATCATGTTGGCTGATTTATGCTGTGGAATAGTCAGTGGTCTTCAAATGAGAATGCATGTTGTTGGGGATATGGGAAGACCTTCCAGGGACATGAATAGTTTTAAGGGAGTCATTTTCTAGACTCTCAACTTTCACATGTGTTCATTGGTTAGAGGGAACTGCCTTCAGATGCACTTGGGATGGAGGTGCAGCCTCTGCACACTAACGGCAAATTGAAAATACAAATATTGATCCAGGGAAGTGACTGAGATGACTGAGTGACAAATCCCATGCTGATCAGATAGTTTCCAAGCCTTTTCTTTCAACAAAAGTAATGAGGGTCATTTAGGTATTAGCTCACTGTATTAGTCCATTCTTCCATTGCTATAAAGAACTATCTGAGACTGGGTAATTTATAAAGAAAAAAGGTTTAATTGGTTCATGGTTCACAGGCTGTGCAGGAAGTATGGCTGAGGAGGTCTCAGGAAACTTACAATCATGGTGGAAGGCAAAGAGGAAGGAGACATTCTATGTGGCTGGAGCAGGAGGAAGAGAGAGCAAAGGGGGAAGTGCTACACACTTTTAAATAAGCAGTTCTCATGAGAGCACACTCATGATCACAAGAACAGCAAGGTGGAAGTCTGCCTCTATGATCCAGTCACTTCCCACCAGGTCCCTCTTCCAACACTGAGGACCACAATTTGGCATGAGATTTGGGTGGGGACACAGATCCAATCCGCAGTGTGAATTGCTCAGTGTGAAAGTTACAGTGGAACATTTCAAATGAACAACACTGCATTTGAAGAAGTGCACTTGAAAATGAGGGCTCCTGAATTAGTCTCATCTAGGGATACCTATTGATATGCAGAAGCTTCTAAAAAGATTTCAGTATTTTTATTTAAAGACTCTTTATAAAAAGCAAATAAAAAGCTCAAGTGACTAATTGATAAGAAACATTAAATTTGCTAACCTTTTGGCTTGGTCATCATCCTACCTCGAAGGTGAAAAGAAAGTTATCCTAGATAGAGTGTTTTTAAAAGGTAAGCTCTCAGGTAAAGTAGGTTCTTGCTTCTCTTTCAGATCTCTCCATGCTGAGTCCAGGCATAGAAAGTGCTTTCTTTGCCCTATTCTTTAAGGGCCTCCATCATAAACTCAGTAATTTCAGCTAAGAAACAGTAGCAAAGTTAAAAAAGACCACCTGTCAAACTAAAGTACACCTTTCTGGAATTTAGCTGGCTACCTTTAAATCCTTTTGTGAAATAATTTCACAGTTATAAAGGAAATCTCCATTTTTATGGTGTCTGTGTATGTATATTAGAAACTCTTACCATTTTTTTAAATTCACACAACAAATCATACCTTTGTTTAAAGTTCTTTTCTGGCCATCTTGTCTTAAGTGAACTTTTACTTACACCTTTTTTCCTTTGTTTGACCAAATAATACATTATTTAGGCCTAAAGGCTTAGCTCTGTGCTTATAAAATATAATTTTTTGTTTAAAAAATTAAAAAATTATAAAATTATAAAATTTGTTTAAAAAATTATAATTTTTTGTTTAAAAAATTATAATTTTTTGTTTAAAAAATTATAATTTTTTGTTTAAAAAATTATTATATTTTGTTTAAAAAATTATAAAATATAATTTTTTGCTGGGCAGGGCGCCATGGGTCTATAGTCCCAGTTACTTGGTGAACTGAGGTGGAAGGATTGCTTGAGCCTGGGGAGGTTGAGGCTGCAGGGAGCTGTAAACACAATACTGCACTCCAGCCTGGATGACAGAGTGAGACCCTGTCTCAAAAACACAAAACAAAACAAAAACAAAAACACGACATGCTTTTGATGGGGAAAGTTATGAAGGCATAAAAATGTGTGTTTGCTAAAAAAACTTGTCTAGTTTGAAGTTACTTAAAGGTTTCAAATTGAAGGAGTAAAAAAAGATAAAACTAGATAAATATAGAAAGTTAGGGAAAAGTATAAAACACAAAAGGTTTATAGAGTTTATAGAAATCTTATGTGTTCAAAAGATGACAGACTTGATTTATTTATAAGATTTTATTAAATATTAGCTTTATATGTATAGTGCACTAATACAAAAATAAAATTAGTTTTTCTCTTCTGAACAAAAATTTCATGTAGTGTTAATAAGACAAAGTAAAATATTTTTGTTCACCTTTTGAGTAAACTGCAAAGAGAAAGACAGAGATAAGAGAAAAGAGAAGAGACAGAATTTGTCTCATGCTGTCTGAGATCTTTTGATTGGAAAACTGAGTCTCCTCTCTCAAAGAGTACAGGTTTTTGTTTAAAAAATCCTTTAATTATCACTTTGGCTAAAAGAATGACTATTATTTTATGGTGACCTGTGATCTTATTTTGGTAAAGTGTTTTAAACCTTTGACATATTTGATTGGCTTTCTAAAAATCAAATTTCAACTTCAAAGTTAAGTCTTTTTTCACCTTTTAACTTTGGGATGCTACAAAGGTCCCCTGAAGCATCCAAAAGGGAGATAAACGGATTATTTGACATGTGAAATTACATGGGAAGCATTATCAAACAAGAAAGGATGGCTTAACCTTCTTAAGTTATATCTTAAAGAATATGTTATTAATATATGTTCCAAAGTTATGTGGGATTTCTAAAATCCTAATATGTCTGGGTATATGCTATCAGTCATAATTCTGGTTATTATGTTGAGTTATTGTAAACCACAGAAATAACCAAATTTCCTTTTCAATTGTCTTTATGACCATTTAAATTCATTTCCACAGTTAATTGCTTAATTCTGATGCAGTTTCTTAAAACTTCACAAGCACATAAAATCCTAGAATATGGTGTCTTTAAGGAGATTCATGAAAGGATGGAAAGAACCCTGACACAAGCTCTCAAACACAAGTTTCTAATAACTTTAGGACCACATCGTTTGGATTGGGTAAAAATTCCTGGAACTCTAATGAAGAGACTGGCTGGTTTATAAAACTACTAAGCCAGGCAGGAAAAAAACTAATTGAATACCAAGAAAATATTTTGCCAGATGTTCATGCTAAATCAGCTAGTACTTAAATTGTTAAGATATGCAATTTAAATGAACTCCATGGTCAAAGTCAAATTACCCATGATAATCTATTGGTTATCAGTGCTATGCACCTAAATTGGAGAAACAATCAGTATTTAAGAGGATATAAGTCCAATGTTAAGTGTGGGCTCCTGGAGAGCAGCTGCCTCATCTTCCTGAGTCCTTAAAGCTTTTGTTATTAAAATCTCTGCATTCCATGACTCATTATCTAAGAAATAAAATGATCCAAATTAAAAATATATATATTTTTAGGCCGAAAAAACTTTTCCATGCTAGAGGGCTAATTTTATAACAGTAGCAAAAAGGTTATTAGAAAATGTGTTTTCCTCATGGGACATTCCTGAAGAAATCTCCAGTGATGGAAGTACTTGTTTCACTGGACAAATTTTAAAGCAGTTAAATAAGGTATTATAAATACGACAACATTTGGTAAAGCTAACTGAAATGACTGGATTGCTTTGGTCAAAGGTATTTTATATTAATGGCAATCAGATCTACTTCCAGTGTAAACCATAAGGTGATACCTTACAAAATAGTCACTGGAAGACCTATTCCCCTAATAATACAACCTCATTTATCTTCCACTACTGAACTCTGATATAACTAAATGCTGCAAGGCTTTAATGCATTATGTCAAGATGTATTTTCACCAGGTAAAGAAATCTTTTTTATGGTCTACTGACCGAGGACAATCAAACCCTTCACAATCTAGAACTTAGAGACTGGGTCTTCTAAGAACAACATCAGATAAAGACTGCCCTTGCCATCCCCATTGCAGCAAAACTTCAGGACCTTGAACCTTGGGTTCATAATGTCACAGTTCAGATGCCCTTGCCATCCCCATTGCAGCAAAACTTCAGGACCTTGAACCTTGGGTTCATAATGTCACAGTTCAGATGCCCTTGCCATCCCCATTGCAGCAAAACTTCAGGATCTTGAACCTTGGGTTCATAATGTCACAGTTCAGATGCCCTTGCCATCCTCAAGTTTTGGTCATTGTATTAGTCCGTTCTCACATTGCTACAAAAAAACTACCTGACACTGGGTAGTTTATAAAGAAAAGAGGTTTGGCCAGGTGCAGTGGATCATGCCTGTAATCCCAGCACTTTGAGAAGCCAAGGCAGGCAGATCATGAGGTCAAGAGATCCAGACCATCCTGGTCAACATGGTGAAACCCCATCTCTACTAAAAATACAAAAATTAGTTGGCTGTGGTGGCACATGCCTATAGTCCCAGCTACTTGGCAGGCTGAGGCAGGAGAATCGCTTGAAGATGGGAGGTGGAGGTTGCAGTGAGCCAAGATCGTGCCAATGCACTCCAGCCTGGGTGAAAGAGCAAGACACTGTCTCAAAGAAAAAATAATAAATACAAGAGGTTTAATTGACTCACAGTTCCGCAGGCTGTTCAGAAGGCATGGTGGGGGAGGCCTCAGGAAACTTACAATCATGGCACAAGGTGAAGGGGAAGCAAACACATCTTCACATGGCAACAGGAGAGAGAGAGAGCAAAGGGGGAAGTGACATACACTTTTAAACCATCAGGTCTAATGAGAACTCACTCACTATCACAGGAAAAATGAGGGAAAATCCATCCCCATGATCCAATCCCACCTCCCACCAGGTCCTTCCCCTAACATTGGGAATTATAATTCAACATGAGATTTGGGTGGGGACACAGAGCCAAACCATACCAGTCATACTCTCACCTAAGTGAGAACTTGACAAAAAGGGTGTAATTCTTAAACAAAATTATGGGAGGCCATTGTTTTGAACTGAGCTCATACACTAGGCCCCAACAGACCAGACCAAACCAAAATGGAGTCACTCATACTACATATGGCATAATTTAACTAAGACTTTAAGGAAAGAGATAGGTCCTAGAACTGACAAGGTTTTGTTTATCTCCTGTAAACAGGAGAGTCCAGCACAAGGAAGTACCCTCTGCTCTAACCCTTATCAAAATAAATAACCTGATGTCCTTGTACCTACCTTACAAAACCCTCTGTTCTGCTATTGTACAGTGGATTTCAAGACCAAATCAGTACATTTACATTGATGATAGTGACATCAATTACTAATGTTTTGGTCAATCTCTCAAAATCAAGGGGATGATCAAAAGGGGGAATTTGTTAAATTAAGCTTAAACAACTCTCTTCTCATCTCCATACACATCATATCTGACCAATGTCTTTATATGTGTATTCTATCATATCTGTTCACAGAATTCTTATTTCCCATTTGGCAGAAGAGGAAAGAGAGCTGCCAAAGAACAAATGATGTATCCTGGTGATGGGGCCAATCTTTGAATCCAAGCCCTGTCCCAAGATGTTTCTATTCTAAATACAGTGGAATCAGGAGAAGGATAAGCTACAATTTTTTCTCATGTGTATATATGGAGCAGGTAACTGACAGATTCTCAGGTGAGATTACTGACAAGCCAGGGGTTGCAGACCGAATTGTTAGACCCAGTTTGTGACTCCCTGTGGTTGGACAGAGTATACTTCCTTGACCATGTGACTTGTTTTGGCCAAAGGAATGATAGTGGATTTGACACAAGCAGGTCTTGAAATGTTTGTGGGGCTGCCCTTGCCTTCTCCTGCTTTGTCATCACGAGTTACTCCTGGGTATCTGTAACCCATTCAGCTTGAGCCTCAGAATAAGACAGATAGAGCATGCCTGGGCCATACCTGAACCTGGATCTAAGACCAGACGAGCTGAGTGAAGACCCTCAAACCTCAGCTGACCCACAAACTCATGAGCAAAAAAAACACTAAATTTGTGGTCACAAGACATTAAAATTTTAAGATTGATTGTTACCCAGCTGACTGACCTATCAGATTATGGAGGGATGATAACAGTTATGTGAAGAGGTAGCCCAGTGAAGAATGGGGTGAATTGGAGAAGTTTCGATGAAGAAGGTGAGTCTTGAACTGAAGCTTTACTTCCATCTCCTCCAAATCAGCCTAAGCCAGGGTAAATGAGTTAATTGTGATTGTTACTCAGACTAAAAGTATCTTAAATCTTCTAACATTGAAGTCTTGCCAAATACAGACTAGCTATCAAGGCTCAAGAGATCTTTGACATTAGCTGTAAACATTCACCTTGCAATGACTCCTGGGAAAAGAACAATCTCATGAGTGAAGTTTCAGCTTGCTTTGAAAATAAGAATAATAATTTAAAAGAAGCAAAACTGAAAATGAGATCTGAAGAAGTGTCCTGCTTTGTGAAGAAAGAAAGAGGCTTTCTCACCTCCTGCCCCTCCCCGCAAACTCATCTCCATCTACACAGCTTTCTCCACTCACCTCGCATTTCACCTGAGCACTGTCTCTCTTCTCCAAATTTACTCCTCCCCTCTCTGGATTCAACCTCTCCCTTTCACAACTTGTACTTTTCTTCCAATTTATAAAGACTGTCATGTTTTCCTATCTTAAAAAAATTCTACAAAGAAAATAACCCTTATGCAACTTCATGTAACCCCTCCCTACCTTCCACCCTGCTCCTCACAGCCCTCAGCTCACTGGCTCTACGTGGCTGTTGTCCAGAAGAGGCTGGAGGCCCAGGCCCTGCTCTGAGCTCCCCTATAACTTCTTCTTTACCTGGACTTCCCCAGCTGAATGATCCACAGGCCCTTCAAACTTAATCCATGAGGTTTGGATTAAGGGTCTTGGCCTCCCTCTCTAACACCTGATCAGTCACCAGCATCTACAGTTCTATTTCTGAGTATTTCCTAGCCTGTCCCCTTCCCCATTTCCCTACCACTACTTCTCTGGTTCAGCCCTCAGCATCTCTCCTTTGGATGTTACCTCCCTGCAGGTTTTCTTCCTCTAAGAGGAAGGGTTTCATCATGTTGGCCAGGCTGGTCTGAAACTCCTGACCTCAGGTGATCCACCTGCCTCAGCATCCCAAAGTGCTGGGATTACAGGCATGAGCCATCACAACCAGTGAGAGATTTGTTTCCTATAAAGGGTTGCAGCCTTCAGGGTTGTCCTTCTGACAGACTGGGAAGCATAGCTTCCAGGCAGAAGCCAGAAACGGATGCTTCAAGGAGGATGCAAAGGAAATAGTAATTTATGCTGAGTGGAATGGCCAAATACATTTATTTAATATGCTCTAGGAGGAGTCATGAATATTTATGGAAGGAGAAATGCATGCATGCTTTAATTGAGTTTCTTGCTTCTTCATGGGTCCCATGTACAAAAAATGGCAGTGTTAGCATGATCCCATGGTGGAGTTTTCAGCCCTCTGACATTAAAAGGTGAAGCAGAGTACATGAAAACTCGCTCTGTGCATCCTCTGTATGCTGGCCAGAACCTCTCCATCATGGGTGGTCTCTTATCAGGCAAGAAAGGAGAGGTTGATATCAGTGGTGTAGCCTTTGGAAGGGCTGGTTTCTGTTAAATCCTTAGGGAAGAAAGCCTCATCATGGTTAGCAAAGGAGGGGGTATAACGATGTGTATCTGACCCCCATCATCCCATCCTAGCAAAGCTGAGAACTCAGTTTTGAAAGTTACTCTGGGGTCCCCTCAGCCAAGAGTGGGTCTGTTCAGTCAGTTGGGAGCTTAGGATTTCATTTTCATTTATCAATGCTAATGGGAAAGAGTACACTGTCTTCATGGCAGCTGAATTTGCAAGAAACTCCTTGGATGGGGTTAATGCAGCTGTATTTTTCTGGGAGCTCTGCTTTAATTGGATAAAGTAAGTTCTGGTAAGATTTCTTCCTTTATCTTCAGTATCTCAAATGTTTTCATTTAAATAATCTGTGTAAAAATTTTTGATGTCAGAGTGGATTCCCACACAGTCATCTATTGTAAGACTTTCTGATTCCTTTTTTTTCCTCTGGTCATTATGAATAGGGCTTCTGTAAATAATGGCATGGTAGCTTTTGATCGGAAATAACATCAAAGTAGTTGTCAAAATACTTAGGAATGTGATTTTTGGATTGTAAGGTGAGACTTGTTTAGCTTTGGGGAAAAAATGCCCAAGTTGTAATAGGGGAGGAAAAATAATTTTCTATGTTTTCAGAATTCTTAGATGGGACCCTCTGTAAAAACTGACGGATTAAAATTAGAAAAATAGAAAAGTTTAAAAACATGTATACCTTATGGATACATGGGAGATACTCAGGAAAAAACGAGTAAATCTCCAACAGGTGGCTTTCAATTCAAGCATAAATACTATCTTCAACTTAAAGAAAGAAGATTTGAGGTGCAGTAGTGGGGATCTAACCAGCAAAAGCACAGTAGACAAGGGTAAGGTTTGTTATACAGACTGAAGTCTATGCATTCTCCATTGATAAGACTCTAGTGATTTACTTATCCTTCTCTTCTTGATGTCGACAGAGGTAGCTTTTAAATGGGGATTTCCTTTATAGATGTAAATTTTCCTTACACAAGGGTAACTTCTACTCTGTTTTCAGAACTTTGTTAGCATTTTTTTTAAAATAGCTTGGAATAATTCTTAAGCCAAAGGGACATATTTTGGGACAGCATATTCTGGTTACCTACCATTATATTTTGGGGTGGCATATTTTGGTCTTATACACTGTGTTCCACAGGCAACGAAAAGAGTTCTTGTTTTTCCTGCAGCAATTTGTCATTTTTAAAAGAGCTTAGCAGTTCTAAGAGCTATAGAGTAGCTGTGCTATCTCATTGTGGTTTTCAATTCTCTAGTATGTTGAGCATCTTTTTGCACGTTTACTTGCCATAGATCTTCTCTGCGCCCCGCGCCGGCGCGGGGCGCCTCTCTGCGCCTGTGCCGGCGCGGGGGGCCTTTGCGAGGGCGGAGCTGCGTTCTCCTCTGCACAGCCTTTTGGGGTGCCGCGGAGGCGAAGCAGCATTCTCCTCAGCACAGACGCGGGCGGTTGGGTGGGACGGGGGCTCCGCGAGGTCGGAGCGGCATTCTGCTCACCACAGACCCAGGAGACACCACGAAGGCAGAGCACCGTTCTCCTCAGCACAGACCTTGGGGGCACTGCCTCGCTTTGGCACGACTCGGGGCTTCATTGATGGTGAATACAATCGTTTCTGTTTGCAGCGCTGAATATTCAGGGTGAGAGAACAGTTAGAAGGGTTCAGTGTGGAAAACGGGAAATCAAAAGCCCCTCTGAATCCTGCGCACCGAGATTCTCCCCAGCCAAGGTGAGGCGGCAGCAGTGGGAGATCCACACCGTAGCATTGGAACACAAATGCAGCATTACAAATGCAGACATGACACCGAAAATATAACACACCCCATTGCTCATGTAACAAGCACCTGTAATGCTAATGCACTGCCTCAAAACAAAATATTAATATAAGATCGGCAATCCGCACACTGCCGTGCAGTGCTAAGACAGCAATGAAAATAGTCAACATAATAACCCTAATAGTGTTAGGGTTAGGGTCAGGGTCCCGGTCCGGGTCGGGGTCCGGGTCCGGGGTCCGGGTCAGGGTGAGGGTTAGGGTTAGGGTTAGGGTTAGGGTTAGGGTTAGGGTTAGGGTTAGGGTTAGGGTTAGGGTTAGGGTTAGGGTTAGGGTTAGGGTTAGGGTTAGGGTTAGGGTTAGGGTTAGGGTTAGGGTTAGGGTTAGGGTTAGGGTTAGGGTTAGGGTTAGGGTTAGGGTTAGGGTTAGGGTTAGGGTTAGGGTTAGGGTTAGGGTTAGGGTTAGGGTTAGGGTTAGGGTTAGGGTTAGGGTTAGGGTTAGGGTTAGGGTTAGGGTTAGGGTTAGGGTTAGGGTTAGGGTTAGGGTTAGGGTTAGGGTTAGGGTTAGGGTTAGGGTTAGGGTTAGGGTTAGGGTTAGGGTTAGGGTTAGGGTTAGGGTTAGGGTTAG